>NC_000021.9:9527143-9848505 GCF_000001405.40 Homo sapiens | reverse complement strand
TGCTGAGATGTAGAGGAGTGGGGCAGAGCGGTAGCCTCAATGATAGATGTGGAAGACACTATAGCATAGCCTGCCTTTGCTGGTGAGTGGCAATTAGGCCTGGTGGAACTGTCATTGATAAACCAAGTGTGATCAGGGTGAGGAACAGGAAAGAATGAAATATGGGGAAACGGAGTGAATGTCAGGTGGATCAGAGAGATACAGCCATGGGGGTCAGGTGTGATATCCGGAATAATGTGGGAGGCCAGATTGAAGTCCGGGCCAGGAACAACGGTAATTGTGGGAGACTCAACAAAGAGTGAGTACAATTGAAGGAGCCGGGGAGCAGAAAGTATATGCATCAGGTGTGAGGAAGAAAATAGATTTTGGAAGTTATGAGAACTGTAGAGAGTGAGTTGAGCACAGTTTGTGATTTTTAGGGCCTCTAAAAGCATTAGGGTGATGGCAACTGCTGCACGGAGACATGATGGCCAGAGCAGATCCTGAACTAACCTGTAAGACTTGTCTGGTGTTTGAATAGGTAAAATGGGAGAATTGTAAGGAGAGTTTATAGGTTTTACAAGCCCATGCTGTAGCAGGGGGGTGATAACAGGCACCAAATGTCACACACGTCCATGTGAAGAGACCACCAAACAGACACTGCATGAGCAATAAGGCTGCTTATTTCACCTGGGTGCAGGCGGGCTGAGTCTGAAAAGAGAGTCAGTGAAGGGAGATGGGGTGGGGCCGTTTTATAGGATTTGGGTAGGTAGTGGAAAATTATAGTCAAAGAGGATTGTTCTCCGGCGGGCAGGGGCGGGGGTCACAAGGTGCTCAGTGGGGGAGCTTCTGAGCCAGGAGAAGGAATTTCACAAAGTAATGTCATCAGTTAAGGCAGGAACCAGCCATTTTCACTTCTTTTGTGATTCTTCACTTGCTTCAGGCCACCTGGATGTATACGTGCAGGTCACAGGGGATATGATGGTTTAGCTTGGGCTCAGAAGCCTGACAGGCATGGTTTACTGATAGCTCTGCCAGACAACATGCACTGGACCACCATTCAGCCACTGGATGGCTATCTTTTGACTGAGACTGGACATGGGCATTCTACCCAATGGGCCAAACTAAATGCAGTGGTGATGGCCATGCAGGCTACCTCTGTCGCATATCTTGCTATATTTTCAGTGACTTATGGGCCATTGCCAAAAGCCTAGCCATCTGATCAGGACAGTGGCAATGGAAGGATTGGACTGTTAGAGGATATCCATGTGAGGACAAGGACTAAGAAAAACAGCTTGTTGTCTGAAAAAGACAAATATATGTCAATCATATGGGTGCTGAGGTAACTATAGCCACACTTGAGAGGAATTTCTGCCATCCTTTTACATAGCCCATGGGATTTTACTTGGACCAAGGAATATTTTTTGCTATTCAAGCAACTAGATAATGGGTACACATTAGTGAAAAAAGATGGGCTTTTTAAATACATTGTCATCCTCAGGCTAATAGAGTTATTGAATAATGGAACTCACAAAACAACTGAAGAAAGAACATCAAGATGTCCTGCTAGTGAGGGGGTAGCCCATCTGACTAGGGCAATAGGAACACTAAACACTATGCACCAATGCAAAGGAAACAGCACTGCAGTGCATATTGAGGGACACTGAGCTTGGTTGGGGTGGAGGTGGATGAGAAACCCACCTGACTAGGCTGTCTGTGCCTGTAAAGTCTCAGTCTTTCTCAACAATTCTTTTTCCTTTTCCCCTATAGAGTACATGTCCTGGGGATGAATTGCAGTTCAGGGTGCCATAGTACTCCAGAGAGGCCACGCTGTCTCTAATCTGGAGTTTATACTTCCCTTGGGTACCTCCCCTATAAGGGGATTCCACAGGGGTGGAGTACAGGACTAAGGAATGACAGACTGCTAGAATCCCTCTAATGATGCTGGATACCTCTGATCCTTCCATTTGGGTGGATGATGTTATGAGATATGCCAACTTTGTACTGGAGTGGATGATTGAGGCAGAAAGGTTTGAGTCAAGCAACAAGGGCAATGGGTGTCTGCAGAAGTAGCTTGGGACTAAAACAGAGAGACCGGGTTGCTATACCAACTCAGCCTAATTCTTATCCAATAGGTAGAGAACATCTGAGACCCTGGAAAGGGTGAGAGGTGGGCATTAAACTGTCAGTCTGCTTTTCCACAAGGATGGGGCATTATAGGCCTGTGAGCATAATGCCTTAGTGGCCTCTTCCAAAGTGCCATGGTTACACCATGGGTAACCTGACAAAGTGCTGGATGCTCCATCCACGACCTTGTTCTCTCATTGACTAGAATGATCCTTTCATCTTGCCAGTGGTTAACTACTCTAGCACTCCTAATGCCACAGAGTACAGTAATGGACCTTAAGTCCTAGCTTACTGAGTGAGGACCTAGCACATGCCACATAGGAAGAATTCAAAGGTGCTATCTTTTAACTTAAATAACTTTGTGGAAAAATGTCATGACCACAACTAACGAATCTTTGGTGGGCAGGTGCTTTGATGCACCAGGCTCCTTTAATTACAAAGATGTGTGTTCATGATGATGAAGATAACAAGTATCGGAGAGTGCTAGCCCTCTGCGTAGAGGCTTTAGGATTGTATGGGGTAAACTGTATGAGGAAAACTCAGGCAACTACTGCCATCAATGAGACTTAGCTAGTGAGTGCCAATACCTTCATCCTCATAAATAATACTAGCACAGGGGGTCTGTGTGTGCCAGAGGGCTACATCTTTATCTGTGGGCAATCTGGGGTGACTCAAATACGGGGTGGGCAAAGTCATGCCTGGAAAACTTACAGGTCCTGCCCCATTGAGTGTGCTAGGGATGCTCCTAGAATTCACCCCCAAAATGAAGTGCTCCATTGACTCAGGAGCCTAATGCTGTATACCAGACTTACCAAAGACCTGACTGGATGTGTAACTGACTTTGGGTTTATGTCTTTTATGAGATCTTTGGTACCATTCATAGGAGTTATTGCTCATAAAAAATGAAAAGAAACCTGCCCCAAACCATGGCAAATATTGCCTCCTCCATTGCCACTGTCTTAGAAGCCAAGGAAACATCTCCCAGATCCACCCAGAAAGTTATTTTAACCAACAGAATTGTTCCAGACTTTTTTTGTTTGAGATGGAGTTTCGCTCTCGTTGCCCATGCTGGAGTGCAGTGGTATGATCTCAGCTCACTGCAACCTCTGCCTCCCGGGTCTAAGTGATTCTCTTGCCTCAGACTCCAGAGTAGTTGGGATTATAGGCGTGCACCACCACTCCTGGCTAATTTTGTATTTGTTTTTTGTAGAGACAGGGTTTCTGCATGTTTGTCTGGCTGGTCTCAAACTCCTGACTTCAGGTGATCCACCTATCTTGGCCTCCCAAAGTGCTGGGATTACAGGCATGAGCCACCACACTCGGCCCTCCCGACTTTCTTTTAGCTCAACTGGGAGAAGTGTATACAATTGCCAACACCTCTTACTGTATTGGGATAAACATCTTAGGTATTGTAGAAACATAGGTAGAGGAGATCCAGAAGCTGACCCATTGGTTGTAGACAGTGGGGCCACCTGAAGAATCCTTCTTTAACCTCTATGGCAACCTCTTACCTAGATCTTTGAGACCCAGAGCTACATTACTACTGCAGAGAGGTCTGGCTGTGCTGCTAGTGGTAGTAGTCCTCCTGGGACTAGTAAAATGTATTCTGGCTATGACTCAATGATGTTTCACTGAGACAGAGTCAGCCAAGGTGTTACATTGATCTGACAAGACAAACCTCCACCTCCAGATCTGGAGAGGTCAATGGGCATATGAAATACACCACCTTTTCTAAGGGAAATATCTTGGTTGGAGCAGGAGACTGCAGGTCAACTTTCCAGGTGTCCTTGGACTGACCCAATTATCCCCTCTTTCTTGCTTGCAGTTGTCAAGAGCAACTGTAGTATATGCTGAGAATGCAATATCCTGAGACAGGGAAGAATGGCCTGAAACAGCCTAGGCCTTGTTACTCTCTCCCTTGACAGAGAATGTTCTTCAAAACTTTAGGCCATAGTTTCCCATTGGTCCTGAGGTGTGTAACCTAGGGCAAGCTGTCTTGTGGGGTCCCTCAACTGTGGTACAAGTGGGGCATGCACAATCACTGCATCCACCTCAGGCACTTCACATGCACTCCATCCACTTCAGACAACTTTGTTGAGCCTTGGGCTACTGGCTCATAATGGACCGGCTCACATAGGTACCTGTTGTCTCTTGCTGTTTGTCTGTAAATGATACATCTGCCTTATGTAATTTGTTGCATATGAGTGTGTTCTGTTTAACTGAACTCAGACAAGCTAGTAAATAGTACACAGTGTACCTGCCCCACACCCAGGATGTACATGCTAAAGCTAAACAGTGTGACTGCCTGCCAAAAGGAACAGTTTAAATAGAGCTCACAATTGTCTGCCATGATAGACAAAATGTCCAGAATATAATTACAAATCACCAATCATACAAAGAACCAAGAAAATAACAATTTGAGTGAAAAAAGACAGTTAACTGACACCAACACCAAAACGCATCAGATGTTGGAATCATCTGAATATGATTTTAAAATATCTAGCAAAAATGTTTCAACATCAAATAGAAATTATCTTAAAATATATAACAAAATCACAAAATATTAACCAAACTTGAGTTGTAAAAAAACAACAACAAAAAGAACTAAATGTAAATTATAAAAGCAAACAAACACGGTAACAGAAATGAAAAATGTGTTGGATGGAGTCAATAGCGCCATTGAGATGCGAGAAGGTAAAATCAGTGAATGTGAGGGCAGAATAGTAGAATTTAACCAATTTGAACAACATAAATAAAATAGACTGATACATAAAATGAACACAGATGTAGGTATGTGTGAGGCAACAACAAAGATCCAACATTTTTATTACGTGTACCAGAAAAGAAGTAAAATGAGGCTGAAAGAATACTTGAAGAAATAGTGCTTCAAAAAAACCTCAAATTTGCAGAAGACACAAATGTATAGATTCAAGAAGCCTAAGATACCCTACACGGAATAAACACATTTCAAGAAACATTTTGATTAAACTTTTAAAAACTAAAGACAAAATATTTTTATTTGGTAGTTTAGAAACATAAATCTATCATTTTAAAATTATAAAGGTCAGAAGTCTTAAATGGTTTTCATTAGGCTAAAATCAAGGTGTCAGCAGCGCTGCTTTCCTTCTGGGGACTCTAAAGGAGAATACATGTTCTTGCCTTTTCCAGCTTCTAGGGGCTGTCTTCATTTCTTGTCTCTTGTCTGCTTTCCCCATTCCTTGTCTCTTGGTTCTTTCCTCCAGTACAATTAACAATGTAGTATCTTTAAATATTTTCTACCACACTCTTCCACATTTAAAGGATCCTTGTGATTAAATTGGCCCCCCCTAGATAATCAAGTATGATCTCTTATTTTAAGTTCTGCTGTTTAGTAAGCTTAATGTCATGTGCAACCTTAATACTTTCTTGCATTGTAACATCATATATTCTTATATAACATAGCATATCCTTCCTGACATGGAGAATAGGACAGAGACAGTCTTGTGGGGGGTGGGGGGGCATTATTCTGCTTATCACAGTTAGCAAACAAAGATTTTGTGCCATGAAAACATGGAGGAAATACCCTTATCCTTATTTTTCTTCAGTCTTTCTCATCAAATAGATCTTTAGATCCAAAAGAGAAGACTCAACATTGCTTTTAATTAAATCTCAAGATGAACGAAGAGGCACTATGAGCTCTGGGCCCTAGTATTGGAGTAGAACTCACTCCAAAACAATAAGAAAGTTTAGGAAAGAGATTTTTAAGTTTCTCTATATATCTTTGAGGATTATGGAGAATAGTAAAAGTTTTAGAAGACAAGAAATGGGCAGTGTACTAGTTTTTTAAAGGAAGATAGAGCTCATAAACTATAGGTGAATGAGTTTGACATTACTTCTGGAAGCAATTTTAAGAAGCATGAAAACAATATTTTACAAGCACTTAAAAGAACGCTTTGCAATCATGAAACAACATGGGCACACCGAGAAGAAATTGTATCAGAAAAATGATATTTCTTCCTATTTTTTGAATCTTTATCTTGTCCTTTTATTGTTAGTTGGCATGCAATAATTGTACATATTTATGGAAACAGAGTGATATTTTGATACAGGTGTACAATGCATAATGATCAAATCAGGGTAATTAGCATTTCAAACACCTCAAACATTTATCATACTTTTGTGTTGACAACATTCAAAATCCTCTCTTCTAGCTTTTTGAAAATATACCATAAATTATAGTTATTTCCATGCGACCAGCTATAGAGCACTACAACAGAACTTATTCCTCCCATATAGCTATAATTTTGTGTCCATTAACCAACCTCCCCTCCCACATCCTTCCCAACATCTAATAACCACAATTCTACCATTTACTTTAATGAGCTCAAATTTGTTTAGCTCCTGCATATGGGTAAGGACAGACAGTATTAATTTTTCTGTGTCTGACTTATTCCACTTAACGTAATGTTCACTAGTCTTATCCATGATTCTGCAAATGACAGAATTTCATTCTTTTTATGGCAGAATAGTATTCATATATATAATATATATATATGAATGTATATACAAATTTGGTATGTGTATATACCACATGTTTTATCTATCCATCCATTGATGGATATTTAGCTTAATTCCATATCTTTGTTATTGTGAAGACAGCTGCAATAAATATGGAGGTGCAGATGCCTCTTAAGTGTAATGATTTACTTTCCTTTGGATAAACACCTAGTAGTGGGATCACTAGATCATATGGTGTCTCTATTTTTGTTTTGAGGAACCACCATACAGTTTTTCATAATAAGTGAAATAATTTAACTTACCACCAACAGTGTATGGTAGTCTAATTTTTCATGTCTTACACTTAAATTTTTAATCCATTTTGAGTCTATTTTTGTATAAGGTGAGTGATAGGAGTTTAGTTTCATTCTTCTGCATATGGATATCCAATTTTTCAAGAAGCATGTATTGGAGATTGTGTCCTTTCCCCAGTGTAGGTCGTTGACAAAACTAAAGACAAAGTGTTAAAAGCAGCCAGATAGAAACAGTCACCTATAGGTGAAACATCACCTATAGAGGAAAACCAATGTAAATGAAAATACGTTTTTTCATCTGAAACAATGGAGGTCAGAAACAAGTTACATAATATTTTTCAGGTAGTGAAAGAAAAGAGCTGCCAACTCTGAATGCTACAGATGTTGTAACTATGCTTCTGGAGTAAAGGAAAATTATATTTTTTGAATTGTTTAAAAATTTGTTGTTAGCAAGCTTACCATTAAATGTTTACTAAAACTGTTATTCAAACAAAATAAAGAAAAAAAAGGAATTTTGAACATCAACAAAGAAGGAAGATATATTAATATAATTAATATATTAATAGAAATGCATTTCAACTATACAACACAGTTCCAAATGATCTATGGATACAATATAAAGTCTTAAATTAAAATCCAAAAATATATTTAAACAAATGAAAGAAAAATACAACATATCAAAATATAGGAAATACAGCTAAGGCTGTGGTGGGAAAGAAATTTATAGTACTAAATGCTTCATTAAAAATGAGAAAAGATCTCAAATCAATAACATACACTTGTATCTCAAAAAACTAGAAAAAGAACAGAGTAAACTGAAAGCAGGCAGAAGAAGAAAAATAATCATGACAATAACAAAAATTCATGAAATTGAAAACAGAAAAAATGTGAAACAAAAAGCTGGTTTATTGAAAAAATCAATCAATTGATAAACATCTATCAAAACCGACAAAAATAAATAGAGATGACACAAAACTCAACAGCAACTTTTTTAAAAAAATGCAAATGATCCAATTAGGTAATGGACAAAAGACATCAATGGACGTTTTAACAAGAAAAATATTCAGATGTCAAATAATCCATGAAACATGTTCAATATTATTAATCATCATGGACATGTCAAATAAAACCATAGTGAAATATTTCTACACACCTATCAAAATGTCTTTTAAAAATTGTGACAATAGCAAAAGTTATTCAGGATGTAAAAAATAGGATCACTCATACGTTGCTAGTGGAAAAGTAAAATAATAGAGCCACTCTGAAAAATAGTTGACAGTTTTTTAAAAATACAGACATGTTATTCATTCTTTCCACATTTTTTTTTCTGCTGATTAACCTTCTCTACCTCCTCTCCAATGCCCCAGTATCCTTACTAGCTTCTGTGGGCACTCAATGTACCCACAAAATTTTAAGAAAATAATTAAAAATTTTTCAAAGTAAAATAAAAACCAGATGTGCATAGACCATAGATCCCAGCAATTGCAGTTGTGGGTGTTTAATTTGGAGTAATGAAACTTGTGTTCCCACAAAAACTTGTTCATGAATGTCTACAACAGCTTAATTTGTTACAGTTGAAAAGGTCAATAAGCCCAGGTGAATGTTTAATTTGTGGTGAATTTATACAAGAAACCATGAAATACTATTCAGTCATCAAAGGAACAAAATATTAATTAACGGAATCATTTGGATGTATTTTTAGGAAATTTTGTCGAGTGAATAAAAGTCAATTATATACATTATGTACAACAGTACAAGTAGGCCCTGAGACCTATGGGATCATTCTGTGCTGCAGCGAGGCCCTGCCTGCCTCACCAGATGTGGTGAGCCCATCCTATCTCACTCAGAGGGGTCCAAAATCGGATCTGAACGGGAGTCCGGTGAACACAGCAGGCATCCTGAAGTTCCCCTCCCTCGGAGGAAGTCGGCTCAAGGAGGTCCTGAGGACAAGACTCCTGGGGATTTGGCCCTGGGACAGGACAAGACACCCGCGGGCCCCTCTCCCACTCCGCCCCAAACTGGACCCCGGATACAGCCGCCGCCGCAGCAGCAGGAGGAACCTCGCTGACACCGCGCGGCGGTGGCGGTATTTAAAGGGGACACAGCCTGACTGCCCGGAGCAGAGCACGAGTCGGCTCAGCCAATACGCATGCGGGAGGCGCGAACGGCTACCCCTGTCACAGTGGTTCCCACGGTTGTCTTAGAAACCAGTCCCCGAGGCTTGGCAAAGCAGCAGCCCTCCCTGGCAGTGCTTGGGTGACGGGGCTCTGAGGCTCTGCCCTGAACTATCCACGGGGTTGGCGGGAACCTCTCCGGATGCCAGGAGTCCCAAAGTGCCCAGCACGATGAGGAAACCTCAGGCGGGGATTGGGGAAGCAGCACGGGATCCCAGCCTCAAGCCTGCCCGGACGCTGTTGGTTGGGGTGATTCCCCCCAAAAGTCGTGCCGCAATCCGTGATCTCGAGCACAGGTCAGCCTGCGTGCCCCTGGGCTGCTCTCTCACCCGAGAGTGGTTCTCCTCCAGAGCAGAACCCCACAGCCTCAGGGGTTGCCTGAGGGTGTGTGTTTCAATGCCTCTGCTCTATGACTCTGTGTGTGTGTGTGTGTGTGTGTGTGAGTGTGTCTGTGTCTCTGTCTCCCATTCTCTCTTCTCTCTCTGTCTCTCAGTCTCTGTGTGTTTCTTTCCCACTCTTTGTGGGTTTGTGCCAGCCGAAGTTGCGTCAGGGCTACCAGGTCGGTGGAGGAATGGGGGTGTTGCGAATTTTGCAGAAACCTCTTTACTCCTCTCGTAGGCAGTAGAAAACGTGGCTTGGGTCGGGCACAGGCGGCCCCCCCACCACCGGGGTCCCAGGTGTTGTTTGATTTTCCTTGGCATTGACGGAAAGGTCACCCGTTTCCCCCTTCCACCGGCACATGCCTGGACCCCACCCTTCGTTTCGCCGTCGCCCCGTATGCCTCCGATGACACACATTAACACCAACTGTTGTGGCATTGGCCAGTGCCACGCGTGGTCACATGGTCTCCCCCTGGGATTCCCCTCTCTTCCTCTTTGCAGGGGTCCTGTAAAGCGCGGTCGGCTTTCCGGAACCCCCTGGGCTTTCACAAGCGGGGCAGGCCATTACTCATTCAAAGGAGGAGGGAGGCAGAGGGCTGATGGATCAGTGAATTTGCAGCTGACACTAGGCCTTGAGACCTACGGGATCATTCTGTGCTGCAGCAAGGCCCTGCCGGCCTGACCAGATGTGGTGAGCCCATCCTAAGTCACTCGGAGGGGGCCAGAATGGGATCGCAACAGGAGCCCGGGGAACACAGCAGGCGTCCTGAAGCTCCCCCTCCCTTTGTGGAAGTCGGCTCAAGCAGGTCCTGAGGACAGGAGCTCTGGGGGTTTGGGACTGGGACAGGAGGAGACACCTGCGACCCCCTCTCCCACGCCGCTCCAAAGAAGACCCAGGATCCAGCCGCCGACTCGGCGGCAGCAGGAGCATCGCGGCCGCCGGGCGATGGTGGCAATATTTAAAGGGGACGCAGCCTATCTGTCAGGAGTGGAGCCTGAGTCGGCTCAGCCAATGCGCATGCGCGAAGACCGAGCGGTTTCTCTGGTCACAGTGGTTCCCACGGTTGTCTTAGAAACCAGTCCCCGAGGCTTGGAAGAGCAGGAGCCCTCCGTGGCAGTGTTTGGGTATCGAGGCTCTGAGGCTCCGGTCTCACCTCTCCATGGGCTGGAAGGGAAACTCTCCTGATGCCAGCAGTCGCAAAGGGCCGACTATGAAGATGAAACCACAGACGGAGACGGGGAAAGCAGCACGGGATCCCAGCCTCAGGCCTGCACGGACGGTGTTGGTTGGGGTGAGTCTCGCCAAAAGTCGTGCCGCCGTCCGTGATCTCGAGGACGGGTCGGGCTGCGTGCCCCTGGGCTGCTCTCTCAACCGAGGGTCGTTCACCTCCAGAGCAGAACCCCGGAGCCTCAGGGGTTGCCTGGGGGTGTGTGTTTCAATGCCTCTGCTGTATGACTCTGCGTGTGTGTGTGTGTGTGTGTGTGTCTCCCATTCTCTCTTCTCTCTCTGTCTCTCAGTCTCTGTGTGTTTCCTTCCCACTCTCTGTGGGTTTGTGCCAGCGAAGTTGCGTCAGGGCCACGAGGCCGGTGGAGGATTGGGGGTGTTGCGAAATTGGCAGAAACCTCTTTGTTCCTCTGGTAGGCATTTGAAAACGTGGCTTGGGTCAGGCACAGTCGGCCCCCCCACCCCCCGGTTCCCAGGTGTTGTTTGATTTTCCTTGGCATTGACGGAAATCTCACCCGTTTCCCCCTTCCACCGGCACATGCCTGGATCCCACCCTTCGTTTCGCCGTCGCCCCGTATGCCTCCGGTGACACACATTAACACCAACTGCTGTGGGATTGGCCAGTGCCACGCGTGGTCACATGGTCTCCCCCTGGGTTTCCCCTCTGTTCATCTTTGCAGTTGTCCTGTAAAGCGCAGTCGGCTTTCCGGAACACCTGGGCTTTTACAAGCGGGGCAGGCCACTGCTCTTTCAAAGGCGGAGGGAGGCAGAGGGCTGATGGATCAGTGAATTTGCTCTGAAACTAGGCCTTGAGACCTATGAGGTCATTCTGTGCTACAGCGAAGCCCTGCCGGCCTGACCAGATGTGGTGAGCCCATCCTATGTCACTTGGAGGGGGCGAGAATGGGATCTCAACGGGAGTCCGGACAACACAGCAGGCGTCCTGAAGCTCCGCCGCCCTCGGTGGAAGTCGGCTCAAGCAGGTCCTGAGGACAGGAGCCCTGGGGGTTTGGGCCTGGGACACGACGAGACACCCGCGGCCCCCTCTCCCACGCCGCCCCAAACAGGACCCAGGACACAGGCGCCGCCGGGGCGGCAGCAGGAGCATCGCGGCCGCCGCGCGGCGGTGACGATATTTAAAGGGAACGCAGCCTATCTGTCAGGAGTGGAGCGTGAGTTGGCTCAGCCAATGCGCATGCGTGAGGTGCCAGCGGATTCTCCCGTCACAGTGGTTCCCACGGTTGTCTTAGAAACCAGTCCCTGAGGCTTGGCAGAGCAGGAGCCCTCCGTGGCAGTGCTTGGGTATCGAGGCTCTGAGGCTCCGGCCTCACCTCCCCACAGGGTCGAAGGCAACGTCTCCGGATGCCAGCACTCGCAAAGGGCCGACCATGATGATGAAACCCCAGGCGGAGACCTGGAAGCAGCACGGGATCCCAGCCTCAGGCCTGCACGGACGGTGTTGGTTGGGGTGAGTCTCGCCAAAAGCCTTGCCGCCGTCCGTGATCTCGAGGACGTGTCGGGCTGCGTGCCCCTGGGCTGCTCTCTCACCCGAGGGTCGTTCTCCTCCAGAGCAGAACCCCGGAGCCTCAGGGGGTGCCTGGGGGTGTGTGTTTCAATGCCTCTGCTGTATGACTCTGCGTGTGTGTGTGTGTGTGTGTGTGTCTCCCATTCTCTCTTCTCTCTCTGTCTCTCAGTCTCTGTGTGTTTCTTTCCCACTCTCTGTGGGTTTGTGCCAGCGAAGTTGCGCCAGGGCTACGAGGCCGGTGGAGGATTGAGGGTGTTGCGAAATTGGCAGAAACCTCTTTGTTCCTCTGGTAGGCATTTGAAAACGTGGCTTGGGTCAGGCGCAGACGTCCCCCACACCCTCCAGGTCCCAGGTGTTGTTTGATTTTCCTTGGCATTGACGGAAAGGTCACCCGTTTCCCCCTTCCACCAGCACATGCATGGACCCCACCCTTCGTTTCACCGTCGCCCCGTTTACCTCAGGTGTCACACGTTAACACCAACTGCTGTGGGATTGGCCAGTGCCACGCGTGGTCACATGGTCTCCCCCTGGATTTCGCCTCTCTTCCTCTTTGCAGTTGTCCTGTAAAGCACGGTCGCCTTTCCGGAACCCCTCGGCTTTTACAAGCGGGGCAGGCCACTGCTCTTTCAAAGGAGGAGGGAGGCAGAGGGCTGATGGATGAGTGAATTTGCTCTGACACTAGGCCTTGAGACCTATGGGATCATTTTGTGCTGCAGCGAGGCCCTGCCGGCCTGACCAGATGTGGTGAGCCCATCCTATGTCACTCGGAGTGGGCCAGAATGGGATCTCAACGGGAGTCCGGAGAACACAGCAGGCGTCCTGAAGCTCCACCTCCCTCGGTGGAAGTCGGCTCAAGCAGGTCCTGAGGACAGGAGCCCTGGGGGTTTGGGCCTGGGACAGGACCAGACACCCGTGGCCCCCTCTCCCACGCCGCCCGAAACAGGACCCAGGACACAGGCGCCGCCGGGGCGGCAGCAGGAGCATCGCGGCCGCTGCGCAGCGGTGGCGATATTTAAAGGGGACGCAGCCTATCTGTCAGGAGTGGAGCCTGAGTCGGCTCAGCCAATGCGCATGCGCTAGGCGCGAGCGGATTCTCCCGTCACAGTGGTTCCCACGGTTGTCTTAGAAACCAGTCCCTGAGGCTTGGCAGAGCAGGAGCCCTCCGTGGCAGTGCTTGGGTATCGAGGCTCTGAGGCTCCGGCCTCACCTCCCCACAGGGTCGAAGGCAACGTCTCCGGATGCCAGCACTCGCAAAGGGCCGACCATGATGATGAAACCCCAGGCGGAGACCTGGAAGCAACACGGGATCCCAGCCTCAGGCCTGCACGGACGGTGTTGGTTGGGGTGAGTCTCGCCAAAAGCCTTGCCGCCATCCGTGATCTCGAGGACGTGTCGGGCTGCGTGCCCCTGGGCTGCTCTCTCACCCGAGGGTCGTTCTCCTCCAGAGCAGAACCCCGGAGCCTCAGGGGGTGCCTGGGGGTGTGTGTTTCAATGCCTCTGCTGTATGACTCTGCGTGTGTGTGTGTGTGTGTGTGTGTGTGTGTCTCCCATTCTCTCTTCTCTCTCTGTCTCTCAGTCTCTGTGTGTTTCTTTCCCACTCTCTGTGGGTTTGTGCCAGCGAAGTTGCGTCAGGGCTACGAGGCCGGTGGAGGATTGGGGGTGTTGCGAAATTGGCAGAAACCTCTTTGTTTCTCTGGTAGGCATTTGAAAACGTGGCTTGTGTCAGGCACAGACCTCCCCCCCACCCTCCGGGTCCCAGGTGTTGTTTGATTTTCCTTGGCATTCACGGAAAGGTCACCTGTTTCCCCTTCCACGTGTTCATTCCTGGACCGCACCCTTTGTTTCGCCGTCGCCCCGTATGCCTCCGGTGACACACATTATCACCAACTGCTGTGGGATTGGCCAGTGCACGCGTGGTCACATGGACTTCCCCTGGGTTTCTCCTCTCTTCCTCTTTGCAGGTAGGTGTCCTGTTAAGCGCGGTCGGCTTTCCGGAACCCCTGGGCTTTTACAAGCGCGGCAGGCCACTGCTCTTTCAAAGGAGGAGGGAGGCAGAGGGCTGATGGATGAGTGAATTTGCTCTGACACAAGGCCTTGAGACCTATGGGATCATTTTGTGCTGCAGCGAGGCCCTGCCGGCCTGAGCAGATGTGGTGAGCCCATCCTATGTCACTCGGAGTGGGCCAGAATGGGATCTCAACGGGAGTCCGGAGAACACAGCAGGCGTCCTGAAGCTCCACCTCCCTCGGTGGAAGTCGGCTCAAGCAGGTCCTGAGGACAGGAGCCCTGGGGGTTTGGGCCTGGGACAGGACCAGACACCCGTGGCCCCCTCTCCCACGCCGCCCGAAACAGGACCCAGGACACAGGCGCCGCCGGGGCGGCAGCAGGAGCATCGCGGCCGCTGCGCAGCGGTGGCGATATTTAAAGGGGACGCAGCCTATCTGTCAGGAGTGGAGCGTGAGTCGGCTCAGCCAATGCGCATGCGCTAGGCGCGAGCGGATTCTCCCGTCACAGTGGTTCCCACGGTTGTCTTAGAAACCAGTCCCTGAGGCTTGGCAGAGCAGGAGCCCTCCGTGGCAGTGCTTGGGTATCGAGGCTCTGAGGCTCCGGCCTCACCTCCCCACAGGGTCGAAGGCAACGTCTCCGGATGCCAGCACTCGCAAAGGGCCGACCATGATGATGAAACCCCAGGCGGAGACCTGGAAGCAGCACGGGAGCCCAGCCTCAGGCCTGCACGGACGGTGTTGGTTGGGGTGAGTCTCGCCAAAAGCCTTGCCGCCGTCCGTGATCTCGAGGACGTGTCGGGCTGCGTGCCCCTGGGCTGCTCTCTCACCCGAGGGTCGTTCTCCTCCAGAGCAGAACCCCGGAGCCTCAGGGGGTGCCTGGGGGTGTGTGTTTCAATGCCTCTGCTGTATGACTCTGCGTGTGTGTGTGTGTGTGTGTGTGTGTCTCCCATTCTCTCTTCTCTCTCTGTCTCTCAGTCTCTGTGTGTTTCTTTCCCACTCTCTGTGGGTTTGTGCCAGCGAAGTTGCGTCAGGGCTACGAGGCCGGTGGAGGATTGAGGGTGTTGCGAAATTGGCAGAAACCTCTTTGTTCCTCTGGTAGGCATTTGAAAACGTGGCTTGGGTCAGGCGCAGACGTCCCCCACACCCTCCAGGTCCCAGGTGTTGTTTGATTTTCCTTGGCATTGACGGAAAGGTCACCCGTTTCCCCCTTCCACCGGCACATGCATGGACCCCACCCTTCGTTTCACCGTCGCCCCGTTTACCTCAGGTGTCACACGTTAACACCAACTGCTGTGGGATTGGCCAGTGCCACGCGTGGTCACATGGTCTCCCCCTGGATTTCGCCTCTCTTCCTCTTTGCAGTTGTCCTGTAAAGCACGGTCGGCTTTCCGGAACCCCTCGGCTTTTACAAGCGGGGCAGGCCACTGCTCTTTCAAAGGAGGAGGGAGGCAGAGGGCTGATGGATGAGTGAATTTGCTCTGACACTAGGCCTTGAGACCTATGGGATCATTTTGTGCTGCAGCGAGGCCCTGCCGGCCTGACCAGATGTGGTGAGCCCATCCTATGTCACTCGGAGTGGGCCAGAATGGGATCTCAACGGGAGTCCGGAGAACACAGCAGGCGTCCTGAAGCTCCACCTCCCTCGGTGGAAGTCGGCTCAAGCAGGTCCTGAGGACAGGAGCCCTGGGGGTTTGGGCCTGGGACAGGACCAGACACCCGTGGCCCCCTCTCCCACGCCGCCCGAAACAGGACCCAGGACACAGGCGCCGCCGGGGCGGCAGCAGGAGCATCGCGGCCGCTGCGCAGCGGTGGCGATATTTAAAGGGGACGCAGCCTATCTGTCAGGAGTGGAGCCTGAGTCGGCTCAGCCAATGCGCATGCGCTAGGCGCGAGCGGATTCTCCCGTCACAGTGGTTCCCACGGTTGTCTTAGAAACCAGTCCCTGAGGCTTGGCAGAGCAGGAGCCCTCCGTGGCAGTGCTTGGGTATCGAGGCTCTGAGGCTCCGGCCTCACCTCCCCACAGGGTCGAAGGCAACGTCTCCGGATGCCAGCACTCGCAAAGGGCCGACCATGATGATGAAACCCCAGGCGGAGACCTGGAAGCAACACGGGATCCCAGCCTCAGGCCTGCACGGACGGTGTTGGTTGGGGTGAGTCTCGCCAAAAGCCTTGCCGCCGTCCGTGATCTAGAGGACGTGTCGGGCTGCGTGCCCCTGGGCTGCTCTCTCACCCGAGGGTCGTTCTCCTCCAGAGCAGAACCCCGGAGCCTCAGGGGGTGCCTGGGGGTGTGTGTTTCAATGCCTCTGCTGTATGACTCTGCGTGTGTGTGTGTGTGTGTGTGTGTGTGTCTCCCATTCTCTCTTCTCTCTCTGTCTCTCAGTCTCTGTGTGTTTCTTTCCCACTCTCTGTGGGTTTGTGCCAGCGAAGTTGCGTCAGGGCTACGAGGCCGGTGGAGGATTGGGGGTGTTGCGAAATTGGCAGAAACCTCTTTGTTTCTCTGGTAGGCATTTGAAAACGTGGCTTGTGTCAGGCACAGACCTCCCCCCCACCCTCCGGGTCCCAGGTGTTGTTTGATTTTCCTTGGCATTCACGGAAAGGTCACCTGTTTCCCCTTCCACGTGTTCATTCCTGGACCGCACCCTTTGTTTCGCCGTCGCCCCGTATGCCTCCGGTGACACACATTATCACCAACTGCTGTGGGATTGGCCAGTGCCACGCGTGGTCACATGGACTTCCCCTGGGTTTCTCCTCTCTTCCTCTTTGCAGGTAGGTGTCCTGTTAAGCGCGGTCGGCTTTCCGGAACCCCCTGGGCTTTTACAAGCGCGGCAGGCCACTGCTCTTTCAAAGGAGGAGGGAGGCAGAGGGCTGATGGATGAGTGAATTTGCTCTGACACAAGGCCTTGAGACCTATGGGATCATTTTGTGCTGCAGCGAGGCCCTGCCGGCCTGAGCAGATGTGGTGAGCCCATCCTATGTCACTCGGAGTGGGCCAGAATGGGATCTCAACGGGAGTCCGGAGAACACAGCAGGCGTCCTGAAGCTCCACCTCCCTCGGTGGAAGTCGGCTCAAGCAGGTCCTGAGGACAGGAGCCCTGGGGGTTTGGGCCTGGGACAGGACCAGACACCCGTGGCCCCCTCTCCCACGCCGCCCGAAACAGGACCCAGGACACAGGCGCCGCCGGGGCGGCAGCAGGAGCATCGCGGCCGACGCGCAGCGGTGGCGATATTTAAAGGGGACGCAGCCTATCTGTCAGGAGTGGAGCGTGAGTCGGCTCAGCCAATGCGCATGCGCTGGGCACGAGCGGATTCTCCCGTCACAGTGGTTCCCACGGTTGTCTTAGAAACCAGTCCCTGAGGCTTGGCAGAGCAGGAGCCCTCCGTGGCAGTGCTTGGGTGTCGAGGCTCTGAGGCTCCGGCCTCACCTCCCCACAGGGTCGAAGGCAACGTCTCCGGATGCCAGCACTCGCAAAGGGCCGACCATGATGATGAAACCCCAGGCGGAGACCTGGAAGCAGCACGGGAGCCCAGCCTCAGGCCTGCACGGACGGTGTTGGTTGGGGTGAGTCTCGCCAAAAGCCTTGCCGCCGTCCGTGATCTCGAGGACGTGTCGGGCTGCGTGCCCCTGGCGTGCTCTCTCACCCGAGGGTCGTTCTCCTCCAGAGCAGAACCCCGGAGCCTCAGGGGGTGCCTGGGGGTTGTGTGTTTCAATGCCTCTGCTGTATGACTCTGCGTGTGTGTGTGTGTGTGTGTGTGTGTGTCTCCCATTCTCTCTTCTCTCTCTGTCTCTCAGTCTCTGTGTGTTTCTTTCCCACTCTCTGTGGGTTTGTGCCAGCGAAGTTGCGTCAGGGCTACGAGGCCGGTGGAGGATTGGGGGTGTTGCGATATTGGCAGAAACCTCTTTGTTTCTCTGGTAGGCATTTGAAAACGTGGCTTGTGTCAGGCACAGACCTCCCCCCCACCCTCCGGGTCCCAGGTGTTGTTTGATTTTCCTTGGCATTCACGGAAAGGTCACCTGTTTCCCCTTCCACGTGTTCATTCCTGGACCGCACCCTTTGTTTCGCCGTCGCCCCGTATGCCTCCGGTGACACACATTATCACCAACTGCTGTGGGATTGGCCAGTGCCACGCGTGGTCACATGGACTTCCCCTGGGTTTCTCCTCTCTTCCTCTTTGCAGGTAGGTGTCCTGTTAAGCGCGGTCGGCTTTCCGGAACCCCCTGGGCTTTTACAAGCGCGGCAGGCCACTGCTCTTTCAAAGGAGGAGGGAGGCAGAGGGCTGATGGATGAGTGAATTTGCTCTGACACAAGGCCTTGAGACCTATGGGATCATTTTGTGCTGCAGCGAGGCCCTGCCGGCCTGAGCAGATGTGGTGAGCCCATCCTATGTCACTCGGAGTGGGCCAGAATGGGATCTCAACGGGAGTCCGGAGAACACAGCAGGCGTCCTGAAGCTCCACCTCCCTCGGTGGAAGTCGGCTCAAGCAGGTCCTGAGGACAGGAGCCCTGGGGGTTTGGGCCTGGGACAGGACCAGACACCCGTGGCCCCCTCTCCCACGCCGCCCGAAACAGGACCCAGGACACAGGCGCCGCCGGGGCGGCAGCAGGAGCATCGCGGCCGACGCGCAGCGGTGGCGATATTTAAAGGGGACGCAGCCTATCTGTCAGGAGTGGAGCGTGAGTCGGCTCAGCCAATGCGCATGCGCTGGGCGCGAGCGGATTCTCCCGTCACAGTGGTTCCCACGGTTGTCTTAGAAACCAGTCCCTGAGGCTTGGCAGAGCAGGAGCCCTCCGTGGCAGTGCTTGGGTATCGAGGCTCTGAGGCTCCGGCCTCACCTCCCCACAGGGTCGAAGGCAACGTCTCCGGATGCCAGCACTCGCAAAGGGCCGACCATGATGATGAAACCCCAGGCGGAGACCTGGAAGCAGCACGGGATCCCAGCCTCAGGCCTGCACGGACGGTGTTGGTTGGGGTGAGTCTCGCCAAAAGCCTTGCCGCCGTCCGTGATCTCGAGGACGTGTCGGGCTGCGTGCCCCTGGGCTGCTCTCTCACCCGAGGGTCGTTCTCCTCCAGAGCACAACCCCGGAGCCTCAGGGGGTGCCTGGGGGTGTGTGTTTCAATGCCTCTGCTGTATGACTCTGCGTGTGTGTGTGTGTGTGTGTCTCCCATTCTCTCTTCTCTCTCTGTCTCTCAGTCTCTGTGTGTTTCTTTCCCACTCTCTGTGGGTTTGTGCCAGCGAAGTTGCGTCAGGGCTACGAGGCCGGTGGAGGATTGAGGGTGTTGCGAAATTGGCAGAAACCTCTTTGTTCCTCTGGTAGGCATTTGAAAACGTGGCTTGGGTCAGGCGCAGACGTCCCCCACACCCTCCAGGTCCCAGGTGTTGTTTGATTTTCCTTGGCATTGACGGAAAGGTCACCCGTTTCCCCCTTCCACCGGCACATGCATGGACCCCACCCTTCGTTTCACCGTCGCCCCGTTTACCGCAGGTGTCACACGTTAACACCAACTGCTGTGGGATTGGCCAGTGCCACGCGTGGTCACATGGTCTCCCCCTGGATTTCGCCTCTCTTCCTCTTTGCAGTTGTCCTGTAAAGCACGGTCGCCTTTCCGGAACCCCTCGGCTTTTACAAGCGGGGCAGGCCACTGCTCTTTCAAAGGAGGAGGGAGGCAGAGGGCTGATGGATGAGTGAATTTGCTCTGACACTAGGCCTTGAGACCTATGGGATCATTTTGTGCTGCAGCGAGGCCCTGCCGGCCTGACCAGATGTGGTGAGCCCATCCTATGTCACTCGGAGTGGGCCAGAATGGGATCTCAACGGGAGTCCGGAGAACACAGCAGGCGTCCTGAAGCTCCACCTCCCTCGGTGGAAGTCGGCTCAAGCAGGTCCTGAGGACAGGAGCCCTGGGGGTTTGGGCCTGGGACAGGACCAGACACCCGTGGCCCCCTCTCCCACGCCGCCCGAAACAGGACCCAGGACACAGGCGCCGCCGGGGCGGCAGCAGGAGCATCGCGGCCGCTGCGCAGCGGTGGCGATATTTAAAGGGGACGCAGCCTATCTGTCAGGAGTGGAGCCTGAGTCGGCTCAGCCAATGCGCATGCGCTAGGCGCGAGCGGATTCTCCCGTCACAGTGGTTCCCACGGTTGTCTTAGAAACCAGTCCCTGAGGCTTGGCAGAGCAGGAGCCCTCCGTGGCAGTGCTTGGGTATCGAGGCTCTGAGGCTCCGGCCTCACCTCCCCACAGGGTCGAAGGCAACGTCTCCGGATGCCAGCACTCGCAAAGGGCCGACCATGATGATGAAACCCCAGGCGGAGACCTGGAAGCAACACGGGATCCCAGCCTCAGGCCTGCACGGACGGTGTTGGTTGGGGTGAGTCTCGCCAAAAGCCTTGCCGCCGTCCGTGATCTCGAGGACGTGTCGGGCTGCGTGCCCCTGGGCTGCTCTCTCACCCGAGGGTCGTTCTCCTCCAGAGCAGAACCCCGGAGCCTCAGGGGGTGCCTGGGGGTGTGTGTTTCAATGCCTCTGCTGTATGACTCTGCGTGTGTGTGTGTGTGTGTGTGTGTGTGTGTGTGTGTGTCTCCCATTCTCTCTTCTCTCTCTGTCTCTCAGTCTCTGTGTGTTTCTTTCCCACTCTCTGTGGGTTTGTGCCAGCGAAGTTGCGTCAGGGCTACGAGGCCGGTGGAGGATTGGGGGTGTTGCGAAATTGGCAGAAACCTCTTTGTTTCTCTGGTAGGCATTTGAAAACGTGACTTGTGTCAGGCACAGACCTCCCCCCCACCCTCCGGGTCCCAGGTGTTGTTTGATTTTCCTTGGCATTCACGGAAAGGTCACCTGTTTCCCCTTCCACGTGTTCATTCCTGGACCGCACCCTTTGTTTCGCCGTCGCCCCGTATGCCTCCGGTGACACACATTATCACCAACTGCTGTGGGATTGGCCAGTGCCACGCGTGGTCACATGGACTTCCCCTGGGTTTCTCCTCTCTTCCTCTTTGCAGGTAGGTGTCCTGTTAAGCGCGGTCGGCTTTCCGGAACCCCATGGGCTTTTACAAGCGCGGCAGGCCACTGCTCTTTCAAAGGAGGAGGGAGGCAGAGGGCTGATGGATGAGTGAATTTGCTCTGACACAAGGCCTTGAGACCTATGGGATCATTTTGTGCTGCAGCGAGGCCCTGCCGGCCTGAGCAGATGTGGTGAGCCCATCCTATGTCACTCGGAGTGGGCCAGAATGGGATCTCAACGGGAGTCCGGAGAACACAGCAGGCGTCCTGAAGCTCCACCTCCCTCGGTGGAAGTCGGCTCAAGCAGGTCCTGAGGACAGGAGCCCTGGGGGTTTGGGCCTGGGACAGGACCAGACACCCGTGGCCCCCTCTCCCACGCCGCCCGAAACAGGACCCAGGACACAGGCGCCGCCGGGGCGGCAGCAGGAGCATCGCGGCCGCTGCGCAGCGGTGGCGATATTTAAAGGGGACGCAGCCTATCTGTCAGGAGTGGAGCGTGAGTCGGCTCAGCCAATGCGCATGCGCTGGGCGCGAGCGGATTCTCCCGTCACAGTGGTTCCCACGGTTGTCTTAGAAACCAGTCCCTGAGGCTTGGCAGAGCAGGAGCCCTCCGTGGCAGTGCTTGGGTATCGAGGCTCTGAGGCTCCGGCCTCACCTCCCCACAGGGTCGAAGGCAACGTCTCCGGATGCCAGCACTCGCAAAGGGCCGACCATGATGATGAAACCCCAGGCGGAGACCTGGAAGCAGCACGGGAGCCCAGCCTCAGGCCTGCACGGACGGTGTTGGTTGGGGTGAGTCTCGCCAAAAGCCTTGCCGCCGTCCGTGATCTCGAGGACGTGTCGGGCTGCGTGCCCCTGGGCTGCTCTCTCACCCGAGGGTCGTTCTCCTCCAGAGCAGAACCCCGGAGCCTCAGGGGGTGCCTGGGGGTGTGTGTTTCAATGCCTCTGCTGTATGACTCTGCGTGTGTGTGTGTGTGTGTGTGTGTGTGTCTCCCATTCTCTCTTCTCTCTCTGTCTCTCAGTCTCTGTGTGTTTCTTTCCCACTCTCTGTGGGTTTGTGCCAGCGAAGTTGCGTCAGGGCTACGAGGCCGGTGGAGGATTGGGGGTGTTGCGAAATTGGCAGAAACCTCTTTGTTTCTCTGGTAGGCATTTGAAAACGTGGCTTGTGTCAGGCACAGACCTCCCCCCCACCCTCCGGGTCCCAGGTGTTGTTTGATTTTCCTTGGCATTCACGGAAAGGTCACCTGTTTCCCCTTCCACGTGTTCATTCCTGGACCGCACCCTTTGTTTCGCCGTCGCCCCGTATGCCTCCGGTGACACACATTATCACCAACTGCTGTGGGATTGGCCAGTGCCACGCGTGGTCACATGGACTTCCCCTGGGTTTCTCCTCTCTTCCTCTTTGCAGGTAGGTGTCCTGTTAAGCGCGGTCGGCTTTCCGGAACCCCCTGGGCTTTTACAAGCGCGGCAGGCCACTGCTCTTTCAAAGGAGGAGGGAGGCAGAGGGCTGATGGATGAGTGAATTTGCTCTGACACTAGGCCTTGAGACCTATGGGATCATTTTGTGCTGCAGCGAGGCCCTGCCGGCCTGAGCAGATGTGGTGAGCCCATCCTATGTCACTCGGAGTGGGCCAGAATGGATTTTCAACGGGAGTCCGGAGAACACAGCAGGCGTCCTGAAGCTCCACCTCCCTCGGTGGAAGTCGGCTCAAGCAGGTCCTGAGGACAGGAGCCCTGGGGGTTTGGGCCTGGGACAGGACCAGACACCCGTGGCCCCCTCTCCCACGCCGCCCGAAACAGGACCCAGGACACAGGCGCCGCCGGGGCGGCAGCAGGAGCATCGCGGCCGACGCGCAGCGGTGGCGATATTTAAAGGGGACGCAGCCTATCTGTCAGGAGTGGAGCGTGAGTCGGCTCAGCCAATGCGCATGCGCTGGGCGCGAGCGGATTCTCCCGTCACAGTGGTTCCCACGGTTGTCTTAGAAACCAGTCCCTGAGGCTTGGCAGAGCAGGAGCCCTCCGTGGCAGTGCTTGGGTATCGAGGCTCTGAGGCTCCGGCCTCACCTCCCCACAGGGTCGAAGGCAACGTCTCCGGATGCCAGCACTCGCAAAGGGCCGACCATGATGATGAAACCCCAGGCGGAGACCTGGAAGCAGCACGGGATCCCAGCCTCAGGCCTGCACGGACGGTGTTGGTTGGGGTGAGTCTCGCCAAAAGCCTTGCCGCCGTCCGTGATCTCGAGGACGTGTCGGGCTGCGTGCCCCTGGGCTGCTCTCTCACCCGAGGGTCGTTCTCCTCCAGAGCAGATCCCCGGAGCCTCAGGGGGTGCCTGGGGGTGTGTGTTTCAATGCCTCTGCTGTATGACTCTGCGTGTGTGTGTGTGTGTGTGTGTGTCTCCCATTCTCTCTTCTCTCTCTGTCTCTCAGTCTCTGTGTGTTTCTTTCCCACTCTCTGTGGGTTTGTGCCAGCGAAGTTGCATCAGGGCTACGAGGCCGGTGGAGGATTGAGGGTGTTGCGAAATTGGCAGAAACCTCTTTGCTCCTCTGGTAGGCATTTGAAAACGTGGCTTGGGTCAGGCACAGGAGGCCCCCCTACCCCACGGTTCCCAGGTGTTGTTTGATTTTCCTTTGCTTTGACGGAAATGTCACCCGTTTCCCCCTTCCACCGGCATATGCCTGGACCCCACCCTTCGTTTCGCCGTCGCCCCGTATGCCTCCGGTGACACACATTAACACCAACTGCTGTGGGATTGGCCAGTGCCACGCGTGGTCACATGGTCTCCCCCTGGGTTTCGCCTCTTTTCCTCTTTGCAGTTGTCCTGTAAAGCGCGTTCGGCTTTCCGGAAGCCCTGGGCTTTTACAAGCGGGGCAGGCCACTGCTCTTTCAAAGGAGGAGGGAGGCAGAGGGCTGATGGATCGGTGAATTTGCTCTGACACTAGGCCTTGAGACCTATGGGGTCATTGTGTGCTGCAGCGAGGCCCTGCCGGCCTGACCAGATGTGGTGAGCCCATCCTATGTCACTCGGAGTGGGCCAGAATGGGATCTCAACGGGAGTCCGGAGAACACAGCAGGCGTCCTGAAGCTCCACCTCCCTCGGTGGAAATCGGCTCAAGCAGGTCCTGAGGACAGGAGCCCTGGGGGTTTGGGCCTGTGACACGACGAGACACCCGCGGCCCCCGCTCCCACGCCGCCCCAAACAGGACCCAGGACACAGCCGACGCCGGGGCGGCAGCAGGAGCATCGCGGCCGCCGCGCGGCGGTGGCGATATTTAAAGGGGACGCAGCCTATCTGTCAGGAGTGGAGCGTGAGTCGGCTCAGCCAATGCGCATGCGTGAGGCGCCAGCGGTTTCTCCCGTCACAGTGGTTCCCACGGTTGTCTTAGAAACCAGTCCCCGAGGCTTTGCAGAGCAGGAGCCCTCCGTGGCAGTGCTTGGGTATCGAGGCTCTGAGGCTCCGGTCTCACCTCTCCACGGGCTCGAAGGGAAACTCTCCTGATGCCAGCAGTCGCAATGGGCCGACTATGAAGATGAAACCCCAGGTGGAGACCGGGGAAGCAGCACGGGATCCCAGCCTCAGGCCTGCACGGACGGTGTTTGTTTGGGTGAGTCTCGCCAAAAGTCGCGCCGCGGTCAGTGATCTCGAGGACTGGTCGGCCTGCGTGCTCCTGGGCCGCTCTCTCACCCGAGGGTCGTTCTCCTCCAGAGCAGAACCCCGGATCCTCAGGGGTTGCCTGGGAGTGTGTGTTTCAATGCCTCTGCTGTATGACTCTGCGTGTGTGTGCGTGTGTGTCTGTGTGTGTGTCTCCCATTCTCTCTTCTCTCTCTGTCTCTCACTCTCTGTGTGTTTCTTTCCCAATCTCTGTGGGTTTGTACCAGCCGAAGTTGCGTCAGGGCTAGCAGGTCGGTGGAGGATTGGGGGTGTTGCGAAATTGGCAGAAACCTCTTTGCTCCTCTGGTAGGCATTTGAAAACGTGGCTTGGGTCAGGCACAGTCTGCACCCCCACCTCCCGGTTCCCAGGTGTGGTTTGATTTTCCTTGGCACTGACGGAAATGTCACCCGTTTCCCCCTTCCACCGGCACATGCCTGGACCCCACCCTTCGTTTTGCCGTCGCCCCGTATGCCTCCGGTGACACACATTAACACCAACTGCTGTGGGATTAGCCAGTGCCACGCGTGGTCACATGGTCTCCCCTTGGGTTTCGCCTCTGTTCCTCTTTGCAGTTGTCCTGTAAAGCGCGTTCGGCTTTCCGGAACCCCTGGGCTTTTACAAGCGGGGCAGGCCACTGCACTTTCAAAGGAGGAGGGAGGCAGAGGGCTGATGGATGAGTGAATTTGCTCTGACACTAGGCCTTGAGACCTATGGGGTCATTGTGTGCTGCAGCGAGGCCCTGCCGGCCTGACCACATGTGGTGAGCCCATCCTATGTCACTCCGAGGGGGCCAGAATGGGATCTCAACGGGAGTCCAGAGAACACAGCAGGCGTCCTGAAGCTCCCCCTCCCTTGGTGGAAGTCGGCTCAAGCAGGTCCTGAGGACAGGAGCCCTGGGTGTTTGGGCCTGGGACAGGACCAGTCACCCGTGGCCCCCTCTCCCACGCCGCCCGAAACAGGACCCAAGACACAGGCGCTGCCGGGGCGGCAGCAGGAGCATCGCGGCCGCCGCGCGGCGGTGGCAATATTTAAAGGGGACGCAGCCTATCTGTCAGGAGTGGAGCGTGAGTCGGCTCAGCCAATGCGCATGCGTGAGGCGCCAGCGGTTTCTCCCGTCACAGTGGTTCCCACGGTTGTCTTAGACACTAGTCCCCGAGGCTTGGCAGAGCAGGAGCCCTCCGTGGCAGTGTTTGGGTATCCAGGCTCTGAGGCTCCGGCCTCACCTTTCCACGGGGTAGAAGGGAACCTCTCCTGATGACAGCAGTCGCAAAGGGCCGACCATGATGATGAAATCCCAGGCGGAGACGGGGGAAGCAGCACGGGATCCCAGCCTCAGGCCTGCACGGACGGTGTTGGTTGGGGTGAGTCTCACCAAAATTCGTGCCGCCGTCCGTGACCTCGAGGACGGGTCGGCCTGCGTGCCCCTCGGCTGCTCTCTCACCCGAGGGTCGTTCTCCTCCAGAGCAGAACCCCGGATCCTCAGGGGTTGCCTGGGGGTGTGTGTTTCAATGTCTCTGCTGTATGACTCTGCGTGTGTGTGCGTGTGTGTGTGTGTGTGTGTCTCCCATTCTCTCTTCTCTCTCTGTCTCTCACTCTCTGTGTGTTTCTTTCCCAATCTCTGTGGGTTTGTACCAGCCGAAGTTGCGTCAGGGCTACCAGGTCGGTGGAGGATTGGGGGTGTTGCGAAATTGGCAGAAACCTCTTTGCTCCTCTGGTAGGCATTTGAAAACGTGGCTTGGGTCAGGCACAGTCGGCACCCCCACCTCCCGGTTCCCAGGTGTGGTTTGATTTTCCTTGGCACTGACGGAAATGTCACCCGTTTCCCCCTTCCACCGGCACATGCCTGGACCCCACCCTTCGTTTCGCCGTCGCCCCGTATGCCTCCGGTGACACACATTAACACCAACTGCTGTGGGATTAGCCAGTGCCACGCGTGGTCTCATGGTCTCCCCCTGGGTTTCGCCTCTGTTCCTCTTTGCAGTTGTCCTGTAAAGCGCGTTCGGCTTTCCGGAACCCCTGGGCTTTTACAAGCGGGGCAGGCCACTGCTCTTTCAAAGGAGGAGGGAGGCAGAGGGCTGATGGATCGGTGAATTTGCTCTGACACTAGGCCTTGAGACCTATGGGGTCATTGTGTGCTGCAGCGAGGCCCTGCCGGCCTGACCAGATGTGGTGAGCCCATCCTATGTCACTCGGAGGGGGCCAGAATGGGATCTCAACGGGAGTCCGGAGCACACAGCAGGCGTCCTGAAGCTCCCCCTCCCTCGCTGGAAATCGGCTGAAGCAGGTCCTGAGGACAGGAGCCCTGGGGGTTTGGGCCTGTGACACGACGAGACACCCGCGGCCCCCGCTCCCACGCCGCCCCAAACAGGACCCAGGACACAGCCGACGCCGGGGCGGCAGCAGGAGCATCGCGGCCGCCGTGCGACGGTGGCGATATTTAAAGGGGATGCAGCCTATCTGTCATTAGTGGAGCGTGAGTCGGCTCACCCAAAGCGCATGCGTGAGGTGCCAGCGGTTTCTCCCGTCACAGTGGTTCCCACTGTTGTCTTAGACACCAGTCCCCGAGGCTTGGCAGAGCAGGAGCCCTCCGTGGCAGTGCTTGGGTATCGAGGCTCTGAGACTCCGGCCTCACCTCTCCACGGGGTCGAAGGGAACCTCTCCTGATGACAGCAGTCGCAAAGGGCCGACCATGATGATGAAACCCCAGGCGGAGACGGGGGAAGCAGCACGGGATCCCAGCCTCAGGCCTGCACGGACGGTGTTGGTTGGGGTTAGTCTCGCCAAAAGCCTTGCCGCTGTCCGTGATCTCGAGGACGTATCGGGCTGCGTGCCCCTCGGCTGCTCTCTCACCCGAGGGTCGTTCTCCTCCAGAGCAGAACCCCGGAGCCTCAGGGGCTGCCTGGGGTGTGTGTTTCAATGCCTCTGCTGTATGACTCTGCGTGTGTGTGTGTGTGTGTGTGTGTGTGTCTGTGTGTGTGTCTCCCATTCTCTCTTCTCTCTCTGTCTCTCAGTCTCTGTGTGTTTCTTTCCCACTCTCTGTGGGTTTGTACCAGCCGAAGTTGCGTCAGGGCTACCAGGTCGGTGGAGGATTGGGGGTGTTGCGAAATTGGCAGAAACCTCTTTGCTCCTCTGGTAGGCATTTGAAAACGTGGCTTGGGTCAGGCACAGGAGGCCCCCCTACCCCACGGTTCCCAGGTGTTGTTTGATTTTCCTTTGGCATTGACGGAAATGTCACCCGTTTCCCCCTTCCACCGGCATATGTCTGGACCCCACCCTTCGTTTCGCCGTCGCCCCATATCCCTCCGGTGACACTCATTAACACCAACTGCTGTGGGACTGGCCAGTGCCACGCGTGGTCACATGGTCTCCCCCTGGGTTTCGCCTCTGTTCCTCTTTGCAGTTGTCCTGTAAAGCGCGTTCGGCTTTCCAGAACCCCTGGGCTTTTACAAGCGGGGCAGGCCACTGCACTTTCAAAGGAGGAGGGAGGCAGAGGGCTGATGGATGAGTGAATTTGCTCTGACACTAGGCCTTGAGACCTATGGGGTCATTGTGTGCTGCAGCGAGGCCCTGCCGGCCTGACCACATGTGGTGAGCCCATCCTATGTCACTCCGATGGGGCCAGAATGGGATCTCAACGGGAGTCCAGAGAACACAGCAGGCGTCCTGAAGCTCCCCCTCCCTTGGTGGAAGTCGACTCAAGCAGGTCCTGAGGACAGGAGCCCTGGGGGTTTGGGCCTGGGACAGGACGAGACACCCGCGGTCCCCTCTCCCATGCCACCCCAAACAGGACCCAGGACACAGCCGCCTTCGTGGCGGCAGCAGGAGCATCGCGGCTGCCGCGCGGCGGTCGCGATATTTAAAGGGGACGCAGCCTATCTGTCAGGAGTGGAGCGTGAGTCGGCTCAGCCAATGCGCATGCGCGAGGCCCCAGCGGTTTCTCGGGTCACAGGGGTTCCCACGGTTGTCTTAGAAACCAGTCCCCGAGGCTTTGCAGAGCAGGAGCCCTCCGTGGCAGTGCTTGGGTATCGAGGCTCTGAGGCTCCGGTCTCACCTCTCCACGGGCTCGAAGGGAAACTCTCCTGATGCCAGCAGTCGCAAAGGGCCGACTATGAAGATGAAACCCCAGGTGGAGACCGGGGAAGCAGCACGGGATCCCAGCCTCAGGCCTGCACGGACGGTGTTTGTTGGGGTGAGTCTCGCCAAAAGTCGCGCCGCTGTCCGTGATCTCGAGGACGGGTCGGCCTGCGTGCCCCTGGGCTGCTCTCTCACCCGAGGGTCGTTCTCCTCCAGAGCAGAACCCCGGAGCCTCAGGGGTTGCCTGGGGGTGTGTGTTTCAATGCCTGTGCTGTATGACTCTGCGTGTGTGTGTGTGTGTCTGTGTGTTTCTCTCCCATTCTCTCTTCTCCCTCTGTCTCTCAGTCTCTGTGTGTTTCTTTCCCACTCTTTGTGGGTTTGTGCCAGCCGAAGTTGCTTCAGGGCTACGAGGTCGGTGGAGGATTGGGGGTGTTGCGAAATTGGCAGAAACATCTTTGTTCCTCTGGTAGGCATTTGAAAACGTGGCTTGGGTCAGGCACAGACGTCCCCCACACCCTCCGGGTCCCAGGTGTTGTTTGATTTTCCTTGGCATTGACGGAAAGGTCACCCGTTTCCCCCTTCCACCGGCACGTGCATGGACCCCACCCTTCGTTTCGCCGTCGCCCCGTTTGCCTCCGGTGTCACACGTTAACACCAACTGCTGTGGGATTGGCCAGTGCCACGCGTGGTCACGTGGTCTCCCCCTGGATTTCGCCTCTCTTCCTCTTTGCAGTTGTCCTGTTAAGCACGGTCGGCTTTCCGGAATCCCTGGGCTTTTACAAGCGGGGTAGGCCACTGCTCTTTCAAAGGAGGAGGGAGGCAGAGGGCTGATGGATGAGTGAAATTGCTCTGACACTAGGCCTTGAGACCTATGGGATCATTTTGTGCTGCAGCGAGGCCCTGCCGGCCTGACCACGTGTGGTGAGCCCATCCTATGTCACTCGGAGGGGGCCAGAATGGGATCTCAACGGGAGTCCAGAGAACACAGCAGGCGTCCTGAAGCTCCCCCTCCCTTGGTGGAAGTCGGCTCAAGCAGGTCCTGAGGACAGGAGCCCTGGGGGTTTGGGCCTGGACAGGACCAGACACCCGTGGCCCCCTCTCCCACGCCGCCTGAAACAGGACCCAAGACACAGGCGCTGCCGGGACGGCAGCAGGAGCATCGCGGCGCGCGCGGCGGTGGCGATATTTAAAGGGACGCAGCCTATCTGTCAGGAGTGGAGCGTGAGTCGGCTCAGCCAATGCGCATGCGCTAGGCGCCAGCGGTTTCTCCCGTCACAGTGGTTCCCACGGTTGTCTTAGACACTAGTCCCCGAGGCTTGGCAGAGCAGGAGCCCTCCGTGGCAGTGTTTGGGTATCCAGGCTCTGAGGCTCCGGCCTCACCTTTCCACGGGGTAGAAGTGAACCTCTCCTGATGACAGCAGTCGCAAAGGGCCGACCATGATGATGAAACCCCAGGCGGAGACGGGGGAAGCAGCACGGGATCCCAGCCTCAGGCCTGCACGGACGGTGTTGGTTGGGGTGAGTCTCACCAAAAGTCGTGCCGCCGTCCGTGCCCTCGAGGACGGGTAGGCCTGCGTGCCCCTCGGCTGCTCTCTCACCCGAGGGTCGTTCTCCTCCAGAGCAGAACCCCGGATCCTCAGGGGTTGCCTGGGGGTGTGTGTTTCAATGTCTCTGCTGTATGACTCTGCGTGTGTGTGCGTGTGTGTCTGTGTGTGTGTCTCCCATTCTCTCTTCTCTCTCTGTCTCTCACTCTCTGTGTGTTTCTTTCCCACTCTCTGTGGGTTTGTACCAGCCGAAGTTGCGTCAGGGCTACCAGGTCGGTGGAGGATTGGGGGTGTTGCGAAATTGGCAGAAACCTCTTTGCTCCTCTGGTAGGCATTTGAAAACGTGGCTTGGGTCAGGCACAGTCGGCACCCCCACCTCCCGGTTCCCAGGTGTGGTTTGATTTTCCTTGGCACTGACGGAAATGTCACCCGTTTCCCCCTTCCACCGGCATATGCCTGGACCCCACCCTTCGTTTCGCCGTCGCCCCGTATGCCTCCGGTGACACACATTAACACCAACTGCTGTGGGATTAGCCGGTGCCACGCGTGGTCACATGGTCTCCCCCTGGGTTTCGCCTCTGTTCCTCTTTGCAGTTGTCCGGTAAAGCGCGTTCGGCTTTCCGGAACCCCTGGGCTTTTACAAGCGGGGCAGGCCACTGCACTTTCAAAGGAGGAGGGAGGCAGAGGGCTGATGGATGAGTGAATTTGCTCTGACAATAGGCCTTGAGACCTATGGGGTCATTGTGTGCTGCAGCGAGGCCCTGCCGGCCTGACCACATGTGGTGAGCCCATCCTATGTCACTCCGAGGGGGCCAGAATGGGATCTCAACGGGAGTCCAGAGAACACAGCAGGCGTCCTGAAGCTCCCCCTCCCTTGGTGGAAGTCGGCTCAAGCAGGTCCTGAGGACAGGAGCCCTGGGGGTTTGGGCCTGGGACAGGACGAGACACCCGCGGTCCCCTCTCCCATGCCACCCCAAACAGGACCCAGGACACAGCCGCCTTCGCGGCGGCAGCAGGAGCATCGCGGCCGCCGCGCGGCGGTCGCGATATTTAAAGGGGACGCAGCCTATCTGTCAGGAGTGGAGCGTGAGTCGGCTCAGCCAATGCGCATGCGCGAGGCCCCAGCGGTTGCTCCAGTCACAGTGGTTCCCACGGTTGTCTTAGAAACCAGTCCCCGAGGCTTTGCAGAGCAGGAGCCCTCCGTGGCAGTGCTTGGGTATCGAGGCTCTGAGGCTCCGGTCTCACCTCTCCACGGGCTCGAAGGGAAACTCTCCTGATGCCAGCAGTCGCAAAGGGCCGACTATGAAGATGAAACCCCAGGTGGAGACCGGGGAAGCAGCACGGGATCCCAGCCTCAGGCCTGCACGGACGGTGTTTGTTGGGGTGAGTCTCGCCAAAAGTCGCGCCGCTGTCCGTGATCTCGAGGACGGGTCGGCCTGCGTTCCCCTCGGCTGCTCTCTCACCCGAGGTTCGTTCTCCTCCAGAGCAGAACCCCGGATCCTCAGGGGTTGCCTGGGGGTGTGTGTTTCAATGCCTGTGCTGTATGACTCTGCGTGTGTGTGCGTGTGTGTCTGTGTGTGTGTCTCCCATTCTCTCTTCTCTCTCTGTCTCTCACTCTCTGTGTGTTTCTTTCCCACTCTCTGTGGGTTTGTACCAGCCGAAGTTGCGTCAGGGCTACCAGGTCGGTGGAGGATTGGGGGTGTTGCGAAATTGGCAGAAACCTCTTTGCTCCTCTGGTAGGCATTTGAAAACGTGGCTTGGGTCAGGCACAGGAGGCCCCCCTACCCCACGGTTCCCAGGTGTTGTTTGTTTTTCCTTGGCGTTGACGGAAATGTCACCCGTTTCCCCCTTCCACCGGCATATCCCTGGACCCCACCCTTCGTTTTGCCGTCGCCCCGTATGCCTCCGGTGACACACATTAACACCAACTGCTGTGGGATTGGCCAGTGCCACGCGTGGTCACATGGTCTCCCCCTGGGTTTCGCCTCTGTTCCTCTTTGCAGTTGTCCTGTACAGCGCGTTCGGCTTTCCGGAAACCCTGGGCTTTTACAAGCGGGGCAGGCCACTGCACTTTCAAAGGAGGAGGGAGGCAGAGGGCTGATGGATGAGTGAATTTGCTCTGACACTAGGCCTTGAGACCTATGGGGTCATTGTGTGCTGCAGCGAGGCCCTGCCGGCCTGACCACATGTGGTGAGCCCATCCTATGTCACTCGGAGGGGGCCAGAATGGGATCTCAACGGGAGTCCAGAGAACACAGCAGGCGTCCTGAAGCTCTCCCTCCCTTGGTGGAAGTCGGCTCAAGCAGGTCCTGAGGACAGGAGCCCTGGGGGTTTGGGCCTGGGACAGGACGAGACACCCGCGGTCCCCTCTCCCATGCCACCCCAAACAGGACCCAGGACACAGCCGCCGCTTCGGCGGCAGCAGGAGCATCGCGGCCGCCGCGCGGCAGTGGCGATATTTAAAGGGGACGCAGCCTATCTGTCAGGAGTGGAGCGTGAGTCGGCTCAGCCAATGCGCATGCGCTAGGCGCCAGCGGTTTCTCCCGTCACAGTGGTTCCCACGGTTGTCTTAGACACTAGTCCCCGAGGCTTGGCAGAGCAGGAGCCCTCCGTGGCAGTGCTTGGGTATCCAGGCTCTGAGGCTCCGGTCTCACCTCTCCACGGACTCGAAGGGAAACTCTCCTGATGCCAGCAGTCGCAAAGGGCCGACTATGAAGATGAAACCCCAGGTGTAGACGGGGGAAGCAGCACGGGATCCCAGCCTCAGGCCTGCACGGACGGTGTTGGTTGGGGTGAGTCTCGCCAAAAGCCTTACCGCCATCCGTGATCTCGAGGACGGGTCGGCCTGCGTTCCCCTCGGCTGCTCTCTCACCCGAGGTTCGTTCTCCTCCAGAGCAGAACCCCGGATCCTCAGGGGTTGCCTGGGGGTGTGTGTTTCAATGCCTCTGCTGTATGACTCTGCGTGTGTGTGCGTGTGTGTCTGTGTGTGTGTCTCCCATTCTCTCTTCTCTCTCTGTCTCTCACTCTCTGTGTGTTTCTTTCCCACTCTCTGTGGGTTTGTACCAGCCGAAGTTGCGTCAGGGCTACCAGGTCGGTGGAGGATTGGGGGTGTTGCGAAATTGGCAGAAACCTCTTTGCTCCTCTGGTAGGCATTTGAAAATGTGGCTTGGGTCAGGCACAGGAGGCCCCCCTACCCCACGGTTCCCAGGTGTTGTTTGTTTTTCCTTGGCGTTGACGGAAATGTCACCCGTTTCCCCCTTCCACCGGCATATCCCTGGACCCCACCCTTCGTTTCGCCGTCGCCCCGTTTGCCTCCGGTGTCACACGTTAACACCAACTGCTGTGGGATTGGCCAGTGCCACGCGTGGTCACGTGGTCTCCCCCTGGATTTCGCCTCTCTTCCTCTTTGCAGTTGTCCTGTTAAGCACGGTCGGCTTTCCGGAACCCCTGGGCTTTTACAAGCGGGGTAGGCCACTGCTCTTTCAAAGGAGGAGGGAGGCAGAGGGCTGATGGATGAGTGAATTTGCTCTGACACTAGGCCTTGAGACCTATGGGATCATTTTGTGCTGCAGCGAGGCCCTGCCGGCCTGACCACGTGTGGTGAGCCCATCCTATGTCACTCGGAGGGGGCCAGAATGGGATCTCAACGGGAGTCCAGAGAACACAGCAGGCGTCCTGAAGCTCCCCCTCCCTTGGTGGAAGTCAGCTCAAGCAGGTCCTGAGGACAGGAGCCCTGGGGGTTTGGGCCTGGGACAGGACCAGACACCCGTCGCCCTCTCTCCCACGCCGCCTGAAACAGGACCCAAGACACAGGCGCTGCCGGGGCGGCAGCAGGAGCATCGCGGCCGCCGCGCGGCGGTGGCGATATTTAAAGGGGACGCAGCCTATCTGTCAGGAGTGGAGCGTGAGTCGGCTCAGCCAATGCGCATGCGCTAGGCGCCAGCGGTTTCTCCCGTCACAGTGATTCCCACGGTTGTCTTAGACACTAGTCCCCGAGGCTTGGCAGAGCAGGAGCCCTCCGTGGCAGTGCTTGGGTATCCAGGCTCTGAGGCTCCGGCCTCACCTTTCCACGGGGTCGAAGGGAACCTCTCCTGATGACAGCAGTCGCAAAGGGCGGACCATGATGATGATACCCCAGGCGGAGACGGGGGAAGCAGCACGGGATCCCAGCCTCAGGCCTGCACGGACGGTGTTGGTTGGGGTGAGTCTCACCAAAAGTCGTGCCGGCGTCCGTGATCTCGAGGACGGGTCGGCCTGCGTGCCCCTCGGCTGCTCTCTCACCCGAGGGTCATTCTCCTCCAGAGCAGAACCCCGGATCCTCAGGGGTTGCCTGGTGTTGTGTGTTTCAATGCCTCTGCTGTATGACTCTGCGTGTGTGTGCGTGTGTGTCTGTGTGTGTGTCTCCCATTCTCTCTTCTCTCTCTGTCTCTCACTCTCTGTGTGTTTCTTTCCCACTCTCTGTGGGTTTGTACCAGCCGAAGTTGCGTCAGGGCTACCAGGTCGGTGGAGGATTGGGGGTGTTGCGAAATTGGCAGAAACCTCTTTGCTCCTCTGGGAGGCATTTGAAAACGTGGCTTGGGTCAGGCACAGGAGGCCCCCCTACCCCACGGTTCCCAGGTGTTGTTTGTTTTTCCTTGACGTTGACGAAAATGTCACCTGTTTCCCCCTTCCACCGGCATATCCCTGGACCCCACCCTTCGTTTTGCCGTCGCCCCGTATGCCTCCGGTGACACACATTAACACCAACTGCTGTGGGATTGGCCAGTGCCACGCGTGGTCACATGGTCTCCCCCTGGGTTTCGCCTCTGTTCCTCTTTGCAGTTGTCCTGTACAGCGCGTTCGGCTTTCCGGAACCCCTGGGCTTTTACAAGCGGGGCAGGCCACTGCTCTTTCAAAGGAGGAGGGAGGCAGAGGGCTGATGGATCGGTGAATTTGCTCTGACACTAGGCCTTGAGACCTATGGGGTCATTGTGTGCTGCAGCGAGGCCCCGCCGGCCTGACCAGATGTGGTGAGCCCATCCTATGTCACTCGGAGGGGGCCAGAATGGGATCTCAACGGGAGTCCGGAGCCACACAGCAGGCGTCCTGAAACTCCCCCTCCCTCGCTGGGAATCGGCTCAAGCAGGTCCTGAGGACAGGAGCCCTGGGGGTTTGGGCCTGTGACACGACGAGACACCCGCGGCCCCCGCTCCCACGCCGCCCCAAACAGGACCCAGGACACAGCCGACGCCGGGGCGGCAGCAGGAGCATCGCGGCCGCCGCCCGGCGGTGGCGATATTTAAAGGGGACGCAGCCTATCTGTCAGGAGTGGAGCGTGAGTCGGCTCAGCCAATGCGCATGCGTGAGCCGTCAGCTGTTTCTCGCGTCACAGTGGTTCCCACGGTTGTCTTAGACACCAGTCCCCGAGGCTTGGCAGAGCAGGAGCCCTCCGTGGCAGTGCTTGGGTATCGAGGCTCTGAGACTCCGGCCTCACCTCTCCACGGGGTCGAAGGGAACCTCTCCTGATGACAGCAGTCGCAAAGGGCCGACCATGATGATGAAACCCCAGTCGGAGACGGGGGAAGCAGCACGGGATCCCAGCCTCAGGCCTGCACGGACGGTGTTGGTTGGGGTGAGTCTCTCCAAAAGCCTTGCCGCTGTCCGTGATCTCGAGGACGGGTCGGCCTGCGTGCCCCTGGGCTGCTCTCTCACCCGAGGGTCGTTCTCCTCCAGAGCAGAACCCCGGAGCCTCAGGGGTTGCCTGGGGGTGTGTGTTTCAATGCCTCTGCTGTATGACTCTGCGTGTGTGTGTGTGTGTCTGTGTGTTTGTCTCCCATTCTCTCTTCTCCCTCTGTCTCTCAGTCTCTGTGTGTTTCTTTCCCACTCTTTGTGGGTTTGTTCCAGCCGAAGTTGCATCAGGGCTACGAGTTCGGTGGAGGATTGGGGGTGTTGCGAAATTGGCAGAAACCTCTTTGTTCCTCTGGTAGGCATTTGAAAACGTGGCTTGGGTCAGGCACAGACGTCCCCTACACCCTCCGGGTCCCAGGTGTTGTTTGATTTTCCTTGGCATTGACGGAAAGGTCACCCGTTTCCCCCTTCCACCGGCACGTGCATGGACCCCACCCTTCGTTTCGCCGTCGCCCCGTTTGCCTCCGGTGTCACACGTTAACACCAACTGCTGTGGGATTGGCCAGTGCCACGCGTGGTCACATGGTCTCCCCCTGGATTTCGCCTCTGTTCCTCTTTGCAGTTGTCCTGTAAAGCATGGTCGGCTTTCCGGAACCCCTCGGCTTTTACAAGCGGGGCAGGCCACTGCTCTTTCAAAGGAGGAGGGAGGCAGAGGGCTGATGGATGAATGAGTTTGCTCTGACACTAGGCCTTGAGAACTATGGGGTCATTGTGTGCTGCAGCGAGGCCCTGCCGGCCTGACCACATGTGGTGAGCCCATCCTATGTCACTCGGAGGGGGCCAGAATGGGATCTCAACGGGAGTCCAGAGAACACAGCAGGCGTCCTGAAGCTCCCCCTCCCTTGGTGGAAGTCGGCTCAAGCAGGTCCTGAGGACAGGAGCCCTGGGGGTTTGGGCCTGGGACAGGACCAGACACCCGTCGCCCCCTCTCCCACGCCGCCTGAAACAGGACCCAGGACACAGGCGCTGCCGGGGCGGCAGCAGGAGCATCGCGGCCGCCGCGCGGCGGTGGCGATATTTAAAGGGGACGCAGCCTATCTGTCAGGAGTGGAGCGTGAGTCGGCTCAGCCAATGCGCATGCGCTAGGCGCGAGCGGTTTCTCCCGTCACAGTGGTTCCCACGGTTGTCTTAGACACCAGTTCCCGAGGCTTGGCAGAGCAGGAGCCCTCCTTGGCACTGCTTGGGCATCCAGGCTCTGAGGCTCCGGCCTCACCTTTCCACGGGGTCGAAGGGAACCTCTCCTGATGACAGCAGTCGCAAAGGGCCGACCATGATGATGAAACCCCAGGCGGAGACGGGGGAAGCAGCACGGGATCCCAGCCTCAGGCCTGCACCGACGGTTTTGGTTGGGGTGAGTCTCACCAAAAGTCGTGCCGCCGTCCGTGATCTCGAGGACGGGTCGGCCTGCGTGCCCCTGGGCTGCTCTCTCACCCGAGGGTCGTTCTCCTCCAGAGCAGAATCCCGCAGCCTCAGGGGTTGCCAGAGGGTGTGTGTTTCAATGCCTCTGTTGTATGACTCTGCGTGTGTGTGTGTGTCTGTTTGTGTGTCTCCCATTCTCTCTTCTCTCTCTATCTCTCAGTCTCTGTGTGTTTCTTTCCCTCTCTCTATGGATTTGTGTGTGTATGCCGGTGTGCATGTGTGTCTTTGGCCGAATGTGCCCTGTGCGGCACAAAGTGGTTTGTCGCATGGTGGCCTGTCTTTGGCGAGCCTCTTTCTGCTTCTCTGCCTGGGTCATGAAGCCGGCTGTCAATCATTTTTGCCGCGGCGGATCCGCTTTGGGTGTGTGAAAGCCTGGCCCACGTGAGGAGACGCGTCGCTCCCGGAGCAAGTGAAATCTCATCCCCATCCTGTGCAGCCTCTTTTCTAGGATCAAGATGAACATACTGCAGCGGAGGACAAGAGCCCCAGAGGAACTCTTTGTCCCACAGGAGAGCAGCGGATCCACGCTAGAGAAGACGCTTGTATCTCTTCACGGCTCTTCTCTGAGAAATGAAGCCACTCCACGATACAGTCAGCAAGAGGAAACCGGGAATGGAAGATGGCAACAATCCCTGTCACTGGAACGCTGGCCTCTCTGGACAAGCCACCCTTTTGGAACCCCACCCCTTACACCCGTGGCCGTGGCACAGTGCTGTATCCTGCCTGTGCTCTGGCCTCTGCTCTCTCCTCCCTCTGGCTCTGCCTCCCCTATTTCTCAGGGGCCTGGATGTGTTTCGCTCTGGCCGAATGCCTTCAACAAAGATGACTTCCCAGTCCGTCAAGGAGACACTTCCTGGAGGTCCGTGTCATGATCGTTTCTGTCTCCAAACCTGTTTCTGCTTAATTGGGCAGGTATCATGACCCAGGAGCTCTTGGCTTCCATACGTGTCTCAGGCAGGGAAGCTTTCTTCTTCCCCACGTTTTCCCTCATGGGTGGGTGGATTGCCTAGAATGAGTGCTACGAGACTGTGACTGGCCTTGTCTTCCAGGACAGGTGGTGTCCCATTTCCTCTGCATTTCCTGTCTCATTCTTGAGGGACATCCTCTCCTCTGCTTCTGGGTGGCCTGACTCCCTTGATCTTCTGGAAGAGCTGATGTGGGCTTGAAGCCCCAGCTGTGACAATAAGAACACAGTGACTCGTGACTACGTCTTGACTGAAATGCAGGCCTTGAATCTAATCATTACGTTGAAAAGAGGTGTTGAGCCTACGAAATGAAGGCATGTCTGGAAAAAGAGACACAGCAATATGTTACAGCCAAACTATAACCTAAATCCCACGAACGCATGTCATCCCACCTGCTATTCGTTTCTGTCAGAGCTGTCACCCAGTGATCTACAAACGAGAAAGGGGAGAAACAGCTTTGAAAAGAAATGCTACCTTTTGGGTAGTGAAGGCAGCTATGTGGCTGATACCTCATGCTCCTTGTGTTATTTCCACCCCTTCGGTGGTACTCCATGAATTTCACCCCACATCTGAGAAACGGCTGGTTCAGCAAGCTAACAGCATACAGATCCTACTCTTTTCTATTTTAACCAAAAAAATTCCTAAGTGGTATTCCTTAAATCTTGAGCAAGTACGATTCCTTAAATCTTGAGCAAATCTTGAGAAAACTGTGTCCTACTAAAATTAAAAGGTATTCTCCTGGGAAGTGGGCCCTATGTCTATTAAACATACTTAGCAAAATCTCTTGCTGTGTCGCTATTTCCAGAAGGTCCTTAGCACTCACCAGGAACAGTGGTTGCCTCTAGGAATGAAATGGGATGACGGAAGACCTGGGGAGCCGTGGCAGGAGGAGACACTCATGATGCGCCTTTTGGCCATAGGTAGTTATTTTCCACATGCATGGAGTGCCTTGTATTGAACCAGAACTAGTAATTATAATACCTTGCATTTATATAATGTTTTGCAGCTGTATTAATGTCTTCATATCAGTTCTCTCATCTGAGTCTCTGTTGTTTGCATGAGGTTGCATTACTAGCTCCATTTTGCCACAGAGGAAATTGAATTCAAAGAATTCAAAGGGCTTTAGAGATTTACTATGAGGAAATATTGGAGGCCAAGCTAAAACGTAAGCTTCCAAACACTCAGCAAATCTTTCTTCCACCACACCACATTACTCTCAAGGAGGAGGGAGAGAAGAAATGAGGAAAAAAATCCAAATTTTTTCCTTCAAAGGTAAGTAGTTAGAATCATCAGTTTTGGAATGTATTATCAGTAAATGAACCAAGGTGATCTTCCTGAGGCCAATTTAAAATCTAATTCAAATTATTTTAATTATTAAACAATAAGATGTCTTCCCTTTATGTTTAATTCAACAAGCATAAAGAACAGGATGAATTTTAATTATCTGAGAATAATTAGGAACATATTTCTTTCCTATCACTCTTAGGGCCAAATCACATTTCTAAAGTGAAACCTAATCTAAGAACTTTCCAATACAATATCATATAATTAGGTAATTTAAAAATATATTTTGAAAATGAAATCTCTAAACATCATTCATTAACAGACTCTGATATTCCCTTCAGTCACTGTCATGGCTAAGAAAGCAACTCCAACCCACACACTGCAAATATGAAGGACCACGAAAGGCACGCAGGCTCTGGTTTGCATAGTGAAGATGAGCGTCTGTGTTCCTAAGCATGAAGGAGGACCACATGAGTATCCTGGACACCTACTGCATGAATGTATTCGCCCTTTCAGATCTAGGGACCTGGTAACCATTTATTATTTGTACTCTGATTTTCTTCCATTTCTTTCTCCAGTCCATAAATGTAACTTAAGTGACTTATTAACACTGATGGTTTGATCACCAATAGCATGTTCCAGTTTCAGTCTTAGTGTAGGTGCCCTTATTACAGACTTGAGATAAAGTCCAGGGCTAACCACTCTTACAAATTTACACTTTGCTAAAGGGTACCTTGGGACAGAGGGAGTGCAGAGCAGAGAAAACCTACCTGTGCAACTGAGAAGGCCGCTCAGGCCACGGGGACAGGGCAGGAATGCTCTCAGGAGTGTCCCCTGAACCTGAACTTGATTTCACGCCATCACCTTCCACCTCTTAACCAGCATCTCCTGGACAGTCAGCCGAGTGTTTCCATGATACCAGCCATACCTGATGCCAGGAGACTCGCTACACTTGGAAGCTCTTCAAGGTGGGACTTTCTGTCTTGTTCAGTTTTTCATTCTCAGTAGTCAACACAGGACCTTATACTTAAAGGAAATAAGTATAATGTCCTAACAAGTGTTTCTGGAATAAATGATCATGGCTGAAATGAGCATTTGAAATGACGATATATCTAGAAAGAACAGAAAATATACACTGGACGTATTTTAGGTGGCTGAGATTATTGAATGGGAAAATAGTGAGATCTTACAATTGAATGGGTATCATAAATGCTTCCTGTATAATATCTGATTTTGCCCTTATCACAAAGAATTCATATAACCAAAACTATATCCCTAAAAATGTCTTCCTAAACATGAAAACAAATTATTTGACTTCATAATGCCGCTTTTTACCCCAAAGTGTCTGACCCTTTCACTAAACATTACTCGGTGTTAAATAGTATAGATATAATTTCTCTGAAATTCACTGAATATGATTTTCAAATGCTGTAATTCCTAAAAATAATATCTAGGCTGCCTTTAATTTCTCATGTCAGTAATAATTAATGTCCCTACGAAGCTTATGGGCAATCAGAAACATTTGTTTATAACATACTGAAGAATTTTTAAACAACCACAGAATATGAATATAATAAGATAAAATATTAAATATTTCCAGGCATGCTTATCTTTGTGAACTGAATCTTGGAGAAGCAGGATTGAAAATAAGAGCTATCTTTGAGGCTCTAGCACCTACAAGAGACACCCTCCCTCTCCACCATGGATCACCTGTCTCACCCGTGTGAGTCTCCACACAGAAACCAGTCATGGCCCTGCCTTTGCCCCCCTTGAAATCACCCAAGAGGATGCTTCAAACTCAGGCAAGCACAACTGATACTCACTCTGCATGCAACAGCAGGGGAGTGACCTTACAAGAAACTAATGGGCCTCACTTCCTGAGAATCACTGTCAGAGCCCATAACATAAGATAAATCACAGCCAAGGATTTTTGAAAAGTTTCCTGATGAGAGAACCATGACCTTTTCAAGGGTAGTGATGGATTGATCAGGGCAAGCAATAGGTAGATTTTTTAAAACAAGCCTGGCACAAAAACAATGATATATATCTACCAAAGTTGGCTAGAATACCTGGCTGATGTCCCAGTCAGGAAACACAGGAAAAGGTTACATCTGTAGAAAAAAAACAGCTTGTTAAGCAAAACAATGCAGTCAAAAACCAAGCTCACTGTAAGAAATGCCATGTGGGCCAGTGGGGACGGCCATGCCGAAAGCGCTCAGTGCTCCTGAAGCTGGGTGGCAGGTGTTTTCACACACAAAGGCCTTCCTTGCTCGGGCCATGGGATAAGCCTTTGAGTGGAGACCTAGCAAGGAGCTTTGAAGTCTGCGTTGGGGGTGGAAGGTGGCAATCCCATTAGACAGCTCTCCCTGGTGTGAATTTATGAAGCCCCATGCAGACTGTGACTTTTAAAATAATCATTTAGTTGGTTCTAGCACATATCGCAGGTTTCATTACAGGCTGCCCCTTAACGAGCATTGTAACCTGGAGGAAAGAATCCAAATTCTTTAGTCACCACCTAACTCCACATTCATTACCTTGTTGCCCAGGGTGGAGTCCAAAAGCAGCAACTATGTTTATTTCTCCATAGAAAATAAATGTTCACCAAGGCACGTCTGTTCTATTACTTTTTTATTCTTAACTAGACCGTTAATATAATTGTTGGTTGCATTGATTTCAACTTCCCCACACGATGCAATCGGCTTTCTGCCGTATTTCAATCACACTAACCAAGAGAGACATCAGACATTCAGAATAGACTCTGGACCAAAACCGAGGGCAGGGGAGAGGTGGGCGGGCCAGGCACAGCTCTGCTGAAGCACTGGTTTGACATGTCGAGTTGAAGTGTTTCTACTCAAAACACCTGTCTCCCTGCCAAGGTGAAGGCTAGATGGTAAAAAAGAAAGTTCCCTTTTTTCTGATAAACTAGGCTGTCTCCATAGGAAGTACCCTGAAGGCCCCCAGCTCCGACTCCGAGAGCAGAGCCCAGACTCTCCTACTTTGAACGGACATGAGCTCTATGCCTCTTGGGGTTTCTCTGCCTGCCCAGTCACCCTGGATAACGTGCTTGCCCTAGATTGTCTCCTAGGCCAAGTCCTCTCCAAGTTCTTGGCCCTTTGTCCTAAGGTTGGATCTCTTCCTCTCGCTTCCCTTGCTCCGAGCTGTGTCTCTGGATACACCCCCTGCAAACTACGCTTCCTGAGCTCGGCTGGCATCTGGCTGTGTTCAGCAAATGGGAAGCCCAGACAGGGGACTGGAGAGCAGGAAGACGGGAGAACAAGGAGATTTCTCCTCCTTCAGCAGCCACAGCAGCAATGGCGTGTCCTCCACAGTTAACTGGAAGAAAAAGCCTGAGTCCTTGTCTCCTCCTGGATTGCCAAAGGGTCTTCTCCTTAGACATGTAAATACACAAATATTCGCATTTTTTAGTAACCCTTGAAAGATTTAACTGCCTGAATTTAACACCAGTAAAAACAAATGTAGCAATATGAAATTGCAACTCACTGAGAGCATTACGATTCAGAAAGTGAAGAAATGCGGGGCCAGCTCCAGCCGCAGCGCAACTGTCCACGAGTCCGGCCGCAGCGCACCTGTCCCCAAGTGTCCACCTCTAAGGCAGTGTTCTTCAACACGCACCACGCGCATCCTCAGCTGGGCATTTCCAGAGGGAGCAAGTCTCTGAGAGGCAGGTCTAGCGCTAAGCTTTCAACAAGTCGCAGGCTATACTTCCGAACACAATGAAATGAGAATGACTTCACATCTCAGCAGAGCCAAAAGCAGTAGACAAATAAGCAATGATGAGATTTGTTTTTTTTTTTCTTCCCTCTTTCCGGACACTCACTCCTGCCTCCCATCGTACCGTCCTGGAAACAGGAAGAAGGTGTGTATCTTGGTACAAGCATCAACTATGCACAGGTCCACTTTAATGGGGGAAAGGACAGGGAGTGAGATAAATAAATATGATGCGATGTCTCCAAAAGAGGAACATTATACTGGGAACATCCATACACGGTTCAAAATTGCATCCATATTTAGTTATTACTTAGAAATCATCAAGGAAATAAATGCTTTCTTTTTTTTTTCTAGGACTTCTTTAAAGAGAGGTTAGGGAAAGCTTTCAGTTATATTTTCTGTCACCTTCCGCAATTTTAAATTGGATGAAATAGTGGGAGACTTTGTTTTTATGGCTTTCTCCTTTCAACTATTGTAACAAACAGCTACCTGTGCTTAGCATGCTTAAAGGCTGGATGGGACCATCTCTATATTATGGCCCAAACAAAATTGGCTTCTGGAACAAGTGTGGCTGTTTTGAACTCGATCCACTTGAGTCGGAGATGAGGTTGACAGAGGGAGGACCAACTGTGTATAAAGCTCCTTTAGGGAATATCCTGCTAATGTGATCTACATTTCAAAGTGGAAATCAAATATTCACTGCCACTGGAGTCTTGATATTTCTAGGATTATCAAAAGTACTTTCCTCTGACACAGGAGATATCATAACTTGACTTGGGGTTGAATTCAAATGCTGCCACAAAATAGCTGTCTGTGCATGACACCTCATCTTTTTTTCATCTTTAAGATGAAGTCCTGAAATTTCAGGACACTTCCAACTTCAAAACGTTCATTCCATGCAACAGAAAGGCAACACGTTGATGACTCCTGTCCCGAATCATATTCTATCTTGTACCTTGCTATCAGTCGGTAAAACTGCAGATGCTGACTTAGACAACAAGCTTTATATCATTGACTACCAAACAATGTCAGGTTGAACTTTGTACGAAGGGGTAGGTTGGTAAACACCTGGCCAGTGTGGTGAAGTGTGGCTGGTGTTGGAGGGAAAGGAAGAGGAGATGACAGTCACATTAGGAAGCTGCTCTGCCCTGAGATGAGCTCAGTGATTCACAAAACGCCATCGCCAAACCTGGCACCTACTGCCAGTCCCCAGTGACTCCCTGGGTAATAAAGAAATTCCGGGGCTCTTAAGAGTCGTCGTCTGTTTGAGGGGTAGCTCTAATGTGCCTAGATCTAAACAGAACCACTTAAAATGCCGACAGAATAGAGAAACCTGTAGTGGAATCCCCTGACTTCCCAGCTTTCTAGGGCCTGCTCTGAAGATTCTGGTCCTGGTCCCCACCTACAGCTAAGAATAGATTTCAGAGGCCGAGGCAGGTGGATCACGAGGTCATGAGATCGAGACCATCCTGGCTAACACCGTGAAACCCCGTCTCTACTAAAAATACAAAAAATTAGCTGGCTTGGTGGTGGGCGCCTGTAGTCCCAGCTACTAGGGAGGCTGAGGCAGGAGAATGGCGTGAACCCAGGAGGCGGAGCTTGCAGTGAGCCCAGATCTCGCCACTGCACTCAAGACTGGGAGAGAGAGCAAGACTCCAACTCAAAAAAAGAATAGATGTCAGGTGGGCACAGGATCCAAACTGTGGACTAAAGTTGCCATTAGAAGCTTGCTCTGAAATTGCTTTACAATCCTGTACTCTTTCTATCCACCAATTTTGACACCAATGGGATATGAAACTTTACGTTTAAACTCAGTATCACCCTTTCATGTGAATTCAGAAATTCCAAGTTGGTGATCATTTTTATATGACGTTAGCAACAATTAAACTAACGTCTCTTTGCCTGGACTTCTTTTCCAGAAAGTGTCCTATGTGGTGGAGGGTGGAGGAGTGAAAGGGGGCTAGGAAGAGAGTGTCTAATTTAGTCTTGAAATATTACAGTGGCTTCAATACTGTTGTGTACAGGGATCTTTACTGTTTTACATATTATTTCATGTGTACATGGGCTCAATTACTTTTGAAACAAATTAGCCAAAAAAGATAACTGATGCTTAAGCCTATCACTTAGCTAAATACATATAAGAATAGCTGTATTTCAATAGGCATGAAGACAAGAATAAGGATGAGATCATGTCCTTGGGTGAAGCAAATTTTGACTTAATTCTCTATTGAATATTTTATCAGGGGAATCAAAAAGTTGAGAAGATTCTGTTCTGCCATGTAAACTAAAAGCCATCCAGTAGATGAGAAATTGAAAACCACAAAGCTTGGGGAAAAAAATGAATGCTTTAGAGCATAAATTTTTCCATTAAATTATGCCAATAAACTTAGGACCTTGAAAGTTACTATGCTCAAATATATTTCAAAAGGAAGAAAATGCTCTTTTCAAAGTAGGGACTAGAAATTGAATGTATAGAGTAGCAAGATTTTTTAATTCCACTAGCATAAATAAACCAATTTATTACTTCCTATTAATTCAATATCAATCTGTTTGAATTGAATGTGCATTTATTAATATAGAAGATACCTTTGCAAATTACTCAATTAAAATAAAAACAAGCCTAGGTATATGACTATCTCTATATTTTCTAAGCTTTCCAGATGCATACTTGTTTTCCCACTGGTTGCATAAGAATACCAAACATTAATTGAGGGTTGTTATATCAAAAAGAGTAAGAACAACTCCTGAGATTCGAAAGCCATGGGAAGTTGCTGAGCTCAAGTATTCATCTCATACTAGTCAAAGTTAGGGATAGTAGAAGAGGAGGGGTTGGATTGAAGTGTAGGAACCCATGTTGCTGCAATGATTGGAAGCTCCTAATTAACAGGAACTATGGAGTGGAATAAAGTGAACTTATCATGGGGACCCTAGTGTTCCCTGTAGTGCTTTCTCCTCCTCTCTACTGGACACTCTTTTTCTTCTTTGTCTTTTTCCATTCAATAAAAGCAAGCCATTTATATGATTCAATAGACTGTGGATTGAGAATCAGAATTTTGGAGTTGTTAGTAATTAACAAAGTAATTATCCAAGCATTTAATTTCACTGGACATGATAGCAGTTGAAATGATGATTTCTTGTTATTCCTTGATTCTACATTTAAAACACATTATTGTCCCATTTTATTTCAAGGAGGAATAAAATAGGAGAGAGAAATATAAAGCAAAGGGAAATGAAGAAAGAAGCTTAAAATGAAATGTGAGACATAATCCCAGGATTATCTTCAGAAAAATTCTTAAATCTTAGTTTGGTTGTGTACAGGTTAATCTATGTAGGCCCTCCTTCTGGGATTTTCTTATCTGTAATAGAAATATTGATTCCACTATGACCTCTGTCTCTCTTGGTTGTTAGAACTCCAGATGCCAATAATGCAGGAAAAGGCACAAAGTGAACATCTTTGTCAAGAGCCATGGATACAGCAACCGCTCACTATATGGTGAAGGGAATACCCTTCTCTGTAGCTAAAAGATGACTCAGTTTCTAAGTTATTATTTCCACCAAAATATCACATTCTTCCAACTTTCCATCATCATCCACTCCTACCCCAGTGCAATTTATGCAAATGTCAGCACCCTACACCACCCCTTTCCTACACCAACACTTTCCTACACAACCCCTTTCCTACACCAACCCCTTCGTACACCAAATCTTTCCTACATCAACCCTTTCCTACAACACCCCTTTCCTACACCAAATCTTTCCTACACCAAGCCTTTCCTACACCAAGCCTTTCCTACACCAAAGTTTTCCTATATCACCCCTTCCCTACACCACACCTTTCCTACACCAACCCTTGCCTACACCAACACTTTCCTGCAACACCCTTTCCTACAACATCCCTTTCCTACACCACCCCTTTCCTACACCACCCCTTCCCTACACCACCCCTTTCCTACACCACCCTTTCCTACACCACCCCTTTCCTATACCACCCTTTCCTACACCACCCCTTTCCTGCACCAACCCTTTCCTACACCAACCCTCTCTTCCTGCCTGCTCATCATTCCCTCTTACACGTGTGTGGTCTCATTCACTCTGTGCTCCACTCCCTATCCCTATCCCTCACATGATCTAACTTACAAACCAGGACTCCTTCTCTTTCACATGCCCCAATCCTTCCACCATCCCCACACAAATCACCTCCCTCAATAAATACACAGAAGTTGGCCAGGAGTGGCAGCTCACCCATGTAATCCCAGCACATTGGGAGGCAGAGGCAGGCAGATCACTTGAGGTCAGGAGCTCAAGACCAGCCTGGCCAACACGGTGAAACCCTGTCTCTACTAAAAATACAAAAAATAGCTGGGCATGGTGGTGTGTGCCTGTAATCCCAGCTACTCGGGAGGCTGACATGAGAATCGTTTGAACCCAGGAGGTGGAGGTTGCAGTGAGCCGAGATCGCGCCAATTCACTTCAGCCTGGACAACAGAGCAAGAATCCATCTCAAAAAAATAAATTAAATAAATAAACAAATACACAGAAGTTATGCAGACAGCTGCACTATCATGAACAGATAACACATTAACTAACATTTTAGTAAGGACACACCGGGAGTGAGTGTTCAGTGGCTGGAGCAAAGGAAGTCATGGAAATAAGTCAGTAGAAATGTTCCAGTTTTGGAAACATGGCATCATGCATGAGATGGGATTTCCAAGACTAGGAATCAGATTTATTTTTCTTAGGCATGCTGGGACTAAGCATCCTTTCATAACACCAGTGTTTGTGGTATTGGGAATCCCAGTGATCTCACATTGCAATCCTTCATTACCATCATGTGCAAAGCAGCTTTGAAGATGTCTCTGCTCTGAATTGCATTGTCTTCACAGAAAAGTGTGGGGAAGATCCCACTTCTGAGGCTGCAGGACACACAGAATGACCTTTCCTCTGCCATTCCCTGTACGGTGCCATTGGTTGCTTTAAACACATTTTTATTAGAACTGAAACTTTAAACATAGCCTTGCCAGTAGCTTCAAAAAGACACCAGCTAATCTACAAGCATATATGGCCCACCATTTTCTCAAATAGCAATGAGAGTAAAATAAATAGGGTAATATGGTTTATCATTGCCTCAAGCAATGTGCAGAATTGTTAATAGTAGTAACTCCTCTCCCAGAAGGAAAAGAAAAATTTAAAATACGTGAAGCAGCCTTAACAACAACAACAATATAAGCTAACAATGTATTTGTTTTTGAACATCTGCTAAATTCTTTCCCACTATTGCAGCCAGAAGCTATGCCACGCACAGCCAGATAATGTGGGCAGAGGGCACAGAGTCCAGGCACTGTTTAAATGCTGAGATAAGGGAATGTGAGTGCTTCTTTGCTTCAAATGTCCTAAATCAGCTTATTTTTAATTAGCAACAATCATCATACACACACACATTGACATTGAAGCTTCCATAATAGTGTTCTTACATTTTCAATCTGGTTAATTGAATGAGAAAACAAATTCTCCTACTAGATATGTGCTCCAAAGTGAAATTTGTGTTTTCTGTGGGATGAGGAATGCTTTCAAATGGAACATTTCTTGATTAAAGAGCCTGGACCATACAATTCATGTTGTGGGGAGGAAATGTGGCTTCAGAACATAATGAGAACTGGTTCGGTCTGCAGCTTTTCCCGTTCTCATTACGACCTTCACTATGAGAACAGATTCATATTATGGCATTTTCAACTCCTATTGTCAGCTTCTGACACAATATGAGGTATTAGGACAGTAACTGGGGTGATGCCCAGTAAGTTCCGGCCACAAATCCTACACCAATATTATGGTATGCTTCTGGAAAGAGAAAGTACTTGGACCTATTGGCAAATCCCACCAGTCACAGAGCAATAAACAGGGAAGACTGGAATACCAGCCAATCAGATCAACAGATAGGATTTTAAAACACCAAGAGCGTATCACTTTGCATCTTGGAAAACAGTGACTATTTAAATTCTGATCTTGTATTCTCTAACAAATGAGAACAATGAATGTTGCACCCCAGGACATGCTCAGGACCAAAGCACAGTTCAAATTCTGGAAGGACATCACCATGATCCTAAAGTGGGAGGAAAAACCTCCTCCCCAGTCGTCAGCAAGGACATCACCATGATCCTAAAGCGGGAAGAAAAGCCTCCTCCCCAGTCCTCAGCACTGGACATAGCCAACAGCACACCGGAGTAGGTAGAAGGCAGCAAAATAGCTACTGAAGAGCCACACATGTTTTGGAAAGCAGGTGTATAGATTGCAACAGTTTTCTTTCCAGAGATACGATTTCTTTTTTATATCAGAGTTTACAAATTTCAGACCCAGTGTTGACTTCACTTGTTATTAGCTTCTGTGTGCCTTTTCCTCATTCATAAAGTGAAGATAACAGTACCTGCCTCGCATACCTAACAGAATCTTGGCAAGCATTAAATGAGATGGTATATATGCAAGCACTTCGATAAGTACAAAGTGTCTTTACAAACATGACACAGTCATTTAAAAATCATCCTTAAGTTAGGCACCCACTGCAAAGTGAGGCCTTATTTGAGGATGTTGTTATAAAATTCATAACTGAGGCCTCCAATTTCAAGGCAAAGTGGTGACAGAAACCTGTGGTGTACAGAATCCCATCGAGGCAAGGGACAGGTATGGGACAGAAGGCTTCATGCACCCCTTCGGGCATGTCCTCTGCAAGCCTCCGGAGCAGGCCCAGAAGTCCTTCTTATGTGCTCTGTGATTTTTCCTTCCAACCGCTTCCCTGACATGGTTGAAAGATATGCACACCAAGGAAGATAATGCAAATGCTACGACGTAGTCACTTTGCAAATGCTGCAATGTTGTCACTCGCCACGCCAGCCAGCACTGGCTCTGGGAAAATGAAAAAGCCTCTGACACATTGAAACTTAGCAGCAACATTCTAACTGGGTTGAGGACAATATTCTTAATCCTCCCTAGAAAGATCAAATTAAATCAGCAGCAGGCTCTGCCTGACACAGCTCTGTGTCACTGACTGTTCCGAGGAGAAACCTAGAGACGTCTGCAGCTCTTGACTTTGTAACTCGTGTCTTTCTATAGATATTCAGTGAGCAGTGATAAGACATCCCTGCATAAGGATTAGCTCAAGACAGGGAAACGCTGTTAGAGGAGAGAGGTGGAGAACAGACACACATTTTGCCTGCCATTTAATTCAGCTAAAAGCCATCAAATTTCATGGCTAAACTTCAAACATGACTCAGTCTGAGCTTTGATTTTCCTTCCCTTTTCAGCAAGGCAACACATCTGTATATTTCAGCCCAAGCAGCTATGTATTTTAGTGAGTGTATAGTAAAAGCAGATTCTATTAATCATTAATAATTCAGAAATTAGGGGTGCATCCATTAAAAGTTCTACTTAATGTCAATTAAAACTCGAGAGCAGTGGTTTGCAAACTTGACTGTGCATAAGAAACATCTGGAAAGCATAAAAAATGCAGATTCTAGGGGCACACCTGCAGAGTCTCATTGAGTAGATCTGGAATGAAATCCCAGAAATTGCGTTTTTTAACAAGCACCCCAGGTGAAATGCATCCCACAGTCTTTCTATCTTAATGTGATTTTTATAATCCAAATTGCATTTAAATCTTTTGAAGAAAATGGAAGTAGGGAGACAATCCAAAATGCATCTTGACAGTTTTGTAGATAGTCTTTCTCTGGCTTTTCGAGATTTTAAATCAAAATTTTATGGCATATCAAGCCATAATATGAATGCTTTTTTTTTGAACCAAACAAATCAAACAAAGAAAAGATGTGTCCCCAGAAAATTATTCAGCTCCCCCAAAGCAAGCATCTTTTTAGGTGGGCTATTTCAAGGAGCTGAGTTTCATATGCTCGTGTTAACAATCTTAGCCACATTATTTAATTTAAGCATAAAGCTTTAATTTTTTGCATTCAGAATGGAAGTATAAAAGTCGTGCAACCAACTCAAGATGCTCACATATCCATGGCATATTCAATCAACAGTGAAATATGACTTCAACTGTTCTGCAATATGAACCCCAATATTTGCCATCATAGTACCTACATTTTTTTTATTTTAAAAGTCCGAGACCCTAACTACTAACTTTACGTAATAGTAACATTAAGCGCAGCAAATCTAACTAGACCAATGGTATATAACACTAGTCTGTATAGTAATTGCTCTTTTCAAATCAACTTCTTCTTGGTCTTGGGAGGAAATATTACGTTGTCTTCAGCAACTTAGAAATCTGTGAGGTATTGTTTTGTTTTGTTTTGTTTTTTGTACTTGAAATTGGGTTTTACTTTCTACAGTTTTTAATTATTTTTTCTTTCTGCTTTTTCACTAGGCTTCATAGATCTCCCTTGCACATGTGCAATTTTGCTGTGAGCCAGAAATTTGCATAGTTCATTCTTTGAATTTGGGTCTCATACTTTCTGAGGTTGGCTTGTTGCCAAAACTTTCCTTTTAAATTTTTAGCTGTTTTTAAGGTCTAAATTCTCATTTCTAGCACTTTTAATCAGGGACTTCATTTTTTTCTCCATTAATAAAAATTTTAATTTTCTACTGATACATAATGGATGTACATATTTTGGTAGTACATGTGATAATTTAATGCATTCATATAATTTGTAAAAATGAAACTAATGTAATTGAGTATCCAACACCTTAAATATTTGTCTGTTTCTTATGCTAGAAACACCTGAATGATTATCTTCTAACTATTCTGAACTGTACAGTAGCTTGTTGTAAACTATTATTTCTGGGCAAGGCCAGCTCCACGGCTACACGATCAGTGTGGCTGCAGAGACAGGCACTTGGTTTTATGCTCTACTTCAAAGTCTTAGAATTCTTAATAATTTTTGAACAAGGTACCTCACATTTTCATCGAGCCTTGTAAACAGTGTATCCAGTTAGTTTCCTTGATAATATCGAGGTGTGATATTTAATGTTTCTTTCAATAAACATTACCAGTGTGAATACGCTGCTCGGTGTGGCCATAATGCACTAACGCATTTTTGCTTTGTACCTATGTTATTGCCAACCACTGAACTAAAGAAGGGAATAAAGATATAATCCTTGCCCCCAAAGCATTGCAAACATATTGGAGGAACTTAGTGTCTCTGTATCAGATGGCATGCACTAAATATTCGCCATGAATACTCTTCCTGAATGCAAAGTCACAATTTTATATGACTTTATTCATGCACTAACAGACATATTGTACCTATTATTCTAAATGCGTGGAGGTTGGGACGATGTCTAAAACTCAGGTCATATCAGGCATTTTGTATCATGGAAAAGAACAGAATGATTCACTATCTAGTTGATGATGGTGGAGTTGGGTGGACGTAGCTACAGCGGTTCACAGTGGCCCATAGACTCTCTGGAAGTATTTTTCAGTAACACCAGGAGATGACCCTGAAGGCACAAATAATTTTCTCTCCCTCCATTTGATACGGACACAGGTTTATCCATTAACAGGATTCCAGAGCTAATCAGAATTACCTCTGATTTGGGTTTTACTCACACACCTGCTGGAAATCCATGCATGAGCTTTGTGAGAAAGGGCACAAAGGAAACCAGCCTGAAGTCTGCAGGGGCCACACAGTGCAAGCCAACAGCAGAGCTGACACAGATGCCAGAATGGTCAAAAACGAACATTTACAAAGCAATTATTGCTATATCCCACATCTTCAAAAGGTTAAGTAGAGGCATGAGAGATTAAAAAGGCCCAAACTGAACTTTTAGGGAAGAAAACTACAGTTTCCTGAGGTCAAAAAATACACAAAGTGGAAATTACAGCAGATTAGACATTGCAGGAAAAAAATTGTAAATTTGAAAGTGTGGCAATAAAAACTCCATAATGTAACATAGAAAAAATAATAGTTAAAAAAACTGAGAGCATTAGTGGGGCTAATCACAGAATGTGAGACTACTCCCAGTAGTCCAATATACATGGAATTAAAATCCTCAAAGATGGAAAAAGCAGAAGTATTAAACCCACAGATCCCAGAAGTTTAGCCCCAAGCACAAGAACCAAGAAGAAAACGACACCAAGACATGTGAAAACCAAATTGCTCAAACCAGAAATAAAAAGAAGACGCTGAAAGCCAGGAGATGTGGGAGAGGGGAAGTCATGTATATATGTATATATATATATATATATATTTTTTTTTTTTTTATTTTTTTTTTCCAGGAGTCTTGCTCTGTCGCCAAGATGGGAGTGCAGTGGTGCAATCTCCTCTCACCGCAACCTCTGCCTCCCAGGTTGAAGCAATTCTCCTGCCTCAGCCTCCCAAGTAGCTAGCACTACAGGCACCCGCCACCACGCCCAGCTGATTTTTTTTTTTTTGTATTTTTAGTAGAGACGGGGTTTCATCATGTTGGACAGGCTAGTCTTGAGCTCCTGACCTTGTGATCTGCCCTCCTCAGCCTCCCAAAGTATTGGGATTACAGGTGTGAGCCACAGCACCTGCCTAGTCAGATTCTACACAGAGGAATGAAGATAAGAATGGCCGTCTATCTCTCATCTCAAACAAGGGAAGGGAAGAGACAGAGGAGCAAAATCTCTCCAGGATTGAAAGGAAAAAAGTCAACCTAAAATTCTCTACCAGAGAAAATATCTTTCAAAGATCAAGGTAAAATCGAGTTTTCCAGACATATAAATGAAGAAATAATTCGTTACCAGCAGAACACACCACAAGAAATGTTGCAGATGGTGGATCCAGGAACACGGTTAGGACTGAATTGTCCTCAGGGATTATTGAACTAGTGTTTATCTTACTCCTAAACGAAGTGGTTCCAGTGGGCTGTTTTTCTTAATGTTTCAGTTTATGTTCCCAATGTTATAATTTTGTAGTTTTCACAAAACCACTAATAGCCTTTAGCCACCATTTCTCACACTTACCACTCTCCTTTTCTGTAACAGTCCCTCTTTTCTGTCCTAATTTGCTGCTTCTAATAAGTGGCCCTAGAAACCAGATAAGAACATGTATTCGAAATGCGAATAAGTTAAAATAGCCCCATAAATTGTACCATAGATTTTGTGTGATATACTTAGTCACTCAGAAGCTTTTTCCCAATCTATATTGTGAAAAATATGATATAACAATTATTATAAGGAAAACTATTACATACTGAATGGCCACTGTGTGTTAGTCGTTATTCTAAATATTTTATTTATTATTTGTAATCTTTTTTATGGACTCTAGATTCTACTTCCAGAGTATATAATGTGTATATAAAGAGACAGAATGATAAAGTGCTTTTTTTTTCTTTTTTTGTTTTTTGAGATGGAGTCTCGCTCTGCCACCAGGCTGGAGTGTAGCGGCATGATCTCAGCTCACTGCAACCTCCACCTTCCTGGTTCAAGCGATTCTCCTGCCTCAACCTCCCAAGTAGCTGGGACTACAGGTGAACACCACCATGCCCAGCTAATTTTTGTATTTTTAGTAGAGACGGGGTTTTACCATGTTGGCCAGGATGGTCTTGATCTCTTGACCTTGCGATCCACCTGCATCGGCCTCCCAAAGTGCTGGGATTACAGGAGTGAGCCACCATGCCCAGCTGGTAAATTGTTTTAAAGTACCAGCTTTGAACACAGACATCTCTGGTTAAAAATCACGGCTGTGTTGCTCCCGAGAACTACACCTGTGAACAGGTTGCCCAGGCTCTGTTATTTATGTAGGCAACCCCAAGGCCAGTACATGACCCTGTGATTACTGGAAGCACAGTATACGACAGGGGATTCAAATGGTAAACTAAGGATGTTTAGAATTTATTTACCTAATGTCATAAAGTAAACACAGGAACACTAAAAATTACCACTGATTTAAAAGTTATCTCCCGACTGACTTGTCACTTTGATCTTATTTCACCAAATCCAGGAAATAGAAAATTTCAAGTACATAAATCAGATTTCTCTGAGATACCTAGATTGATAATCGGCCTCTAATAATCTCCCAAGTATAGCAAGTGCCACACAGTTTCCTTAAGGAATCCCCAAAGTCGGCCAAGGAAATCAGAAAAGAAAATTGGGCCTAGCTGCATGATGAATGGGTTGGATTCCACCTGCCACTCCAAAGCATGCTGCTGGAATAATCTCCAGTGGCAGGGGCTTAGCAAGGAGCCATGACTCAAGTTCCACAACCAGCAGACATGCTGCTAAAATAACCCCTATTTTGGGCTGATCCCCAAGACAGTGAGAGGTGCACTGTGCAAGTTTGAAGGCACATTAATTTTATCAGTGTTCACTCAGCATTTTACTGGCAGCAGTCTGCAGGAATACCATGTCATTTTTGCTTTTCAGATGTGTATTGAATTTGCAGAAGGCCTCTTTTCCAAATGATCAATGAATTTCAACACCAGAGTCTTGGAGTCAGACAAGGAAACTTTCAGTACATAGGTAGACCTAACCCTTTGTTTGATTTCATTTGGACCTGAAATTAATATTGCTCTCATCACTGACACTGCAGTTCATGGAGTAATTTATACTCTGTGGGGTTATTATGACATCCCTTTCAGTGCAGCATCTCTGAAAGCTAAAAATGAAGAAGAGTGAAATATCTCTGAATACAAGCCAAAGAGTTATTCATTTCAATGTCTGTTGGGAGGATTTGTAATGGACTGAAGGCCAGGGACCAAGTCAACCCAAGAGGCCATTTCCTAACACCTCATATTGACTACTCATCATCTTCTTATACCAATTCCCACATCTGTCTTGTACCTTCCTTTTTCTCTTCTTCTGTCTTTGTGTTTTTCTCTATTGATCTGTTATCATGCTCTATTCTTTTTTCTCTCTCCTTTTCTCTTTTCTTCCATTTCTTTGGCCCTTAGCACTTCTTTTTTTCTATCCTTCATTCTTTTTACTACTTTTCACATAATATAGAATTAAGTCTAGATGTTGTATTCATCATGTTTTAGTGTCCTACTCTTCTGAAAATTGGAGCAAACGAAAAGGTTTGCCCATGTCTGAAAAATTAAGCAGTTTTTCATGTGGCCCATGATGCTTTTCTTTACAGTCAATGGGCACTTTATGAGGAAGCACAAATACAAAGCTGCTTTTCATTCAGGGCCCCAAGAAAGTCAAGACTAGTTGTATTAGTCCATTCTCATGCTGCTAATAAACATGTACTAGAGACAGGGTAATTTAGAAAGTAAAGAGATTTAATAGACTCATAGTTCCTCAGGACTGGGGAGGATTCTGGAAACTTACTATCATGACAAAAGGGGAAGCAAACACTTCCTTCTTCACATGGTGGCAGGAAGGGGAAGTGCTGAGCAAAAGGGGAAAAGCCCCTTACAAAACCATCAGATCTCATGAAAACGTACTCACTGTCACAAGAAGAGTAGCATGGGGGTAACAACGCCCATGATTCAATTACCTCCAACCAGGTCACTTCCACAACACCTGGGGATTGTGGGAACTACAATTCAAGATGAGATTTGGATGGGGACACAGAGCCAAACCATATCACTAATCTTAGTCTCAATTTTCCCGTCATCAGAATATTGTCAGCACTTACTTTAATACCCCATGCGTTCATGTCCCTTTTGTAATTCACTCTTTCTAAAGAACATTCTTCTCTTTGGCTACACAGCTTATCTTTCCATCTTTTTTTTTTTTAAGTATAACTTATGTAAAAACTTTAAGGCTTCTGTGTCTTTTCTACATTTTCACTGGCTCTCTGAGGGGTCATCTCAGGTGCCAACGAAGGCAGTCTTCAGTCTGGATTCCTTTCAAGGATGTGAAATTATCTCTTCAAAATACATTAGGTAATGTCTGCCTACTTTGGATTTTGTGACGGCTTGAAACAATGCAGTCCACATTTTAACTGACAAGTTTAGAGGTGTCAGTGGTATTTGAGCTTTCTGTGCCTCAAAAACTCACCATCTCACACTGTTCATTGTCACCAGATCTAATTGTGTCTCAGGTGACTTCATAATGTTCTCAAGGCCAGGTGCTGAGGCAGGAGGAAAGGACACACCCCAGAGGCAGGACTGTGAGTTTGAAGTCACCGCCAGCGTCTGCCCATTGCACTGTGCCCAGGACTCCTGTTTCCATGGACTGGGCTGGACCATGCTGTAGCCCTGGGCGCTGCCTGCACCTGAGAATTATCCAAAGCACTTGCAAAATGTGTGAATCCCTTGCCCTTAGCCTAAGGAATTTCAATTTATAAATTATTTCTGCCTGTGGGTCTCGAACATGGATAATTTTAAAATCTTCTTAAGAAATGCTGATGTGCAACCAGGGTTAAGGACCACAGAGCGAGAATGCCCAGAAGGCTTGGCGGAACTCAGATCCTTGGGCCCTGGGTTAAGGACCACAGAGCGAGAATGCCCAGAAGGCTTGGCGGAACTCAGATCCCTGGACCCTGGGTTAAGGGCCACTGAGGGAGAATGCCCAGAAGGCTTGGTGGAACTCAGATCCCTGGACTCTGGACCATCATAGCAGTCACAGATCCAGGATGAGGCCACAGATGAATCCCCAGCTGAGGTGATGCTGCTGGCCTGGGACCACACATCGAGGACCACTCAGCTAGAAGATGCTTAGCACTTCTCTGCCTCTTTTTAAAATTCCTTCTTCTGGGAAGAGAGACTGATCTTACTATTGAGTGTGGGAGAAGAAACAACATGATTAGCAGAATGCCATCCCCTCTCTCTTTTCAAATGTGTGAGCCTGGAGAGAGTTCTCTTCAATGTGTGAGCCTGGAGAGAGTTCTCTTCAATGTGTGAGCCTGGAGAGAGTTCTCTTCAATGTGTGAGCCTGGAGAGAGGATGCTTTTTTATCCACTGTGAGGATGGCTTTTCAGGGCAAGCTCTGTCTGCATGTGCGGGGGGACAACCTCCAATTTTGTTCTGTTTTCCTTTGTTTTGTTTTGCTTTGCTCTTCTTTGCTTTGAGAAGCCTTAGCATAGACCTAGGGGAAGTATTAGACCATAGAGCTAAAGTCATCTTCTTTGGCATGATTAGAATTTTCAAAATACATAACAAATATTTTAAAATTTTGATCTCCATTTATCTGTCTTCTGGGTACTCTCTCAATATATTGTGAATGCGAGATGGAAAAAATTAGTGTTACATGTCAGCTTTCTAAAACCCCAACATAATCCTATCTCTTTTCAAATGGTTTCACTTCTTGGCCCTTTGAAAGCAATATAAACAATTTCACTGACTTAGTAAGCAGGGCTCTAAGAACTGAAGAGAAAACACGCCAATGCTGGATGGCATCAATTCTTTGAAAGAGGAAGGAGGCAAATAGACATGACACATCCACAATAAACAGTCGCTAAAATGTATGGGAATGCTCCGTGCTGCACCTCTCTGCAGGCTTTCACCTTATTTAGCTCCAATTTTCTAAGACTACTACAAAAAAATGTACAAGAGAGGCCCCCTGGACACTAGCTAGTAAGAGCACCAAATCACACATATTTATGGAAACCTAATTAATAATAGTTGTCTCTTCAAACCCCTGCTGTGAGCCATGTATTGTCTTAACCACCTTCTGCTCTGTATCATTCTACTAAAGCACCTGCATAAGTAGGTATTACTTAGTAAGGAAACTGGGGCATAGCTAGCTGGATTAATACCTGGCAAGAAATAGGAAGTGAAGATGGGATTTGCTCCTTGTGTGTGTGGGTGGAAAGCAAAGGCTCTTTCCGCAGTGCACTGTGTACGTAAACTTGCAGCCAAACACCATTATAAAGGCTGTGAAAGATGCAGAGAAATGCAACACTTCTTATTAGTTTCCTAATCTCAAAATGCAGGTAGCCTAGTTAAGGAGATAAAATTACATATAAGAAAAATTAAGTAACAACACAAGATCTGAAGATTAATATAGTATCTTTGACTCCAATCTAAAAATATTCCAAAAATGGTGAAATGTTTGGGAGAATTCCAAATGCAAACAATTGGAGTGCTATAAAATGTGGTTGATCCCACAGAATCCAGTCTGCTTCAGGAAATACTTTTCCTAATTGGAGCCTCTGAGAGACTGAAATCCATTCTGCGAAGTGTATTCTAGCTCTTCCATAGTCTCCCAGTGACTCTTGCCTCAGAAGGCTCTGTTAATTTGGTTGATCGCTTCTGGTTTTTCTCTATATTTCATATATTGATCAAATTTTGTAATACAATCTTCAGATCCACACTACCCAAAAGAAAAACACGCTTCCTGCTATCATTTTTTTTTATTTCCCTCTAAATAAGTAGGAGCATGGTACTTTGATCAATAAGAATGAAAAAAATTATTAGGGAACTTGCCATCATATTCCAGGAGAAATGGAGTATGGCATGCACCCAGCACTGACCTTCAATCAGAATGAAAGCACGTCAGAGAAAAGGAATTGTATAGAATTGCTGGGATCAAATGTAACACAAAAACATCGGAACTATAATAGGATCACGAAGCACAATCACCACTAAAGTCCATCTCATGATTCAGCAGCAGGAGCAGGGGAGCACAGCAGAAAGAAGCATGGGTGAAGGGATCCGAGAGTCAATCCTACCTGGCAAACAGGAGTGTGATCCTGGCATCCAGTTTATATCTCAGAGTCTTTGTTCCCAGGTAGAACTGGGAGACTGAGCTAGATCAGGGGTTCTTAGAAATCAGTTGAGGGGACCGTGAACTTAATGAAAGAATGAATCTTTATTTCCTATAATCTTTAACTAAAATGTATAGCACTTCCTCCAATTATGAATGTAAGTCATAACCCACAATACTACTAACCGTACATGTGATATTGTTCCAATACAAATTACAGATATTTTCACATTAATATAATTTTTAGTTATCTCAAAATATCATTTATGATCACTAGCTCTTCAAATTTACAAAGATCATCTCAGTCACAGCTGTTTCCCTTTACTTAATGCATTGGGAAAGAAGCACATGCATAACTGCATCATAACATCCTTAAAAATGAATTCATTAGTGTTTGAGCATAATTGGCTTCCTCTATAATCAAAGGTGTGCTAGCTGACGCTTTCTGAAATGTTTTTCTTAGATGTGACTTTATCAGACTGCCTATATGGTCCCCTTAGACAGTGCCTAAGGGCCATTTCCTTGAACATGGTGGAATTCTCAGCCTCCTGTCTCAGAAGCAGAGATGCCTAACTGGCTGGGATGCATTTCAAGGATAAGCAAGAGCAGGAGACTGGAGTAACTGCCATATGGTGGGAGGTGACAACTGGAAACAACAGTGGTATTAAATTGATCCAAATGCAGCCTCAGGGCATGTTAGTAACTAGGAAATACTAAGAGGGAACAGAGTAAGATGGAACAACTCAGATCATCAGTAAGAAATGCCTGGCCAGGGCCAGGTGTGGTGGCTCATGCCTGTAATCCCAGCACTTTGGGACGTCGAGGCATGTGGATCATTTGAGGTCAGGAGTTCAAGACCAGCCTGGCCAATATGGTCAAACTCCATCTCTACTAAACATACAAAAGTTGAACCCGGGAGGCAGAGGTTGCAGTGAGCTGAGATCATGCCACTGCACTCCAGCCTGGGCCACAGAGTGAGACTCCATCTCAGAAACAAAAAAGAAAGAAAAAAAGAAAACAAAAACAGAAATGCTCGGCCAGCAAATGCACCAGGCAGCCAGACCGATACAGGTTCCAGAGCCGCCTACTCTGTCAAAAAGTACAACAGTGTGGTACTCCCAGCACTCATTGACAATCATTTCCTCACATTGGGCTGTTAAGTAATAGAAAGTAACAGGTGAAAAAGCACAAGAAACGCTATGGTTACACAGATTACAACTTTGGTGGAAGCGTATGTATGATGAGAACTAGAACTGCACGCTCGGTTATGTTAAATCCGTGGCCATTGTCTAAGTGCTTATGGTAAAACCACAGTGTGCTAGAGGTATGAGCCTACTGAAATAAGACGTGTGAACTTCTCAGAAAATCTATCCCAGCTTCTGCTGGCAAAGAAAACAACTAAAAGAGCCATCTACAAAGAGATGCATGAGTTAGCTGAGGTGGCTCCTAGCAGTGAGACAGAGGTGTAGAAGGGAATGTGTGAGTGGTGTCTCCAGCATCAAGGTGTTAGGTGAAAGTGCAGAGATTCTGAATCAGGGGATCTGGAGAATCAGGGGATCTGGAATGGGATCTTCAAAACCTGCATTCACTGGGCACCCCAGGCATATTAGGATGCAGGGGATCTGCAAACCACTTTGAAAGAAACCAGCTGCGGCTCCTGGCTGAGGTATTTTGAGTCTGAAAAGCAAAGCAAAACACCATCGTTGTGAGCCCCTACATACTGCAGCTCAGCCCCAGCAGGTGCAGGACGCTGTATGTGGGTAAAAGACTAGTTATGTGTTCAAAATACAGTGATGAAGAGGCCAATGAGAAGGTGGTTGTAAATGAAGAGATAAAGAGCATGGTGCAATAAAGGGTGATAGGATCCTCTCTCAGCCATCACACGATTTGCTTTCTTCAGCCAGCTCTGTCAAAAGTATCCCCTATTAGAAACGCTGTCCCCTTAGAGAGTAGTTTGTTGAAGGTTTCTAACAGAAAAAGACAAGGCTCGGACACTAGCAGCCCTGCAGGAAACAGTTGTATTCAAAGCAGACGTGAAAACCCTGTATCATGTGATGCACTGCCAATGCAACAGCACCTTCAAGCACTAACTTCGATAGACCCTCAGCCTCTGGGATGACCTGGCATTTCCCTCTATCTACGTGAACTCGCTGAGGCCCCCTTTAACAATTTAGTAACTCCTTTTGGCATGGTGCACTGGCCCAATGGACTAAGTGTCCTATTGAAGAATGCAATAGAAGCAGACAGCGAGATTGGCCTCAACAGGGTTGCAGAAAGCCCTGTCTCAGCCTGGTCATGAATTCAGGTCAACCAGTGCCACTTTTATGAAAAGAACTGTAGAAGGGAAATCCTTGGAAACAAATACACTGACAAATCAGTCCATTGTGTGACTTCTTCAGAACAAAACCTGCACTTGGAACTCAGAGAAAGGAGAAAATCACAGCCTTTCACGTAAATTATATCTGAGAAATAAAACCTTTGAATTTGAAAGAAGGCTCACTAGATAATACCACTGGGAGGATATCAGGAATTAGTATTTTTTTGACCACATAAGTGCCAAGCTTCGAGCTATGTGCTTTGTATCCAACATCTCATCTCATCTGTTGGTAACACTACCAACAATTCAGCTCAAGGAATCACATTGTCAGAGCTGGAAGGGTCCTCAGAGATTATCAGGTCCAAACTGTTCATTTGCATGTGAAAAACCTGAGACCATGGCAGGACACAGTGGCTCACACCTGTAATCCCAGCACTTTGGGAGGCAAGGAGGGCGGATCATGAGGTCAGGAGTTCGAGACCAGCCTGACCAATGTGGTGAAACCCCATCTTTCCTAAAAACACAAAAATTAGCTGGGCATCCCAGCTACTCAGGAGGCTGAGGCAGGAGAATCTTTTGAACCCGGGAGGCAGATGTTGCAGTGAGCCGAGATCACGTCACAGCACTCCAGCCCAGTGAAAGAGCAAGACTCCATCTCAAAAAAAAAAAAAAAAAAAAAAAAGGAAAAACCTGAGACTAAGAGAAGATAAGTAGCAGAACAGAACTCAATGTCTTCTTGTGCTTCTCTGACTTAACGTCTTTCCAATGCACCATGCAGCCTCCCACATGAGCAATCAGATATGTACGTCACTAGACCCTAAGAAAGTAAGCTCTTCATTAAGCTCTTTAAAGTTAAAATGCATTTGTGGATATAAGCCTCAGTCCAGAAATTAATGTGAATAAGTTGTGTTTCTTATTTTTTTTAAATAGTTAGCTTGTGATTCTATTGGAATAAAGAAAAATCAATGTCAGTATTTCCTCCCTACCTTTCTAGAAGTTGTATCTAAGTTCCAGGGCACCATGGTTTGGGGGAGCACCTGGTCCTAGATGTCATCTGTTCACTTCAGCATCCAATGAGATGCTGCCATCCTCTTGGGGTGTTCCCTCATCCACACACACACACATGCCACCTATGGTCACACACTTCTGTACATGTGTTCTCTTTCTGGTTGGTGGATATCTTGACTGCTTCTATACCATAGATGGAGACACAGGATCTGGCCTTACATTTCTGTGCCACCCAACATTATGGGAGACTTCATGACTGTTTCTATGGCATTTATGCCCAGGCTCTCTGCAGCCCTCTCCCTCCACCTCCTCACCACTCTTTCCAGACAGAGGTCATCTCTGCTCTCAGATCTCACAAAGCTTTCTCAGGATTTGCAGACAACCCAGAGCTGTGGCTGATAGACAAAAAGCAGGCCTTTCCTCTCTAGGAACCCCTACCTAACACTAGCGTGCCCTGCTCCACACAGAGGGGCTCTTCCAGTCTTGGAAACGGGAGAGAAGGAACCCTTTTCTTCTCTTTGCTTCCTGGAGTCCTCTTCTGATTCCCTAACAGCATTGATGTTTATAATAAACTCAAGGAAGCCAGACTTTTCTAGATTTTCCACACTGTTGTATCTTGCCACTGAAGCAAGGACCACAGAATGGTCCACAGGCTTGGATTCAGCAGGCTTGGATTAGGGGGGAGCAGAAGGGCTACAAATAAATGATTCCATGTACTCACTTCTGCTGTGGTTTATCACAAACACCAAAGCCAATGGAAAATGAGGAGAGAGCAACAGAGATCCCTGGGGGAGGGGGGCCATTTGAAATGTATCAGGCTATAAGAAATGGTGCTTTTAAAAACATATTGAATAACATGATGGAGAGAAAGATTTTCTTGTTTTTGTTTTTGTTTTTGTTTGAGACAGAGTCTGGCTCTGTCTCCCAGGCTGGAGTGCAGTGGCACAATCTCGGCTCACTGCAACCTCGGCCTCCTGGGTTCAAGCGATTATCCTGCCTCAGCCTCCCAAGTAGCTGGGATTACAGGTGCCCGCCACCGTGCCTGGCTAATTTTTGTATTTTTAGTAGAGACGGGGTTTTGCCATGTTGGCCAGGCTGGTCTCAAACTCCTGACCTCAGGTGATCTGCCTGTGTCACCCTCCCAAAGTGCTGGGATTATAGGTGTGAGGAACTGTGCCCAGTCAAGATTTTAAACAAATATAAGCAGCTTACCTTTAATATCAGAGAATCATTTTATTTCTCCTTCTTCTTTGCTGACCTTCCACACCCCATTCCTGTGTCTGGTGTGCCTTCCCTGAGGGCTTAGCCATTCCTGCCAGCTCAACCTTTGAAAAGCCCAAGCTGAGCGGGAAGCACCTCAGTATTGATCTGCCCAGTTATGGCCTATGGAGGCGCTGGAGGTCCTGTTAGAACAGGATGGGCTATCACTTAATTTAACTCTTACTCAATCTACAAGAGGGTTACATTCTCAACAACTGGAAAATATTATGAACAGACTTCTGAATCCTGTGGTTTATCTGAGAATTATTATAATTATTTTAAATAAATTTAAATTTTCCATTTGTTGCCATAACAGCATTTAGAGACCTGCTAGTTTTGGGGTGTTTACTAGATCTTTGTTGATAAGCTTAATGATGAAGGGGAGCATTAGGGCTTTCTGATGATGCTTTCTAGAAATTTTCGACATACTTTAAAATATGACATTCATTTCTGCCTGAAGACCAAAGTAGGTTTTGCAGAGGCAAATTGAGAGCACGTTTAAAAGATTCATCTTGTGCCTAGGTTTAACAGCCTCCCAGGATGTCAACTGGAAGATCATGCCACTCCTGACAATGAGAAGGTAATAACGAATTTTCAACCAACTCCACATTCATCCTGACACATCCCTTTGGCACATTTTTAAGGTGAAACTTGTGACTCCATAACGTTTTCTTTTTAGGCAAGGGCTTCTGTGGTGGTAATCATGACCTAAAGAGCCCAATTCTACAGTCTTCAGAGAGCCAGGATTCCTGCCCAAAGTTAGATAGGCAGCATTTGAAGCAAAGTTTACTTCACGCAGTTCCTACTTCTTCTGACTATTCGTTTTTTATTTATTACAGCAGATTTATCATGTGCTAGATAATTTCACATTCATGGCTTTTCTAGTGCTCAATTTATCAAGGACAGTGGTGCCACATATTCTTGTATTTTATCGCAAGTACCATCAGGATAAGAGAGACAGGTTCTCTCCTGCAGTGACTGCCACGAAATCATGATTCATAATGATAGATGCATCTTCCCTGGGTTCAATTTTTAATGTTTCTCTTTTTGGAATGTTTACATAACAGAAAAAAGAGGGAATTATATATGAGTCACATTCCTATCACTCATGTGTTCTTTACTGAGAGAATGAAACTAGATACCTGAAAAATAATCAGTGATTTCAACTACTCACTTAGGACATTTTTTATAAAGTTGCCCACTTTTTCATTGTCAAAGACAGGAAAAATGAAAAGAAACTGAAGTGGTCTGAAACCATGACTTTCATTTTCCTTAAGTTCAGAGAGTGAGGTGGCTGGAGATACAGCACATTGATTATCTGTGACACGATCAGTCAGAAGCAGGACCACATGAATTCTCCATCAGCAAACAAAATGACTGGCTTTCTGTGTGATTCTTCACACTGTGAATGCAGCTACTAATAACACCGATTTTACTTCAGGCAAGAGAAACAGAGCCTCTCATTTTCCCTTGAGAATAATGATTGTTTCTTAATACTTTTCTTTTTCCCCATTTCCTTACAGAGGAGTTCCCTGTGCAAGGGAAGCACATGGTAGGGTTAATGCTACATGGAACATGAACTCTGAAGACCCTCATTTTGGTTTCCATGAAGGTGGTGAAGGTTCTCCAAATAAAAGCATTTCCAATAAGGGTGAAGAGTAGAGAGCAGTGATGTTTCCAAAAAGTTTAGAATTCCTCCTTCAAATGACTTCCTAATGAATATCAGAAGGCAATGTGTGGAGTCACAAGTCATTGGAATGGCACCCACTGTGTAATTTCAACAAAACACTTCATCCCTCTGAGCCTCTGGTGGCTCATCTGTAAATTAAGGCAAATTCTATCTTCAAATTTCTTCACTCTTTGATCAACAACTTTTATTCAACTTTGTTGAAAAGAACAAAAAAATTGCATCTCTGGTTGAATTTGGTGGCTCTTTTTCTGGTTAATATAAAACGTGACTGTCAGAATCCCATCTCTAAATCTTTGTCAAATTCGTGTGGCCTCCTTTGTGTGCAGTTTACTAGTACAGCCCCATAATACTGGATAAGATTTTCCCTAAACTTCTGTGATTTAAATGAGATGGTGGTTGCCTGCACTCAGACTGGTAAATGGGTTGGTCCCGAGAACACTTACAGAAGCACCTTGCCTTGTTATTTGGCTTTAGCATTGTATTAAAAAGTTAGTAGATATTTGTAAGCATTCTAGAGATCATTTATTACCTATTCACTCTTTAAGTTAAATTCTTGTCTATGTAACAGTGACCTAAATTGTTCATTGAAAGTAATTTCAGTCCTGAGGTAAAAATAATCTTAATATTACCATCTTAATTACAATAATAAGGGCTCAATGACTTTAGGATCATCCAATAAGCCATACGTTTATAAAACAGAAAGAGCTCAACAGATGACATTAAGGTAGGAAACAGCCTTTCAATAGGAGAAGAAACACCCGATCTGGAGCAATCCAATGCTTGTGGGCACCTTAGTGAACACATTTGGCCAACTCAATGCAGAAATTGCTGTTTACAACATGGCCCCAAAATATGCTTTGCATAGGGGAATGCTGACTTTACATAATATCCACTAAATAAATGTTAGCTCTCACAGTACAACTTTCATTACACAGCCTGAGGCTCTGTTTTCCTGCTGGAGAAATTTCTACCACTGACATAGATTTGTAAATACTTCTAGTTCTTGTTTCTTGTCTGTTCTGCCTCAAGAAGAACTTACTTGTGAGAAAGATACTCAATTCTACTTCCTCACAAACATTTAAATGAGGTGCATTGTTCTGGATTTTGTAGGGGTGGTGGTTGTTTCAGTTTAGTTTTAATTATTTCTTGTCATTTTTTGACAAGCATACTAGCCACTTAATACCAAAACCATTTTTTTCTTAGGCCCTTTGATGTCTCCCGCTGAAAGATTCTTTCCATTTAAAATCAAAAACCATTAAAAGTTGTATGCTAGGTAGCTTAGTACATGAAAGTACGTCCCTGCTGCTCCTCTAAGTTTTCTATCTGTAGGCTGTTAAGGAGTGGAAGGCCTGATAAAGCATGTGCATGCATGCATGGATATAGATATGCATGGGTGTACAGCTGTCATCTATATGTGCATATCTCTACATGCAGGATGTCAATTCAGATGTTAGAGGCAGGTCACAGTGGCTCATGCCTGTAACCCCAGCAATTTGTGAGGCTGAGGTGGAAGAATCCCTTATGCAGGAGTTCAAGACCAGCCTGGGCAACATAGTAATAGTAAGCCCTCGTCTCTACAAGAAATAAAAAATAAAAAATTTAGCCTGGTACAGTGGTGTGCACCTGCAGTCCTAGTGACTTGGGAGGCTGAGGAGGGAGGATTGCTTGAGCCCAAAAGTTGGAGGTTACAGTGAGCTATGATAATGCCAGTGCACTCTAGCCTGGGCAACAGAGCTACATCTTGTCTTAAAAAAGATTAAAAAGTGTTATTGTCTAAGAGATGGGATGAGATCATATATTCTTTTTATCATTAAAAACTTTTGTTTTCTAAATTTCCTATGAGGAATATTTATTTCTTTATAAACAGTATAAACAACTAGCTTTAAAAAATAGTGTGTCTAGCCTATGAAGAAAGAACAAGTAATAATCTTCATTCTACAGCAATGGTAATTTCCCCAAGATCGTTAACTCTTCCAAACCTGTTTTCCCTGGATCTCAAATTGGAGCCTAGAGAAGGCATTTTTGCTAAAGGTTAGTTTGCCGCAAGGGCTCAGATCAATGAAATTTTTATCAGCTTGAGTTTGGCTGAAAGGCTGGTTTTGGGGGTGTGTGGGTTGGTGAGAGGGCAAAGTCTTAGCCTGTACTTATAAATAAATAAATAAATATATATATATTTACATAAATACATTACACACGTATATATTAACAAATATATATTATTTCTGTACAATATTTTACATATATATGTAACTTGATAAACTTTTGGTATGCATGGGAGTGGGTTACCTAAAAGCATATTATACAGAATTGTTCTCTATTAATATTGGAGTATTCTTTCTACCAGTGTGAGGTCATACTGTGCACACTGCTTTAGAGTCTCTCCTTTGTACTGTGATCACTTCCAATGACATCAAATATTTGTATAAATAACAAGTCTAAAGTTGCCTAACAGATATATCAAATTACTTATTGCATCCTTAGGTTTAATCTTTTATATAATTTCAAATTTTTCTCCATTACAAATAGCACCACCATGAGCACCCTTACATGAATACGCTTTTGTAAATATCAAAGAGATTTCCCCTAAGATCAGTCTCTGAAGTGGCACTGGTGATGAAAGGATGTGAACATGGGATTGAAATGTACAAGCCGATGTTGGGTTTCAGTTTCTCACTAATGCTAAGCCCTGAGACATTCCTCTAACACAGCATAGTCATTTAGAGTCAGGCAGACCTGGGTTCAAATCCCAGTTCCAACTCCCTAGCTTGATGGCCTTTATACAACGTGGTCTCTAAACTTTAGTTCCTTCATATGGAAAATGGGGTAACGACCACCTTTCACAGCTGTTGTGGGAACTACATGAGACCATGTGCAGAAGCTTCTGAGCACAGTTCCTTTACTATACCTCAAGAGTCAAGAGCTATTTCACCAAGAATTTGCTTGAGGTGAAGGCTATAAATCTAAATGATTCAAATTTTTAAAGTTGGGGTTCTTTCCTGACATTTTAGTAAAACTTACCACATGTGAGTACATGTCTTCCAGGAGTAGAACAGCTCACTTTGACCTGAGAGATTGTCAATGAGGTATTCAGGCTCTGTAGTTACAAGCATAATCTTCGGTGTGGTCAATGGAATGGCTGACTCCAATTCATCCTGCCTTCCTCATCCTGACTCAGATTACCTATGGGTGAACGCACCTCCTCCCTCACTGACTCTGAGCTTAGCCTTCTGACTTGCTTTGGGCAATGACACATGAGCAGACTTCCAGTACACCGTGTCCAACCAGTGGCTCCCAAAGAGCTCATCAGGTGCAGCTTGCCTTCCATGCCATGAGAGGAACATGCCCCTGGGCCTGCTCTCCAATCTGGGTCTGGATATGAAAGGCACATGGAAGAGTCCTAACTCAACCACAGGCAGCCCGCACAGCAACCTGGGAGAACAGAACGTTTGTTATTGTAAGTCACAAGATGCGGAGCCCTAGCAGGCTGACACCCTGGCTGTTAAATTCCACCCACAGAGGCATGCTGGACTGCAGAACAGAACAGAGACAGTGAAGGAAAGGAAAATGCCTTTGGAGGGGGCGTATTTGTCCAGAGACATTTACTAAAACTAGGTCCACTACAATGCCCCAGCCCTTCTTTCCCCATAATAAAGGCACGACACCACAGGGTGCTAGCCAGGACAATATACTTGAGAATCTAGAGCCAAGGTGGACAGGCTGGTAATGGAAGTCTGCCTTGTCACTGCGGTTATTTCTCTCCAGGGGTGATTTACAAGGTGATAAAAGACTTCAAGATGCAAAAAGTACTTAGGCTGTTAAAAACCAGCCTTTTATGATCCCTTGTTCCTTATAGTACATGTTTTTTCATTAATCAAATGCTTATTCTATTAGAAGTCCCAAACCTTTAAGATGGTGGGACATTTCATTTTTATTTTCCTGAAGTGGCATTAAAATCCACATGGTCCTCAGCAGGCCACTGGTGAATTCCTCATGTTCGAACTCATTCCACCCTCTGTCTTCTCTGATCCTATCTATTTTGTATTACTCTTTTAGAAGAATTTTTTTTGTGTGTGTGTTCTTGCTGGGATAGATGCTGAACTGTTAGCCAAAAGCCTGTTTTTTTCTTCCCCTGCCTGTATTTGAAGTCTGGAGCCAGTCGCTGATGTCATTCTCAAGCCCATGTTTTTGCACTGTGGACCTCATCTCTTCTGGCCTCTTCTGCTGGCTCTGTCTTACCATCAGTGGGAAAAATTCCATGTTCCCATTTGCTTAGCCGAGAGCAAAGCCTGTCCTTGTCCTCTCCCTTGTCTATGGTGGGTTTCATCAAGGAATCTCTTACTGTATATTTTAATGACCAAAATGATGAAAATTTGTCATTTAGATTGATATTTTCTAGTTTTTAAGACTATTCAGAGTAAATTAATGATTATTTGTAAATATCAATAGTACAATTTGTAATCATTATATAACAGCATCTCAAATCAAGTTTTAGAAATAAATGGAGTATGTATTCAGTAGATAGACAAACCGATAGAGCACAGATCAACTAATAGAGATAGCATTGCCATTAAATTATAATAGATCAACTAATAGAGATAACATTGCCATTAAATTATAACTCATAAATGCTTTTAGAAAAAGTTTCCAGACAACTGCCATCTCTACCTTATTAATGCCTAGCCTGTAAAAGCAAGGAATTAAAGAATTTCTAAAGAAACGGCAGACTCCATGTCTGTTTTTAGAAGTAAAGTTTTCTTAGAGCCCAGCCACATCTATTCAATTATGTGTTTGTCTGTGGCTGCTTTCACAACACAAAAGCAGAGTGAAGTAGTTGCAACAACTTAACTATATGGCCTTTAAAGCCAAAAATGTGAGCAATAAATTATTTTTTAATTTTTCTACTGTTAATTTTATGTGTAGGAAATGGTCTGCTTTGCTTAAAACTTGTGGCTCCTCTATTCACTGATCATATCTTTAATTAGCTCACTTTTCCCAAAATGTTTTTCCATCTTTTGTTTTTTATGCTTTCTTATCCTGCCTAAGCCACACCCTATCTGTTTTTCTGAACAAGCTTAAGCCCTACTTGCTGGATGACAGCTGTAACCAACGGTGTGACTTCCTTTCAAATCTCTAACTGTGCTTCACTATCTGTCCCATGCACATGGGCTCTTGACTCCTCACTAAGTATTTGCACAGCACCTACTGAGTACTGAGCCTTATTCTAGATCCTAGGAATACGAAAGCAAGCATCTAGATGTGAGCCCTGCCCTCAGTGCGTGGATGTTTGTTGGAGGAAGAGGCACAACCACATCACCACAAGGTAGTGAATTCCAGATATTACAAAAGAGGAGTTGCTATGGAGGAACCAACAGCAGGGACATCTTCCCTCCTTGAGGAAATCAGATCTTCCCTCAGGGAGAAGTAGAAACTGAAGAATGAGGAGCAGTTAGCTGATGAATGAAAGAAGTGGGGGCTGGGGGTGCTGTGGGGAGGGCTGGACGAGGAAGGGGAGGTTGGTAGCATAGGAGAGAAGCATATTTCAAGGACATGATATGGGAGGGAGTATGGCATGTTTGAGAAGCTAAGTGATAGGTTACAGTGAGTGTCACGATCTTGGGGACAGAGTGTGAAACAATTTACGGAAGGCTATGCAATCCTTGTGGTTTTCATCTCTGGAGTACGCTGGAATGGCTTCTGAGCCAGGCAATGATGGGATCAGATATTTATTCATTTATTCATTTATTTTTGAGACAGAGTCTCGGTATGTCACCCAGGCTGGAGTGCAGTGGTACAATCTCAGCTCACTGCAACCTCTGCTTCGGAGTTCAAGTGATTCTCCTGCCTCAGTCTCCTGAGTAGCTGGGACTACAGGCACCCACCAACATGTCTGGCTAATTTTTGTATTTGTAGTAGAGACAGGGTTTCACCATGTTTGCCAGGCTGGTCTTGAACTCCTGACCTCAAGTGATCCGCCTACCTCAGCCTCTGAAAGTGCTGGGATTACAGGCGTCCGCCACCGCGCCCAGTTGATATGATCAGATTTTATGTTAGAAAATGCACACTCGGGGCCGGGCGAGGTGTCTCATTCCTGTAATCCCAGCACTTTGGGAGGCCAAAGTGGGCAGATCACAAGGTCAGGAGATTGAGACCATCCTGGCCAATATGGTGAAACCCTTTCTCTACTAAAAATACAAAAATTAGTTGGGCATGATGGTGGGTGCCTGTAATCCCAGCTACTCAGGAGGCTGGGGCAGGAGAATCACTTGAACCAGGAAGTCAGAGATTGCAGGGAGTCGAGATCAGACCACTGCATCCCAACCTGGTGACAGAGCGAGACTCTGTTTCAAAAAAAAAAAGAAAGAAAGAAAGAAAGAAAGAAAGAAAGAAAGAAAGAAAGGAAAAAGAAAACGCATGCTCAGTTGCCTCCATAGAGAGAAGAGATGGGAGTGAGACTGAGGAAAGACCAGCCAGGAGGCTGCTGTGTCCAGTAAAGGCTGAGGAGAGCTGAGAGGGCCGGGCAGGGGAAATGGAGGTGAGGGAATAGATTTGAGAGGTTTTGGAGAAAGAGCCCATAGCACATGAGATGGCTGTATGGAATGAGGGAGAGAGAAGAGTCTGGAAAGTCCCTGGTTTCTAGTTGGACAACCTGGTGATGATGCTACTTACTATGACAGGGACACAAAAGCGGAAGGTAGAGATGCGGGCAGGGGATGGGGAACTGCAATTAGATAAGATTGCTTTAAGCTTCATGCAGCTGTGAGATCTCCAAGCCACGGTGCCCAGGGCCAGTCAGAGCTGGCCCCTGACACTCAGGAACATGCAGTCCTGGGCATCACCCACTTCAGTAGAGCTGTGGAGTCTAGGTCCCCTCTGCCAAGCTGGCAGAAGCTATGACCATATACACCAAATTTGCATATAATTTCAAGGAACTCACAGGCCCAAAAGTTTATCCATGGACTCTGGGTTCATAATTTCTGCTATGGATGATAATAGAAGCCGTACGACTGGATGAGATGACCCTGGGAGAGAATAGAAGAGGGAACGTTGGACTGAGCCCCAGGGAAGCCCAGGGCTAAAGGAACCAGCAGAGGGAAGAGGAGAGAAGAAGACTTCAAAGCAGACCAGGAAAGAAGAGCTGACGTGGTGAAAGAACAACTAAAAAAGGAAAAAAGGAGCCACGTCCTAGAGGGAAGGTGCGTTTGCATCAGTGGCATTCGGTCCATTATTTCCACATAATAAGTTGGCGAGCTCTTTAGAGGCAGGGATCCTTCTTCTTTTGTATCCCTGTTATCTCAAAATTGATGCTCATATCACAAACACTCAATTGACACAGTGTATTTAAATAAGATTGCAGATAATGAGGAATTAGTAGGTTAGGCCTGACATACCTTGAAAATAGTCAAACAACAATTAAGCTAGGAAATGAATACTGTGACTATATGGAGGCTTCGCTAACACAGCCTAGAACATAGTCTGCCTTCAATACATGTCTGTGGGATCAGCATGGAACGTTTCTATGGATTAACGCAAGCCGTGTCACTTTAGCACGGGAGGACACTAACTCCACAGGACCCTCACGTGCAGCCGTGGGGTCACTGAGCCAGGAATCAGGAAAACTGGATTCCAGGCTCGATTCTGCCACTAAGCAATAGTGTTACTTTGGACTAGTTTCTACATGCCCCTGAGTCTGAGGTTCAAGTTCCGAAGCTCAGTATTTTTCCCTCTATGCCTTCCTATTGACCATCAGGGCTCCTGCAGGTGCTGAGGTGGATGATGGGTGCTGGTAGCCAACAGCCTATAAATTTCAAGGCACCTCCTGTACATTGCAGCACAAAAGCTATTGTTATCAAGCATTGCAAATGTGCCAACATGTTCTTAGGTTTACAAAAGATGGATCATTTCTTTTCTAAGTAGTGTTTGTACTAATTATTTTGGCCAATGAGCAATTTCTAAGAGTGGGTGACTGTGATTAATTGCCAAATTGTTCTAATCTATTATCTAACAACATTCTTCTAATGGAAAAGGGAAAATGAGTAAATTTGCCACTAATGTAAACCTAAGTAGTAATTTTCTTTATAAAAAGCTGAGCTCTTTGACTATATTGAAAGTGTAAGCAGGAAAGTAAAACATGACCCTAACAACAAACAGATGGCATTCCCCTTCATGTGCCTGAGCACACTTTTGAAGTTTGAGAGAAACCACACAACACTCATGCTTTCAATTATGTTTCCAACAGAGACAGACCCCAAATGTATTTTTTCTTTATAACTGATTGCTTTTCCACGTCAGTCCATATGCCTGAGCTGGAAATTTACCTCAGCAAAGGAAAGAGAAAGAAACCTCAGCAACCTCCTGACTTGGCACCCTCAGAAATACTAGAATAAATTTAAATCATTATTTGGCTAAGTCCCTTCTCCTCCTTTATTTTCTTCAAGGGAAAATAAAGGTACTTAAAGAAACTGGATCCAATTAAACTAACTTTGTCTTTTCTTTTTCTACTGGAGAAATTTGCTACACTGATAAATATTAAACACATATGGACTGTTGTTTCTTTCTCTGTATCTTCCTGACTGTATCTTTTCTGCCCAGGCTGAAGGAACATCCACAGATACAGATGTGGCATGTTTATTATCCTTGCCTGGAGCTTCTGAGTCGTGCACAGTATCCACTGCGGTTTCTTTGGAAGTAGAGAAAAAGAGAAATAAGTAATTGGAAATGTGTAAAAATAATTCAAAGGATTAGTAAGAAAAATGCATTTGGGTTCATTTACTTACTCATTCAAAAAGCATTTATGGAGTGCTTCATTTGTTCGGGTACTTTTCTAGGGCTTGGAAATATGGCAGTGAGGATGACAGATGGGCTGTTTGTTGCCTTCAATCACCTTTTATTCTACTACGAGTAGAGAGACAATGGACAGGCCAGCAAATGCTCAGTCAAGATAATTGTAGATGGTGGGAAGTGTGGTGGAGAAAATAAAAAGGGTAATGTGATAGGGACTGCACATTTGGTAGGGCGGCTGAGAAACTCTCTGGGAAGCAGTGCTTGAGAGGGAATGAATGAGAGTCAGCCATGCAGACAGCAGGGCAGGCTGGCGATGGGGAGAGAGGTTCAGGCCCGGTGGGAACAACTACAAAGATCATATGGTGGGCAGAGCGCTGTGCATTTCTAGTAGGGACATCCAAAGATGACAACGACTGGTCAACTGTTTCCAGGTATCATTTGTTTTAGCTACGTAGTGATCTAGGAGTTAAGAAGAAATCACTTAGGCAGACAGAAAGGGTAGGGGAGTCCTTGGTAAGGCCTTTGTTTTCAATGAAAAGCAGCCCCACATCATATTCTATCAAAGAGCAGCCTGTAAAGTTGAGCTGCAGACATAGACTAGCCACCTGGGAGCTTGCATGGTGAATACTGGCAGGAACTAGGGACTAGACATGTTCAAGATGGGCTCCATCTTCCCTTCTCTTTGTCAACCACTTGTACTGTAAGGAGCAGACAAAATGGCACTGATCAACTGGAAAGGCCATTTGCATAATAAGATTGGGGTAGGGCGACCAGCCTTCCCGCTCACTATGTAAATGTCATACCTGATGGAACCAATCCCTGAGCCCTAAGGAAATCAGACCCCGCCTCCTCAAACCTGATGATAAAATTGGGTGCATCAGCCACCCGTCCCCTCAAAGGCCCCTTTCTCTTTGGAGAGAGCTGTTTTCTCTTTCTCTTCTCTTCTGCCTTTTAAACCTCCACTCCTAAGCTCCTCGTGTGTGTCCATGTCCCAAACTTTCCTGGCACGCAACAAGAAACCCCAGGGTATATACCCCAGACAATGTAGCCGCTTCAGTCGCATATCTTAATCCCCTAAGAACTCCCAATATCCCCATTTTACAGGAGAGGAAACCAGTGGCCAGAGAGATGCAGCTTTCCAAGATCACCCAGGAAATAAAGGATGGAGCTAAGAGTGGGTCACTTCCCGACTCAATTTATGCTACCTTGTCTCAGAAGAGGATGCCTCTGAGGCAGGCATGTGGTTGCCCCTGCAGGACCAAGACAATGGGGCCAGCTGGATTCCACTTTATACGACCAATATGGTCTGTGTCTGTTTGGATTTCTATCTCAGAATGCAATAGACAGAGTGGCTTATAAGCAATGAAGGATTTATTTCTCACAGTTGTGGAGGTGAAGGAGTCCAAGGTCAAGGTGCGGGGAGATTTGGCATCTGGTGAGGGCTACTGTCCTGGCTTCTGGATGGTGCCTTCTCACTGTGGCCTCTTGTGGCTGAAGGGGACAGGAGCCCTCTCCTTTATAAGGGCAATAAGCCCTTCCTGGCCTAATCGCCTTCCAAAGGCCATGCCGCCTAATACTGTCTTCCTGGGGATTAGAGTTTTAACATGAATTTGGGAGGGACTTAAACATTCAGTCCAGAGCGGATATTATGTCCCAGAATCCTCTAGCTGCGATGGAGCCACACCGACCTGTGTGGTCTCCGCACCTCCGCAGTGCAGGCCAGGCGTCTTCTGACTCAGCTCCAGCTGCAGAGCCCTGCTGTTCTCACAAACAACCCTGCTGTCTGCGACCATAAAAGCACAGCCTCCAACTGGGGAGAGTGCGAAGGACGTTTTCACAGGTACACCGTTTTAGTCATAATTTATTATGCTTTTGATTATGAAGACATTTGAATGGCTCAAACCATGATGCCAAGGAAGGAATAACATGTAAAATACATTTACTCGATATCATGCTCTGAAATCCCTCAAGCTCCTACACAGAAAAAATAAATTATACTTGTGAATAAAGCCTGTGGTAGGAGGAGGTACTGTTTCCAATCTGTCATGGTTCCAGCTCCTCAGGCCTTGCAGTCTCAACAGCACTGACCCCAGTAGCTGCCTCCTGTGGGCTCTTGACTTGCCACAGAAGCTGATTTTTTTTCCCAATTAAATCTTCAAGGTTTGCTGATCATTTATTGATGTAACAATCATACATTGTGGTGCCTTATAAATACACAGTATCGTAATAGCAAACATAGGTGCCAAGTCAAATGAGACATGTCCCTGAGCTCAAGAAGCTCATGGGTGTGATGGTGGAAAAAACAGGCTTATCGTGGCAGATGGTAGCATAAAAGGAAGCTCACAGGGGGTGACGGTGGTAGAAAAAGAGGCTCATGGGGTGAGTTTTAATGAGTGTCCTGACAACAGAAGCACCAGGAGTCATCAAGATCTAGGATTGCAGGAAGGCCCCTGCACTGCATGACCTCACTTTTCTCTTTTTTCTTTCTCTTTTTGTAGGTATGGGGTCTTGTTTTGCCGCCCAGGCTGGGGTGCAGTAGCGTGATGATGGCTCACTGCAGCCTGGGACTCCTGGGCTGAAATGATCCTCCCACCTCAGCCTCCCAAGTAGGTGGGACCACAGGCACGTACCACCACATCCAGCTAATCTTTTATTTATTTTTTGGAGTGACGACATCACACCGTGTTGCCCAGGCTGGTCTGCAATTCCTGGCCTCAAGTGATCCTCCTGCCTTGGCTTCCCAACATGCTGGAATTACAGGCGTGACCCACTGCATCCAGCATCACCTCGCTTCTCTATGTTAACCTGTGGCAGTCTGATACCTGCTCCCAGGCCACCCCCAGGTCTGTTCTTGGTGAGCCAAACTGCCTGAATGAGTGATCATTTGGGTCATCAGGAACTTGACCATATTGCCTGTCAGTTTTGTTTCAACGGCTCTTCATGTTTCAGTTCTTTTGCAGGCCCCCTCCTTTTCGAAGATCTTTCTTTCCATGCTTTTGTCCGACTTCATGGCTCCCCGCTCCCCGCATCACGCCGTGGTTGTGCCTGGATGCGTGACGATGCACTGACCACATTCTGCGGCAATCACTGTTCGTGAAGCTGCCTCCCCTCCTAGACTGAAAACTCTTTGAAGATGGGACCATATGGTTTCTATCACCAAAACCAACACAATAGCAAAGAGTAGGCATTTGATAAGTGTTTATAAAAGGAAAACACACAAATAATACTTGTCTACCCAAATAAGTGATTGTATTTTTCCAGATGCATATGATCAAAACCCACAAGTGTCTGTGCTTTGTAACCGTGTCCCCAAGCCCTGGGCTCAACAATACAGCTAACACAACTTACTGCATTTGAGTGTAAAGGTTAGTGTATAGCCCTAGGAAAGCATTTTCACCCACAGTATGAGTGGTGCATATTCACATCCACTGTGACAGGTCCATGCATGTTATCACCCTGAAGACCTTCCAGTGGGACAAGATGTGGAGGTGGAAGGCAGTGCTATTGATGATCCCGACCCTGTGTAGGCCTAGGCTAATGTAGGTGTTTGTGACTTTGTTTATGATGAGCTAGTTTACAGAGTCAAAAAAAATTAAATACAAAAAGGCTGAAAGAATAAAGATATAAAGAAAGAAAATATTTTTGTACAGCTGTACAATGTGTTTGCATTTTAAGCTAAGTGTAATTACGAGTCATTTTTGTAATTAAAAAGTTTGACATTACAGTAAGCAAAGGTTAATCATTATTGAAGGAAGAAAAAGTATTTCTTATAAATTTAGTGTAGCATGAGTGTCTAGTGTTTATAAGGGGGTGCACAATAGCATCCCAGGCCTCCACATCCACTCGCCATTCACTCAGAGACTCACCCCAGCAACTTCCAGTCCTGCTAGCTCCATTCGTGGTAAGTGCCCTATAAAAGTGTACCATTTTCCACTTTTTATACCATGTTTTTACTGTACCTTTTCTCTGTTTATTATGTTTAGATACATAAATACGTACCATTATGTTCCAGCTGCCTGCAGTGTTCAGTAGCGTCCCCTGCTGGGCAGGTGTGTATCCCGGGAGCAACAGGCTGTACCATGTGGCCCGGGTGTGGAGGAGGCTGTGCCGTCTGGGTTTGTATGAGTGCACTCTATGATGTTCACACAACGGCAAAATCACCTAAGGATGCATTTCTCAGAACGTATTCCCTTCATTAAGTGACACGTGACTGTGCATATAATTAGATTATTCTAGAGGTGACTAAAATTACTATTTGGAAATGTTAATTAAGCAACACATGTGACAAATATATACCAAGATTTCTGTGAAATTCAGCCCTCCGTGGCTGAGGTCCGCAATACACAGCCGTCTCTAAGTACCTGGCTTGAGAGTTCCCGCAAGACAGTAGCCTTGGATTTGGCCTCTGTGTACCCTATCACCCTGCACAGTTTCTGATACATTGAAGGCTTCCAGTAAAGGAAACACTAACACTTAATAGTATGTATGAGGAATCCAGAGTTCTTTGTTTATTTACAGTTTTAAACAATGAAGTCCACAAAAACTAAAAGAGTAAGAGGTTGCCTGTTTATTAAAAGCAGCATTCTATTAGGAAAGCATGTATGTACTGCTGCTGGTGCCTTTGCCGACTTTGAGTGTGTGTGTGCGTGTGTGTGTCAAACTGTGGGAGTGAACTGCAGCACACAAATCACCACCCAGAGGGGGCTTCTCCAAGTGCGCAAGCTCAGCAGAGGAAGCCTCAGCCCTGCGGAAGCTCAGGGAGGGTGAGGGCGCGAGCTCAGCAGAAGAGGCCCTCAGCCCCCCCGAAGCTCAGGGAGGGTGAGGGCGCGAGCTCAGCAGAGGAGGCCTCAACCCTGCGGAAGCTCAGGGAGGGTGAGGGCGCGAGCTCAGCAGAGGAGGCCCTCAGCCCCGCCGAAGCTCAGGGAGGGTGAGGGCGCGAGCTCAGCAGAGGAAGCCTCAGCCCCGCCAAAGCTCAGGGAGGATGAGGGCGCGAGCTCAGCAGAGGAGGCCTCAGCCCCGCCGAAGCTCAGGGAGGATGAGGGCGCGAGCTCAGCAGAGGTGGCCTCAGCCCCGCCGAAGCTCAGGGAGGGTGAGGGCGCGAGCTCAGCAGAGGAGGCTTCAGCCCTGCGGAAGCTCAGGGAGGGTGAGGGTGCGAGCTCAGCAGAGGAAGCCGCAGCCCTGGGGAAGCGGAAGCTCAGGGAGGGTGAGGGGGCGAGCTCAGCAGAGGAAGCCTCAGCCCTTCAGAAGCTCAGGGAGGGTGAGGGCGCAAGCTCAGCAGAGGAACTCTCAGCCCTGCGGAAGCTCACGGAGGATGAAGGCGCAAGCTCAGCGGAGGAACCCTCAGCCCCGCGGAGGAGCCCTCAGCCCTGCGGAAGCTCACGGAGGGTAAGGGCACAAGCTCACCAGAGGAAGCCTCAGCCCTGCCAAAGCGGAAGCTCAGGGAAGGTGAAGGCACAAGCTCAGCAGAGGAAGCCTCAGTCCTGCGGAAGCGGAAGCGGAAGCTCAGGGAGGGTGAGGGTGCAAGCTCAGCAGACGGAGCCTCAGCCCTGCGGAAGCGGAAGCTCAGGGAGGGTGAGGGCGCAAGCTCAGCGGAGGAAGCGTCAGTCCTGTCCAAACTCCGGGAGGGGGAGGGCGCAAGCTGAGCAGAGGAAGCCTCAATCTTGCCGAAGCGGAAGGTCAGGGAGGGCGAGGGCGCCAGCTTAGCAGAGGAAGCCTCAGCCCTGCGGAAGCTCACGTAGGGCGAGGGCGCAAGCTCAGCAGAGGAAGCCTCAGCCCTGCCGAAGCGGAAGCTCAGGGAGGGTGAGGGCGCAAGCTCAGCAGAGGAAGTCTCAGCCCTGTCGAAGCTCAGGGAGGGCGAGGGCGCGAGCTCAGCAGAGAAAGCCTCAGCCCTGCGGAAGCTCGGAGAGGGTGAGGGCACAAGCTCAGCAGAGGAAGCCTCAGCTCTGCGGAAGCGGAAGCTCAGGGAGGGTGAGGGCGCGAGCTCAGCAGAGGAAGCCTCAGCCCTGCGGAAGCTCAGGGAGGGTGAGGGTGGAGGCTGGGAGATATTTCCTCACAGCTCCTCTTGTGCCTTCTCTCTCTTCCCTCCCTACTTGACCCTGCCCACTCCTTCAGTCCCTCATTGTAACCCACTGTCTTTTCAAAGGTACATCATTCTTACATTTGGATTTTAAAATGTGTGACGAAAGCTAGAATGCAACCCAGGAGCAGGAGCTCTGCACTAACAGCAGAGGGCTCCTTCTGGTTTCCATGTTCCACACACCTTTTTCATTAGGCCAAAAGTCACCAAGGATGCAATGGGAACTGGACTATGCTGTTCCCTTTGACAACATGATTTCACAGAGTGCTTCCTGCGCCGATGCAGAGAACTTTCGCCAGATTCGTGAGCAATAATGGTATGAACAGCCATTAATTAGAGAGGGAGATTAGCTTAAACAAAAGGGGATTAAATTTAGACCCACTCATTATCTTTTCCACTGTTAGCTCTATTGAACTCCATTGTGGGTGGGATAAGAACAAGAGAAATGGGGATTGTGTGGAGTATGAATCAATTAACACATATATGCCTGCTGTGTGCACACATTGCCCTTTAAGACATAAAGAAAAATGAGACATGATGGTATAGAACATACACACACAGCGGTAAAGACGAAAAAGACAGACTCAGATTCCACCTTTTTCTTTCTTGATTATGGAACGTTGTTTTTTCTCTATACTTAGCTGTAGCCCCTCTCCTCCTCTCAAACATAGAGTTCTACATAGAAACTTTTTCTTCTGCCCTAAAATCAGTAAGCTCTCTTGGGACAGTTTGCAAAGTATTAGATTTTACCCAATTAGAATTGTTCGCATAGGGCATGGCAGAGTGGTTCTCATTCCTATCAGACCAAGGCCCTCTTTAAGACATAAAACTGTTTGTGTTTTACCTTGAAATGAAATCATTAGATAATGTAATTTACCTGAACACAAACTTTAATAGCAACATAAGAAAACTCTCAAGCATTGTTTATATAATAGTGAACATAGCTGCTTTCCAAATTACAAAAAGAAAACAAAAATCAATATAATGCCCCAACAGTGAATATAGAAGAGAAATAAAAGGAAGAAAAATAACATTTAAGGAATAGTAAGTGTATATTTAATTTCTCTGATTCTTCTCTTTGTTTCATACAAGATGGGTAATTTTTAGATTTTCTCTTATTGAAATGATGAGTAGTCGATTGTCTTTAAAATACTTTAACATACTATTAACCAGAAAATCAAATGATAATAATTTCTGCACCTTTGCCGGGACACACACTTTTTTGATCATCAGATGGACTTTTCCCCATGAAAAATGTGCAAATGCACACAACACTTACACACAAACGTTTCTGTATGTTCTGTGACCTAGACCCCCTGGCATCCCAATGACGAGGACTTCAGCATCACTTTCAAATGCAAACTGACTATGCTTACTACACCCTTCCTTCCATTGTCCATCATTCAAACTGACTATGCTCACTACACCCTTCCTTCCATTGTCCATCATCCAAACTGACTATGCTCACTACACCCTTCCTTCCATTGTCCATCATTCAAACTATGCTCACTACACCCCTTCCCTCCATTGTCCATCATTCAAACTGACTATGCTCACTACACCCTTCCTATCATTGTCCATCATTCAAACTGACTATGCTCACTACACCCTTCCTTCCATTGTCTATCATTCAAACTGACTATGCTCGCTACAGCCTTCCTATCATTGTCCATCATTCAAACTGACTATGCTTACTACACCCTTCCTTCCATTGTCTATCATTCCAACTGACTATGCTCACTACACCCCTTCCTTCCATTGTCCATCATTCAAACTATGCTCACTACACCCTTTCCTCCACTGTCCCATCATTCAACTAGACATGTATTCAGATATTTAAGGTTATCTATAAAGGTTTAATTTGTTTTTCCTAATGTCTGTCTACCCCTTCCCTCAATTGTCCCATCATTCAACTCTATACATATTCAGATATTTAAGGTTATCTATAAAGGTTTAATTTGTTTCTCCAAATGTCTCTGTACAGGTGCAATATTAAGAAATTGTCATCTAAAGTCCATATTTTTAAAAATCATTATAAATATATAGTAATTTTATGAGCACACCAAAGTACAGTAATTCCTTCTCAACATGGTTCTCTTTATGCAAAATTCGAATGGGTACAGATTTCTGTTTTAATCCCTTTTTTTCTTAAATGTGGGAATTATATATATATATATATATATATATATATATATATATATACACACATATACATATTAATCCACTCAAGTTGCCACCATGTCGTATAATGGAATATCTCTCCAGGTTGAAGAGATCTCTGATTATTCATCTCTGTCTTCATTCTCTCTGTTGCCATCTACCCAACTGGTAATATATTATCTTTAATTTTATTTTCTTTTATTACATTTCATTGTGTGTTTAACTAGTCATTTAACTAGCATTTATATAGCATATATGTGGGGCTTATTATATGCCAGGAATTGTTCCAATCACTTTACTGATACTAATTCATTAACTCCTTCCAATAATTTTATGAGATAATTGCAATTGTTATCTCGGTTTTACAGATGAAGCAACTGAGGGACAAGAGGTTAAATAATGTGCCCAAGATCGTAAAGCTAGTTACCACCAGAGCTGTAATCATAGCTGTAATCAGAGCCCAGTTAGTCTGGCTCCAGAGTTAGTCCTTAAAATCGATTATCACTCACTTTTCTGTTGTGTGTGTGGTGTGTGTGTGTGTGTGTGTGTGTGCTCACATGCTGCTTAGGTAGTCCCCACGATATTGACCAGGAAGTGAATTCTGGATTTTAGTTGTTTTACGCAGGAAATGTCATGCTGTCCTTTAGAGAGACCCATTACATCTTGGACCTAAACATGAAACTCTCTTTCTGCCAAACAGGATTTAAAATGCCGATCCAATGACCATAGAATAGAATGTGCTCATGGCGGCTGAGGAAATGCAGAACCAGGGAGAGTATTGGAAAGAGTCCTCTAATTAGATAGACGGAAAACTGCAGCATCAAAAAACACGGTATGATCCTTAAGACGTGTGTTTAAAAAAAGATTCATGAAAATAAACTGGTAAAAAACACTAAACACTTTAAGGAACTACTTTGAATGTGTACAGAAACAATAGGCCTTCCAATAAAGTTTGGTTGATTTGCTACAAGTTTGTAAAGATATGAAAAGGTTCCAATACGATGTTACTAGCGTCCTTTCTTGGAAAGAACCTAGAAAGCATGTTCAGGAGCATGGGATCCCCTTGCAATGCTGTGTGCTTAGATTCTATGGATCTTGAGTATAAGACCCTGCATGTGCGTGAAACTCCAACACTGCACCCCAGCCAGCCTAGGGAGTGAGATCCATGTGCTGCCGGAGGAAGAGGTTACAGAGAGTTAACTTTCCCAGTAATAGTCCACAAATTTCCCTTCCTGCTCCCTCAACACTCATACAACCTCTGATCATTATCATAAAGTCACCTTGAGAATAAAAGTAAATGTGAATCAAACTTATGGATTTGTAACAGGAAAAAATGTGGCAATAGCCTGATTTTCACTATCCCTCCCAAGAACAAATAATAAAATCCACGAGAAGGGCAACCATATTCGTAATCCACACCCTCCACATAACTGAGAAACCAAGGGCTGTGATCTTCATATTACCTTTAATTCCACTGGAGCTCCCACTGCCCACCCAATGCCACAAGATTCCATGAAAAAAAAAATAGAGTGAAGTGATGCACTCAGACAAAGCACAGACAATCTCACCTCAGAAGGAGGTGCAGGGTACAGATACTTCACGGGACTGGAGGCAGGGAAGAGGCTTGTAAATGTGCAGGACCAAAAGCGGTAAGCCCCATGTTTCACCTACGGGAGAGTCAGACATAAGGAAAAGAGGGGCACCCCTGGGAAGGGAGGCCCTGAGGGACAGAATAAAAAAGTGAAACCTGAGTATCCTGCAGAGACAAAAGCAAAACAAAAGCACTAATCCTTCTCCACAATTGTCCAATAAGAAAACAGCGCATTCAGGGGGCAGAACCAATAGAAAAGTTCATACTGAAATCCATGCAAAATGGATACAAAGAGGAAAAACAAACCACACCCAAATGGAACTACCCTAAAACAATTAAGGTAAAGCAAACCATTTTTGCTGTTACCCAATTTAAAAAATACATGCACACAAACAATAAATCTGTAACACAACACTCCAAAGTGAATTAAATATCCTCAAAGAAGCATTTGGAAAGACAAAGGCCACTGTGAGCCATAAATACAAAAATAAGAACAGAAAAAAGATAAATATTTATATATATGTAGTATATCTGTATTTAATTTTGTTGATTAAACTCAGAATAAAAATAGGAGAAAAGGAGATGTTTTGAATAGAAACTAGATTTTGCCTCATCAAAATACACTGTAAAGCCTGTAAAACTAAATTAGTGTGGAATTAGTGTATGAAAAGGCCAATGGGATGGGATAGAATAGAGAATCAAGAAATAGATCCATCTCCAATGGAAATCTGATATACTCTAATGGTTGTACTCAAATTACTGCAGCAAAGATGGTCTTTTCACTAAATAAAGTTGAGGCAACTGAATAATAATTTAGAAAAATACATAATTAGATCAGTTCCTTACACCATTCAAAAGAATATCATCCCAAGTGTCAAAGGTCTAAATGTAACAAAATTATACAAGTACCAAAAAAAGTTGAATTTAACCTTTTAAAAAATGCATATAACATAAACTTTACCATTTTAATCATTTTTAAGTGTGCAATTCAGTGTCATTAAGTACATTCACAGTGTTTACAACTGCCACCACTACCTGTTTCCAGAACTTTATCATCATCCCAGACAGAAACTCTGTACCTCTTAACCTGGGTCTAGGGGAGATCTTCTGACTCTTACTCAAATCCAGATGTGATAAGCACTGGTAACTGATTATTTAACAATAAAATGTTGTACAGGGCAAAGTTGAAAGACAAATAAACTATAACAAAACATTGGTAACCTAAATTCCAAAAGGAGGAAATGTTAATCCTCCTTTTAAAAAATATTTTTAAAAATAGAGGGAAATGAACAGCACTTCTATATGAATGAACAAAAGATAGGAAAAGGCAATTTACAACCAGACATATAAAAGAACCTGAAAGTATATGGAAAGATTTTTCAAGTTCCCTCATAATAAGATAACTGAACATTAAAGCTACACTGCGATACAGGCTCTTACCCATCAGATGAGCAAAAAAATCGTTTGACAGTGCATACAACTAGTGAAACTGTAGGGGGAAAAGTCCACTCACGCACTCTTGGTGGGAATGCAAAACGATACAGTCCCTATGAAGGAAAGCATACACACACACACACACACACACAAATACATATATACACACATACATATATACATACATATAAACACACATATATGCATATAACACATATACATATATACTTATGTATACATATATACATATATACATGTGTATATATACACATATATACACATATATATATTATATGTATTTTATTTTTTTACATGGAGTTTTGCTCTTGTTGCCTGCGCTGGAGTGTAGTGGCGCGATCTCAGCTCCCTTCTGCCTCTCGGATTCAAGCCATTCTGCTGTCTCAGCCTTGTGAGTAACTAACTGGGATTACAGGAGCCCGCCACTGCGCCTGGCTAAATTTTTTTGTATTTTTAGTAGAGACGGGGTTTCACCATGTTGGCCACGTTGGTCTCGAACTCCTAACCTCAAGTGATTAGCCCGCCTTGGCCCTCCAAAGTGGTGGGATTACAGGCATGAGCCATTGTGCCTGGCTAGAAAGCAATATTGCATTTCCATTTACCCTCATTCTAGCAACCCCACTTCTGGGAAATTCCCTGGAAAAACCTCTTCCAACCACGCTAAAGTACACATGCATGAGGGCGTAACTTGTAGCATGACTTTTACTGCAATCGTTTGGAATTACTGAAGTGTCCAAGCATAGACGATTGGCTGAATAAACTACAGTACATACACACAATGGAGTATTTCGAAACTATAAAAATGAATGAGGTTGATCTCTGCAAAAGGAAGTAGAGCAGTTTCCAAGAGCTATTATTAAAGGATAAAAGGAAAATGCATGAAAGCATATGCTACCTTCATGTAAGAAAAATATATGTAAGATAAAAACACACAGGTGTATAGTTTTGCAAAAAGAAACATAAGATTAAAAAAACAGCAAACAATCTAGTTGGTTATCTAGGAGGGTAGAGAGAACAGAGTAGAAGTAATGCAGGAGGGGGACACTTCTCTGACTATACCTATAAGCAAAGATACCCCAACAGCAGTAAGCACATCTGAGACCCAGATCGTCAATACTCTTCCCCACTAAAAGGAACCAGGGCTTCTGAGAGAAATAGCCAATTCCAGGGCTGGGACAGGAAAACTGCAAGACGAGCCTGGAATACCTTTCTATGCCATATATTAAGGAAGTGTTCAAAGGATTGATGGGGCATTTTGTAAAACTACGGGGAGAAATTTGAAGGGACTTATGCTGGCTAAATTTGGGACAGTTTGAGCACCAAGAGAACTAAAAAACATACTAAATTACCCATTGAACAATTAAGAATCCATGTGCTTTTACGGATAATAAAGAGCATTAAACGAAGACATACCTTAGTAGGAGGAAGGAGGGGGGCTCTTGCTCACACTGGAGCACCAGGTGTTGACCTGCTAAACATGGAGAAAGTAGGAGGAAGGAGGGGGGCTCTTGTTCACACTGGAGCACCAGGTGTTGACCTGCTAAACATGCAGAAAGTAGGAGGAAGGAGGGGGGCTCTTGCTCACACTGGAGCACCAGGTGTTGACCTGCTAAACATGGAGAAAAGATGGGAGTGAGAGAATCATGGTTTTTCACTCATCACAGTAAGCCTTAGTTCAGGTAAGAAGCATCAGTGGATGCCAAATTTCAGGGGAAATCTTGATGAAGCATGGGATATTTTTATAGTTTTCAGAACTTAGGATATTTCCCACAGATTATTGATTGCAAGAGAAAACACGTAATTTTATCATGGAGAAACTGGACACCAAGTTGACATCTTAACAACATCAGCAGCACTGATGAGGGACATTGTGCGTCCCCAGCTGCGAGGCCCTGAATACAACCCAGCATCATGTCGGTACTACCGCAGCGTCACGTTGGTACTATCGCATTCAGGAACACAGCCTGTTTCTGGTCACGGGAAAACTGCAGACAAATCCAAAATGAGGAATCATCTTCTAAAAAGGGAGGGTTATATTGTTCACAAGGTTAATATAACAGTAAGAAGAAATGCTGTGAAAAAGTTTCAGAATAAAGGACACTAAAGAGGCATGACAGCTAACTGCAATCCTCTCTTAACTGGAGCCCGTCCTGAAGGGAAACAAATCCTAGTAAAGATATTATTGGGTCATTTGATGAATTAGATCTCAGACAGCAGGTTATATACGAGTATATGAGAATGTGTATATATTATATGTTGTAAACATACAAATATGTAAAAAGAAATGCATATACAAATAAGTGTAGAGGTATATAAGTATACATATAAATATATGTGTGAGAAAAAATAATTAAAGAATTGGTATAATATTAACACACGTAGTGAATCTGGGTAAAGTGTATAAGTGTTCTTTGTATTTTCATTGCAACTTTTCTGTAAGTATTGTTCTCAAATAAAAAGTTTAAAAAAATAAATATGTAGAAATGTGTTATTATATGGTCTCCATTATTTGTAATTTACAACCTGTTTCATTTTATTTTACCAAATGTAAATTTAAAAAAAATAATCCCACACACTCCCTATGCTAATGTTTCCTTGAATTTTTGTCATTCTGATCTTATCTTTCCACTCCATTCTACTTGTCCCCAAAAAGACTTAGTTCCTCAGTTATGATAGTTACATCCTAAAGATTTTTAGGAACCTATAGTTACGTTGCTACAAATGGATTACCATATATTCTGGTTCTTTGGTTATTGTTTCTCAGCTTTGAATTTGTCACGGTCAGATGCTGAAATTAGGACTTGACAAGCTTCCCTCCTTGTCAACGGCATCCAGGTTGGTCCTGCCAGGGTCAGGAGCACCGGAGGGAGCCTGGGAGGCAGGTGGTGGGAGAAGGGACCGGTTCCTACTGGCGTTGTCATCTACCCAGGCTGCTCAGCAATGCCCTTCACCCTGGCAGCAGCGGTCAGTAGCCATAACATCAGTTCCCATGCCTGGCTTCTTTTTGTGCTCCCGGAGACACCCTCCCCATGAGCCTCTCAAAGGCCTGAGCACAAGCTGGGCAGTGCCCCTTCTTGGGGGACTGAGCCCCAGCTCTGGGGACCCCTCCTCCAGCTTCTGGATTCTAGTAACCCCAACTTCTTTCCTTTGTTCCTCAGCCCTAGACAGCTGGTGGCTGCCCCTGCAGTTTCACTCTCTGCAATACCTCAGTTCCCCCTTTTTATTCTATTTAGTCAATTTCCCACATTTAAATCTCTGTGTACTAAAATAATTAGTGTTGTTTCTGTTTTCTTGGCTGGACCCTGAATACTGGTTTACCATATACAGTAGATTCTTTATGCTTTTAGGCGACCAAAACAAGTTTTTGAAAGGTGCTAACAATGACCTCTATGGATACATTTATATTTTCCTCAAATTGTCTATTTTTGTCTCAGCCCCCTAAAATGAATAAAACCTTTATTTTCATATCTGTCTTCATAGCTTTAAAGTGTCCAGAAATTGATATAAATATCCAGCATAATCCTCCCTAACAGTTCATTTTTGAAGACTTGGAAAATCGTCTTTTTGGTAGCAACTCTGATAGACACCTTGGACTGATACTAACAAGGCAACCTAGGACCCACCTGAGCCCTGAGCCCACCATCCTGAGTGATCCATAAACTTCAGAGCAGACCCCCAGTGATGGCTTCAAGGAACATGTCCAATCAGTTAATACGGAAAAAGATTTATCTATTGGTCAGACATCATTACATTAGTAAGTCATCAAATGTGAAGCGTACATTCATTCATTCAACAGATATTTGTGTAAGTCCCTGTGTGTCCACTGTTCCAAAGAGAATGAGGCAAAACGTCCGCCCTCATGGGCCTTACGTTCTAGTAGGAAACATTTGCAAGATAAATAAGTGTAGTTTACAACATGTCAGGGAATAAACAGTGAGAAGGAAAATAAAGCAGGAAGAAGGGATGAGACGGGGCAGCATTTTAGATCGGTAGTTTTTAAACAAACAGATCATTGTTTTCTATAAATATTTATTCCAAAATACCACATAACATATATCTTTCTTCTGTTTCCTGGTCTTCTCCTTTCTCTTCAACATAGCTAATTTAAAAGGACATTTTGATCCCTAATTAACATTTCGCCCTGATATCCAGACAATATCTATCCTGTGAATCCCTATGCGTTCCCAAGTTACTCTTCGACGCAGCCGTTCCCAGTGGCCTCGATTTCCATTCCACATTCACACTTTAGAGTCCTCTGTCTTCTACTAAGCACTCCAGAAAGCTTTGGGAGGGAGAGGTAAAGTTGCTGATACTGTAGACCTTGCTGGCACATTTCCTAGGGTGCTGAAGCCACCACCCTTGGGCTCCTGAATGACAGGAGAAAGAAAACAGTTAACTCACTGTGAGCCTTGGATGGTGGAATAATAATCACGGCATTTGGGGATAGCTGCGGATGCTGAATCTGAGCCCCTCACTTCTACGCTGGGTAAGCTGAGGTGTGTCACTGCAGGACAGCTCTCCAGGTGGCCTTGGAAGATGTCCTGGGAATGCAACACTCTGAGATAAGGGTGAGCAGGCTGGAATTCTCAGGCTCTGTTCCCACCCTCCCCTAGAAACGGGACGTCCTTCAATTCTGGAGCTCCTTGCATCATGTTCCCCCGTGGTGTAAAACCCAGGGTGGGCTGCTTTTCAGGGTCCCTCATCTACAGCACAACGGGGGCACACACAGTCAAAGCTCCATCCACCCCGGCAGCTTTCTGAGTCTCGAGGAAGCAGCTCCCACAAACTCCTGTTGTTCCTTGCTGCCTATCCACAAGTATCAAATCTGCGTCATGTGAGTTGATGCCTGGGAGTGTGCTCTCCCTCCACAGACTCAGGCACGCCAGTCACCGCTCACAGTGAGCCTGCCTCACAGGTTATTCTTTTAATTTGTAAAATGAAAATGCTTTTATCTTCCCTTCAGGATACTGTGAGGGTTACATAGAATAATTTACACAATGTCATTAAAACACATATGAACACTTCAACAAATGTTGATTCCGTTCACCCCTACTCACTCCCGCCAGCTCATGCAAACTTTTCTGCTTTGTGAGCAAAAAGAAAAAAAAAATAAATACACACTGTGAACTGACAGAGAGATTCCAGGTGGCTGGTGTTGTGTGCCTAAAAGGTCACCGAATTAATGGTTCTACTGTTTAAAACTCGTTTTCGAATCGCTGTGAATGGGCAGATGAGACATTCATAGACTTGAGTTGCAGCCTGGGCAACACATTGAGCAAATAGGTGAGATTAATAATTATTTCCATCCCGTTCAAACCCTTAATGAATGCTTTTCGGGAGACGAGAATGGTGGGGAGGGTTTTTCTGCAAAAACACAGAATCAAGTTAGAGCAGCCAGATCACATCAAGTTTTGTGTCTTTCAACTTTTGAAAGACAACCTTTAAGACTGCAACAGGGGTACCTGGACAAAAAAGAGATAGTCTTATGACAGTATAGATGAGGAAGAGGCAGGCTAGTCGGCAATACTCTTTGACCAGGCCCAAGGATGGAGGCTGAGTAAACAAGGTCAGCCAGCATCAGCAAGAAGGAGGACCCCGAACAAAATCAATCGACTCATCTTTGCAGCTCTCACAACTATGTCCTGGAACATTTAGATTCCATATCTCCTTTTTTACAAAGCTAATTGTGGTCTGCTTTGTAGATGTGGTGAAGAAATATAAAATAAATATGTAAACAGGCTTGCATATTTTTAAAATTAGAATGCAGGTCCTCCTAGACTTCCAGTGGGGTTACAGCCTGATAAACTAATCATAAGTCTAAAATATCATAAATCAAAATGCATTTAATACCTTGATAAACCCATGATAAACTCAAAATATCCTAAGGTAAACCATTGTAAGTCCAGATACTCCTTGACCTACAATGGGGTACGTCCCAATAAACCTATTGTAAGTCAAAAAATACTAAATTCAAGTTAGTCAGGGTTTGTGTTTCTTTCTCTTAGTTCTCCAAACATTCATGTTGAAGAGAGGAACGCAGGGGAGAATTTAGAGAGACATAAAGGAAGTTTGCAAAAACGTATCCTTTATGTCCCATGGTTTATTTTATGAACGTAAACTTTTTACTTAGTATAATATGCATCCAGAGATGTGGACGGATTATAAGTGGTACAGCTCAACAAACTTGCACAAAACAAACACAGCCATCTAGTCAGCACCTGGATCAAGAAACAGAGAGCATTACTGCACCCCCAAAACCTTCCTGGTGCCCTTCCCGTCACTACCCCAAACAGGGGTAGCTACTACTCTGAGCCTCTAAGACCATAGTATTGTTTTACCAGTTCCTTTTTTTTTTTTTTAAGATGGAGTCTCACTCTGTCAACAGGATGGAGTTCAGTGGCATGATCTCGGCTCACTGCAAACTCTGCCTCCCGAGTTCAAGCAATTCCCACCTCAGCCTCCCGAGTAGTTGGGACTACAGGCACGTACCACCACACTCGGTTAATTTTCTTGTAGTTTTAGTAGAGACGGGGTTTCACTATGTTGGCCAGGCTGGTCTCGAGCTCCTGACCTCGTGATCTGCCCACCTCGGCCTCCCAAAGTGCTGGGATTACAGGCATGAGCCACCACACCCAACCAGTTTTACCATTTCTTAAGCTTAAGTCAATGTAATTGTACAGTATGTACTGTTGTATGTGCTTCTTGTCTACAACATGGCATTTGTGAGATGCACCTGTGCTGCAGTGTGTGGTCGTTTGTTCATGCTCATTGCTGCATTGTATCCCAGCTTCAAAAAAAGTCCACTCTGCTGTTGATGGGCACCTAGTAGTTTCCAGTTGGGAGCTATTGCAAAGAGTGCTGCTATAAACATTTTAATAATATCTATCTTTTGGTGATCACATGCACACATTTCCATTGGGAATATGCCTAGGATTGGAATTCTTGGGTTCAGTTATGCCCAGCTTTAGTAAATACAGCAGTGCACACCCCCAGGAGCAGAGTAGGAGAGTCCCAACTGCTCCACATCCTAGCCAACAATTAATACTGTCTGTATTTTCCATCTTAGCCATTCTAGTTGGTGTCACATATATTTTAAAATAATATAATCAAGAAAAATGGATTATAAGAGATAAAAGTAATATAACTGACCACTGTGTGGTGGGCCTGGATACCCACATTTTAAACAAACTCCAATTGCTTTTGGTGCAGATTGTAATGGTACAACAGTTACAGAAGCACTGTACCAGGGGAGGAAAACTACAGTTTTTGAAAATTGGTATGTGGTAGGCACTAGATTGAGTGATTTTACTATGTATTTCAAAATAACCTAAATTGATTAATGTTATTTGCCTCCATTTACAGAGGTGCAATGAAGATTTAGAAAGTCAGGCATTTTTCCCATGCCACACATCTTGTTAATTGTAGGGCCAGTGATTCAAACCCAGATCTTTCCTCCCCTGAGCCTACAACAACCAAGAGGCAATCAATCTCTTCAGCGCAATTGTTTCTGAGCAGCCATGTCTTGGGTGTGGAATCCCAGATTTGGGTAAAAACTATATCTTTTCAAGATGTGAAATTGTCTCTCCACAAAAAATGGTCATAGCCAATCTTTATGTAGCAATAGCACAATTTTTGTGCAGCTCTAGTGAGTATTGAAAAGTTCGTAAAGGGCCTGGAAACAGGTATTTACTGACATGCCACCTGGTCACGTCCTGGGCCTCGCATAGTTTGTTGTTTGAATCAGTGTGCGGGTGAGTGTGTGTGCCAAAGGGCAGGCTTGTTAAAATTGAAGGTTCATTAGTTATTCAATACTGCCAGACAAGGTACCCCAAATCGGACTGACTTACATTTCTCACAGCTCTCTGGGTGGGCCAAGAGGTGCTTTTGCTGATCTTGCATGGGTTCAGCTGTGTTGGATTAGGCTGAGCTCAGCTGGGTGAACCGCAAGAGCTCCTCCTTTCCAGGTCGTCTTTCAGTCTCAAAGAGGATCATTGACTTCCTCTCATGAAGGCAGCAACGTCCCAGGAAAGTGAAGGCAGAAGAGGCAAGGCCTCTTGGGGGTCTTTCACCGCATTCTGTTAGTCACCGCAAATCACAAGTTCAGCCCAGAGTGAAGGGGTGGAGAAATAGATCATGTCCCGATAGGAAAGCTACAAAATAGCATGGCCATGCTTTTCAGTCAGCCACAGTGGATGAAAACCTGGATATGCCAGCACAAAGGAGAGCTGAATGAACATTAATATTTTACTGGTATCATAACTACTACTAAAATCATTAAATATAAAGAAAACAGTGGTTTTTAAAATTATGTTTCTTAGCATCAATTAAGGCCCTTGAATAAATATCAGCCCAGTGCCAAGTGCACACGTATTCGTTAAAATCCAGGTACTAATATTACCACGAAAGCCAAACTGAAATTCCCAGCAGCGCGTCTCTAAGCTGCCTTGATGCCATTTCTCTCCCTGACCACGGTCAAGGCCCCAGTAAACTCTTAATGCGACTGCCGGCACTTGTTTTCGCACACCTGGACATTTCTGGGTTTCTTCTTCTATTTTGCTTCCAACGCTTCTCTCCCCACTCAGCTATCTGTAGTTATAACTGGCAATAAATACTCATTGCTTCAAGTTGGCTTTCTTTCTGGTACCCCGACCCTTGAGAGATGATGATACTTGATTTTCTCTTTTTCTTTGATTTCTGACCCCCTGTCCGTCTTTAACCACATCTTGTTGCCTATGTCTCATCTCCTCCTCCATGAGATGGGCTACCCCACTCCATTCCTGCATGGAACCTTAGTCCCCGGACTCTGCCTGGCTCAGGGTTAAGGGTCAGACACTTGCTGAGAATGGCAGTTCAGACTCCAACACACTCTCTCAGGACCCATTGGATAACTGCAAGGAAAACACACACAAAATAAAACACGACCCAGCAATTCCATACGTGTGCAAGCTATGACTGCATTCAAGAAGGCCAAACTTACTAGAAGGCATTCACATGAGCATAAATAATAGAATCTAAATCGAAATAGTCATAGTAAAAACTGTGTTCCAAGTTTTTTAACTTTTTATGTTTATTACTTCGAAAGTACTTGGTTTAGATGGTGCCTAATGAAACAAGAGGATGTAATGATGGTGGGTATTAAAGTTCATAAGTTGAGGTTAATTTGACCCAAATGGAAGCTAATGTGCTGTTATGGAGGATAGTACAGAGGAAGAATTTAGAAAGATAACCTCAGTGCTATGTGCAGAAGCCACTACTGACCCCATTTCTAGGGCACTTTGATGAGAGAGTAAGTAAATGGAAATATCTGAACATAAGAAAGAAGAAGAAACAGACTTGAAGACAAGCCAGCCATAAGTGGAAAAGTGCAGAAAAAGGATAAAAATGACCAGAGTTTGCATTTTATGTCACGACTTACATATATGAAAAAGCTGGGAAAAGGACAGGGGAACACAATTCTGCTTTTATGATGAAGTGGAGATATGTGTAGCAGATGCACCTGTGGAAATCACTTAAGCAAAGCCTGAGAATGTACCTGCACCAGATCTGTGTAAACTGCATGCTTTTGACAAATGACAGTGCTCCTCCTGTCCAGCCTGCCACCGCTCAATGGCCCTGTATGAAAGTTTCCTTAATAAACCCCGTATCCTGTTCACTGGCTCCAGGTCTTTTCTTCAGCCTCTTGAACCTGGTGCCATCCTTACCAAAGCCAATAAGGATCCAGCACAACTGGTGAGGAAGCCAGTAAGTCAGAGCAAACCCCGTGAATACTAAGATGATAGCATCAGGGAAGGGGAGATCCACGGGGGAGACCCTGGGCCGGCTGTCCATGCCTATGATCAGGGAAGGGGAAATCCGCGGGGGAGACCCTGGGCTGGCTGTCCATGCCTATGATCAGGGAATGGGAGATCCATGGGGGAGACCCTGGGCCGGCTGTCCATGCCTATGATCAGGGAAGGGGAGATCCGCGGGGGAGACCTTGGGCTGGCTGTCCATGCCTATGATCAGGGAATGGGAGATCCATGGGGGAGACCCTGGGCCGGCTGTCCATGCCTATGATCAGGGAAGGGGAGATCTGCGGGGGAGACCCTGGGCTGGCTGTCCATGCCTGTGATCAGGAAAGGGAGATCCACGGAGGAAAACCTGGGCCAGCTGTCCATGCCTATGATCAGGGAAGGGGACATCCACGGGAGAGACCCTGGGCTGGCTGTCCATGTCTATGTGGGCCTTATAGCCACTATCCTTAATGGATGAGGCCAAATGAGTGAGTATGATAACCCCCTGAAAATGCTGAGAGGTCTGGAAGAGCTGTGGCAGGGGGCATATCTATCTAAGCAAGGTTAGATGCCCAAGTTTTGGCAGCCACAACGGGCGGCTGCTCCTGACTACACTCCAAACAGACACTGAGGCTCAGCTCACAGCACAGGCAAAGGTGCATCAAGTACAAGACAATTTATGACCAGAAAGAGATACAAGATTATCTCAGGTTGAAACATCAGAGACTTACTGTCCTGCCTGTGAGAACAGGGTGGCAAAATGGAGACCCTGGATCATTGGGTAGCCCATTTGAAGGGTCGCTGACTGCCACATCTACTAGTCAGGGCTATCATGACCCAATCATCCTGGGGCCCTAAGTCCTAGGGCCCCATGGAGAGCCCCGCTGGGAGGAGAGTGAGGACAAGGACTGAGATAAGTCCATAGAGATTCCCAGCCCCCGATGCACATCTAGTGGTCACCACCAAGATAAAGGCAGGCCAATCACTCCCTCAGGGAGTAGACCCACAAAACTCTCCCCTGCCTGAAAGATGGCAGCACGACACAGCACAGGGCGGCACCACTATGGAACTCTCTCCCCTGCCTGAAAGATGGCAGCATGACACAGCACAAGGCAGCACCACTGTGGAACTGTCTCCCCTGCCTGAAAGATGGCAGCATGACACAGCGCAGGGTGGCACCACTGTGGAACTGGTGGAGCTGGGAAATAGTTTCAGGAGGAAGGGGGAGAGCTGATCACGGGTGGCTTCTACCACTAGGGGACATGAGGTGCTGTATCTCTGCATTTGAGGTGAGTGGAATGGTGTCCACCACAAGCCACCCGGTCCTGAGGCAGCACCGCTGCAGCTCCAGTAATGAGGATTGAGCCATACCTATGGTAGCTGGGTGGTTGTGGCTGCAAGGGGAACTGGCCAAATGAGTGAGACACCACCCCCACCCCGTCTCCTCTGCAATGCCAGCCTACGACGAAAATGCCAGACATCCTCTGGGAATTAAGAATGAAGTATACTGTCTATGCTGAGCAGACATCCCCACATCTCCTCTGCAACGCCAGACTGACGAAAGTGCCAGACATCCTCTGGGAATTAAGAAGGAAGCATGCTATCTACGCTGAGCACTATCTAGTTTCCAAAAATCAGCTTTTGTTCACTGGCAGCATGAAAGATTAGAGCCAGCATCCAGTCAGTGGTATGGAGTGCTAGTGTCTCTCCTGAACCCTTAGGCAGGACAGCCAGTGTCTCCAGTGGCCCGAGCAGCCACTGACTTAGGAGACATGAAGAAACTGCATGGGCAAGGGGTACATGCTACAAGGATGAAAGTCAAGGGCGCCAAAGGAAAGGGGGCAACCAAAGGGCCAGCAGGGTGACCCACTGGGTGTGACACTAGTCACTTGGTAATATGCAAAATATTTTCGCTCCCTCAAACATAAGAACAACGGGCCTTTACCATCTTCCCCTGGAAATATCATCCCAGAGGGGGAGGGTACATGTTTTCCATTAACTTCGAGTGTTTTTCCAGCTTACAAACTGCAACAATCACCTTGCTGTCTCACTTGGAGAACAGAGGATGGGTGGTCAACACAAAGTCCAGGGGCCAGGCTTATCAATCAAATACCTGGGTGTCATCTTGTTGGATGGTGTGCAGCAAACCTCTTTGCCAACTGGGTGCAGATGGTGGCATCTCTCCAGAAAACATCCAGACTGTTGGGTGTGCGAAGAGCTGTCCTCTCCACCGTAGGCCTGCCACTGAGCATGTAAGGTCAACTCCCAAGCACTTGGGAAAACGTTATGACTGTTATTGTATTTGTTATTCTGTTTTGTTGTAATTTGTGTTGCTGCTATGAGATCTGGCTGCAATGTTCCCCCCCATACCTGGCCCAGGGAAATCGTGGAGGAATGACACGGTGAGAATGTGAGCGGCATTCCAGGGTCTGCTGGGGAGGAGGGTACGGTAGACAAACCTGACAGGAATAACTTAATTTAAGCATACCCTGAGCATGCAGACTCACCTAGTCTGTATAAACTGCATGCTTTTTATAAATGGTAGCACTTCTGCTGTCCAGCCTCCTACCAGTGGACTGCCCTGTATGTAAGTCCCCTCAGTAAACTCTATGTCTCATTCACTGGCTCCAGGTCTCTTCTTCAGTCTCTTGAACTTGGTGCCATCCTTACTGAAGACAACAGGGATGCAGCATGGTAAGATGTCCTTTAGACAATAGAAGAAAAAAGAATTGAGGACTGAAAAAAATGAGAAGCCTGACTAAATAAAAATTATATCTAGGAATCTGTTGTTTTGTTGGTAAAACAAGATTGTTCCAATATTTTTCATGTTTAAATGAATATCTAAAAATGCTATGACTAAAAGAAATACAAACTTCAAGGTATATTGTTAATATTCTTCTTCCTCTTGATAATTAGTTCCTAGAAATTTCCAACAGCTTTGTATTTGAAGAAAAGAGCTATGCATATTTATATTAACAGAAAGAGAAACCAGTAAAATAGAATTAATTGAAAATGGTAGCATTTCTTCTAATATATATTTTTAAATGTTTGAAGTGATATTAAGAGAAAGTTTAATGTAGCAATGGCCATTTAACCTACCACTCATGGTGACTTCCTTATGGCAATCTGAACTTGCTAGACAAGGGCAACAAGTTCTGCGTTCAGTATCCAGTTTGGGATTCTTCTGTCATACCTCTCCTTCACCTGTGCTTTTCCAGATATTGTTTCTAGAGAAGTTTGGCATGGAAGGAACTTTGTCTTATGTAAATGAGAGGAAATGGCTCTCACATCAATGTCATTTTGCATATGACATGTGGGCATATTTTACCTTCAACAGAACAAATGCTTTCTTTTTTTTACTTCTTTATCTACAATTATGAACTATAGGCAGAGTTTCAGACACTTGCAAATATAGCAACAAAACTGAAAATGCATTTAGTATACCTTTTAGCACTTAAGTTAGAGGTTACAAGAGAGCAGGCCTCAGAGTCCGAGAGATTTCAGTTCCACCTGAAATGCTGAAAATCGTTCTGGAGAGTGAACAGTTGAGTGTGTTGCATCCCTGTCCTGGTTTCAGTTCTCTTGGAAGTTATGTGAGGATCTGGTCTCACGCCTTACCCCGAGAGAGCCCTGAAGGGCCCAGGATGTCCACAAAGAAGCTGAGGGGGCTGGACATGCACCTGGCAGAGGCCTCCACAGTCCCTGTGAAGCCTGCTGTGGACTCACTTCAATCAAGCATCCTCACCACCTTCTCCAATTTTCATCACCTCCCTTGAAAGAAACACAGTTTATTACTCTCATAGCAGCCTTCATGGTGCATGAGCTGGAAACAGACTGTGCAAGACTCTCCAGGGTGTAAACAGTCTATTCTTGTGCTTCTCTGAGTATTTGGAGGAAAAGAACCAGATTTGGAGGAGGTTGGTTGGTTTCTTGTTTGGTTTTGTTTTTCCTAATCTATTGTAGACCAACACTATTAAAAACTACAAAATAAATGAATTGCTAAAACAGACCACATTTTTACTTCACATGGCAACATCAAATTTCTTTACAAGTTTCTAAATGCTCAGTTTCTGGACTTATCATTCCTAATGTTAGGTCCCCAGGTCCACAAAGGACTCCTGGTCACTGTCTCCAGATCATTCTTCGAATAGCACTGGTCTAGTCCAAAGCTGCCTGGTTAGAGGGTCCCCGCCTTACTAGAGGAAGAAGGGGCAGGCCACAGCAGCAGGGCACAGCCAGGGCCTGCCCACTGCCAGGTGTGCTTCGTCTGAGAGACGTGGCATGCGTCCACACTGCACACCACAGAGGTGGCTTCAGTGCCATAAATGTAGAGAGAGTCAAGTCTCCATGGCACAATCCATCATAGCAAATTTTTCCATCAGAGCCTGTCTTCTAACCAAGGCTACAAAGTCAATATTCCTACAGGGGTAACAGTTTCTTGCATTTTTCCCTATCATAACATTTTCATATCATAACACAGTCATAAAAATAATTAATTCCACAAGGCATTCATCTCATTTATATCTTGATTGACATTTGAAACCCCTAACCAAGATCCATAAAGAATTTTGTCCTCACCTTTCTCAAATTTTAACATTTAGTTCTCATCCAGAAAATAACATAAGGGTTCTACTATATTTGTAGGTTTAATCAGCCAATTGCTTTGCACACCTGAAGTTAAAAAGAATTGATCAATTCCTAATTTCTACTGGAGCAAAAACTATGATGAAAAATCAATAGTTTAAAATGTTTAAATCACTGTTAAAAATACTACCTTATAGAGCAAACAGAATGTAGGGATTCTACACCTGACACACACCAACTAGAAAAAAATGTATAAATCCACATTCAGACATATGTGAAATCACTGCCTTTGCATAGACCATTCTTTGACGGGCATTTATGAAGCCCAAGCCCACAGCAAATGTCAGGCCTTCTCTTTGCCTTCAAATGTTAGCAGGACCTCAAAACAAATACACAGCTTCCATACTGAGCCAACTCACCCTTCTTCTAGGCCAGTGGTTCTCCAACGGGCACAATTTTGCCCACAGGGGACATTTGACAAAGCTTGAAGATATTTTAGTTGTCACAACTGGGAGAATACTACTGGCCCATGGTGGGTAAAGGCCAGGGATGCTGCCAAACATCTTACCATGGACAGTGAGGCCTCATAACAGAGGATGTGCCAGCCCAGAAGGCCTGTAGAAGTGAGGCTGAGAAATCCTGTTCTAGGCTGTGCACAGCCACGTTCTCAATAAAAACTAGATATTCTCACTATTTCAAGTGGAAACCAGTGGTGTGCTGGAGCCAGCTCGTGCCGGCTCATAAGAGCCTGGGGTGCAAAGCTTCCCATCGCCATTTTTAGGGACATTGTGTTGGGAACAAAAAGTGGGTCAATATTTAGACCACGGAAATTGACAAATGCTACAAAGCACAGCCTTTTTCAGGGAGTGACGTGTTACAGGTTTTTCAGTGTATCACTGGGTGCAGCCCTCCCCAGTGGGAGTAATATGGCCTGGTGGACTCTAATTTCTGCTCCACCTGTTGTCTCTCACTTCTTGGATCATTAGCAAAGTGCCACTGATCACACAGGATGATAAGAGTGTGCTCTCACTCAGACAGTTGTTCAGTTTCTCCAAAGTGAAAGTTCACCTCTGCACAGAAGAGAATGGATTGTCCAAAGCCCCCACATCACATTACACACACACACACGTGAGTACACACATGCACACTTTCTCACTGAGGCTGCAGGACTCAGGAGAATTTACATGGAAAATATCCGCAACTTTCCCCAGGTAAGAGAGTTGGCTAATCCCCTGGATTAGCCAGTCCAGGCCATGCCCACTTCTAGATTTCCTTACATGCAGCAAACCCATTTCCCTTAGTGTTTAATCTTATTCTCATTGGGCTTTCTATTACATGAAGCCAAAATCTCCCTGCTACAACTTCTAGAATAAAACTGCAATGTTCTTGTGAAACATTTTTTAAAAGGCATGCTCATTTCATTTCTCAGATTTTTAATCAGAATTCTAAAGTATAATTTTTTCTGAATAGAAGCAAAAAAAAAAAAAAAAAAGCAAAACCTATGACCCAAGATCATTCCGTTCCCATTATGCCAATCCTCAACATGGATTGGAGCCTCCAGGAACCAACGTTCTGTGTGGTGTCTGCGGAGGGAGGATGAGCTGGTTAGCAAAGCCTGCTCTATTTTCCTATTACATCAGATGCTCTTTTATTTGATTACACTCAAGAGACGGTAGAATGTAACAAACACATCAGTTCAATATGTATGAATGGTCAAGATGAAACAAGTTCCTGCAGCTTCTTTCTCGCTGATTGCAACTGAAAGCTCTGGGCAAAATCAGAAAGCAACTGCTCAAGAGCTCCAGACATCCACAAAAGCAGACAGACTGGGAAGAGAATAAAAACTCGGGGAGGCAACCCTTAGATGGGTATATTAACGTGCTAGAGTCATTGCAGATGGCCACAGACTGGCTGGCAATGGAAATTTACTCTCTCACGGTGTTGAAAACTGGAGTCCAAGATTCAGGTGTGCAGGTGCTTCTTCCAAGGCTTCTGGCCCTGGCTTGCAGGTGGCGTCTTTGCTCTGTGCCTCCTGCAGTATGTGTGTCCTGTTCCAGTCTCCTCTTCCTATCAGGGCACAGGCCAGATTGCGGCCCCTGATGGCCTCATGTTACCTCAATCACGTCTTTAAAGCTGCTGTTTCCAAATACAGTCACACTCTCAGATACTGGGGCTGGGGCTTCATTTTGTGAGTCTCAAGGGGGACACGATTCAGTCCATATAAAGGAAGTGCTTCCTTTGAGGGGTTAGTTTTTTTGTTTTTTGGCTCTCCCCAGTGGAGCGCCAGCTGTGGTGGCACAAGCAGCTAAATCCCAGGAGAAATCCAGTGTCTGTGGCCAGAAGAAAAAAGGATCCTGTCTTCAAAGCATGGGGGGAAGAAATTCTGTGTGTTCTCTCAATCCCCGTCTCTCCCGCCCCTCTTCCTCCCTCCTCTGCTCCGCTTTTCCTGTCTCCTTCCTCTTGCCCCTCTTTCCCCACCTCTTCTGTCCCTCTCTTTTTCCCTCCCCACTTCTTTTCCCTCCTCCCTTTCTCTTCTCTCCCCTTTCTCTCCCTACTCTCCCTCTCCAACTTCCTTTCCCTCTATCTTCCTCCTTCTCCCTCTCCCTCCTTCTCTCTCTCTTCTTGTCATGTTTCCCTTTAGGTGGCACCAGTTATAGAGCCACATCTGTGTGGTGCCTCAGGGCAAGGACTTTAAAAGAAACCCCTTCCTTCTGGCCAAAGGATCAGGAGAAGGAGCCCCTGTAAGCTAGGGAGGTGGGGGGAGCCCTTAGAGGAGAGAGCTGCAGAATGGGCTTGTCTGGCTCTGTGTGTAGCACCCCCACAGTCCTGGTCCCCACCTCCCCCCCCCAGCTGTTTGTGCACAGGACAAAATCAGAGCCACCAGGGCAGCTTAGCAAAGGCCTTGGGATCCGCCCACGCACAGGGAGACAGAACTTGCCCTCTGAGCCAAGCCACATGGATTTGCCTGCGGGGAAAAAATAAACAACATTCCCCGAGGGGTTTTTAACAAGGCTGCATTCCTTCTAGTTTCTTATATTCTGTGTTCTTGATGCCTTGGCATCTGGGGCCTTGCTGACCTGGGACAGACTACCCCTCCCAGGGTTAACTGATTCCTAGAGATAGCAAACAACTCACCTGTCAGCCCAGCCTTCAGGGGAAACCAACCAAGCTGGAGTCAGCCCACCCCCACCTCCCCTGTCTGGCCCTTGAGCACCAAACACATATGCCCCTTCCCTGATCGTCTCAGGACCAGGTGCCCAACAACTCAGGTGGCCCCCAACCCAGAGCCTGCTGAAAGCATTCAAACTGGCCAGTCCTAAGCCAGCATACGCTGCCTCGCCCATTCCTTCCTGCAGATCCCATGATGAAGGTGCCTGCCACCTTCTCCTCCCCTTCCTTCTGTCCATGACCAACCCTTGTGCTTTCATGGTGTCCCTGCATGTCGAGGCACACCCCACCTCTTGAGAGCTGTGAACAGCAAATTATATTTTGGATGGCAATTGTGACTTCCTTTGGTGGCCTCACCATACCTGGATAATAATAAAACTTATACTTTAAAATGAAGACCCAGAGCTTACACAAAATCATGTCGAAAATGACCATGATGCAATTCAAAATTAATTGACATATAAATCACCAGGAAAATGTGACCAGTTCTCAAGAGAGAAGATCCCAAGCCTGAGAAGACCCAATGTCAAAGTTATCCCCAAAAGACTCTGAAGCAACGCTCGCATAATTGTGCTCAGTGAGATGAAGGTAAGTGCCCTTCACATGAGTGGAAAGATTGACTATATCATCAGAGAAATAGAAACTGTAAAAAATAACCAAACAGAGCTCTGAGCCACCAGAATCTGGAAGAGGCAAGGAAGGGCTCTCCTCTGGAGCCTCGAGAGCGAGCACGGCCCTGCTGGGCCTGACTCCACACTTCCAGCCCCCGGCACCTGGAGAGGGGAAACTGCTGTTTTTTTTAAGATGTTAAATTTGTAGTATTTGTTGTGCCACCACGGGAAACCAGTGCAGCAGGGAAAACCCTGTAAATAACCGACATATGGAGGCCACGATGCCAGGGCCATGCGCCCAGCAGCAACTCAGCAGTGTTGTTTCTCTTCCTGGAGCAGGAACGATGAGGACGGCATAATGTGGCCAGGGTCCAGGACAGCCGCTGACGCCAGATCCCCCATAAGTAACATCTACCCTCAGGGACGTGTCTGCACCAGTGAGACTGCTGCTCTGGATTCGGGAGTAAGCGCATACTTCATTCTCTTTCTTTTTTCCATTTTGTTCATCTCTTCTGTGAAGTGCCTGTTGAAATATTATTCCATTTGTTGAACCATAGAAAGAATTGAATAGGCTGTCTGGGAGATTCTGAAGTTCTCTAGGAGTCATTTTTTAGCCGTGTAAATTCCCTTTCGCTCTAGATATTTATCGTAAGACCGCAGTGAAGAAGCACAGAAAACCTGAAGTGCAAGTGCTCAGCACAACGTTATTTATGGTAGCAGAAATATTAAAAATAAATTAAATAACCAACTTTGAGGATTGGTTAAATACATTTCAGTAGACCCATACCAAAAGATGCTCTGCAGCCATTAATCAATGCTGCTGCTAATAATGTGCTTGTTAGTTACATTATTCACTAGAAAATTTATTTTAAAATATTATGAACAGTTTTTTTTTCACAATATTGTACAAAATAGAAATGTCTCTGATTATGCAACAAAATATCAACAGTAATTTCCTCTGGGTATAAAGTTACAAGTTAACTTTTTATTTCTCTATGCTTATTGTCTAATATTTTAAAAAATTAACGTATATTATTTATGAAATTTAAGAGGTATTTAGAACCAAATTTTTAGAAAATTATAGACACATGAATTGTGCATTTTACTGAAAGCTATTCATGGGTTCCACTAAATGTCCTGAGGTGATTTTTATGTACTTTTCGGGATCTGGGTGACTGGAAATGTCTTTCTGGTTTTAGTGTCTCCTTGTTAAAATAGTGGGGACTTTACACACTGGTAGCTCGTTACGTGCTCTATCTGAGAAGCTGCTAATTCCCTGAGTGCCCTGAAATACAATAATCAGAATACAGTTACTAGGCAAAAGCACCTTCAGCATTTTTTCAGGAAAACCTTTACAACTTTCACTAAAAGTTACATTGTATGACTCAAATCAGGTGTATGGTTTATAATGAGACCCACTTCAGATCACACAATTAAATGAAATCAGCCACTTACCTTTTCAACGTCCAGGCCTATCACAGGACTACATAGTTATTGCCATAGTTCTATCAATCTAAAGGGTTAATATAATCATGGCTCAATTACCAAGTTCATGAAAATTTAGCAAATATAAACATACATTCCCTTAACAACACTCAGTACCTTAACTGCGGCGACAGTCAACAAAATGCTCTTGTGTGGTTTTGCGTTGCTTTTTGCACTATTACAAATGACAAAACTACTTTGGAGAAGTTTTTTAAAGTTTACAAATAACTGGCAATTTGGGAAACTTTTCAATGCATAACTTCATAAAAAACAAAGATTCGTAATAAATTAATATGTTGAATTAGGTCTAAAGTAGATGGGATTACATTAAAATCTCACTTCACTTATTAAAAATTCAATAAAACAGTGCCAATTAAATGAGGCAATTGGTAAGAACAAGGAGATTACTTGATGTTCCATACATTCTCCCTCATTATGAAGTTTCATTTTTAACAGCTTGTTGACAGTGAGTCTCTCCTGACAGCAGCAGGGCTAGAAACTTAAGTCAGCTTTGCAATCAACTTGCAGAAAAACCCTCAGATTGCCAGTTAGCACATCTGCCTCTCCAGGTAATTGAATTCTTATTGAAAATACATCATTGGCGATGTATTAGAAATAGCGGGAGAAAGAATGAAGTTAGTAGGTGGAAACACTAAAAATAGAGACAAAAGAACGGCATGAGGCATAAGAAAATAATTTAGAAAGTTGTCACTTGCTGTAAGTTCTATTGCATCTCAACTGGGAGATTAGCTCCCAAAAGACTAATCTATTCCCATTTTACTTTTGTGCCACAGGCTGCAGTTTCAAGACGTGTGGTTAGCTTCCTGGGCCTGCTGACTTCAGTGTCACGTCCCAGAGCTTCGTCTACTGAAACACCCGGCTAATGGACCCAGCCACGCTTCCTAACAGTCCACCCACCAAGCCTCAGCTGGCTTGGCTCTTTACAGAAATTCATAATCATTCCACGTGATAGCCCACCAGCATCTGAAGTGCCAGCAAAAGCCATATTATTTTGCTAATATCTAACAATTCAGAGGCAGATGTCACAGCAGATAGTCCATAGTTTTTGAGTCTTCATTGCGGTTTCTTGATATTGTGGACAAAGACTCAGGGAAGGCCTGAGCCTCACTGACCAGGCTCTGGATTTTGAGTGTGCTTTCCCCAACCTTCAGAGCTTCAGGCCCTTTTTGTGCTTTATGTAAGCCCAGATGTTGTTAAAATATCCTACAAGACACAGGAAAGCCCCCTGTGACCAGGAATTATGCAACCAAAAATGTCAATAGTGCTGAGCTTGAGACATCCTGGGATGGAGAGAGAGAAGGAAAATGTCAACCCAGGACTGAGAAACACAGATAAATGTATGATGCGGAGCAGTCTTCAGGGATGATTCATCATTGTCTGTTGAGATTTGTAGAGCAGGAAGACATGAGCAGATAGAGAAGTACTTCTGGTAGTAATGGCACTTTCACAAAGTTGAGAGCTGAGAGAGTGGAATTATGAAAATCCCACCTCCTTCTTGACACCCGCACTCACAAGCCTGCTGTGTGCAATCGTAACCCAGAAACTTTGGGCTAAAGCCAAAATTCAAACCCAAGCTATTCTACAAGAAAGGGCAAGAAGACCCTGCCCTGATTAACAATGACAACAATTTCCTTTTAAAAAGTCAGAAGCCTTTCGAGTTACAGAAGTAACTCCCTGCCACCCCTGCCTGCCACATAGAAGAAGGGAGAAGACTGTCTTATTTTTCCCTTCTAATTCATTGACCCACTTCCCTTTTTTAACTTAAAAAGACCATGCGTAATTTGAAAAGTCATGGGTCTCAGCATTTCCCAAACTTCAGAAATTAGGGGAAATTGAAGATGATATTTAGTTGAGTGATTTCCTCTGTTTCCCCATAAACCTTGTCGCTTATGACTTCAGGAGACACACAGCATCACTTGGTGGCGTAGGCTTTCTCACCCTATGGCACTGAGCTGTCCTTGATAGCATCCCCCCATGCTCTGGCTCTCCTACTCCAGAGCCCCTCATAAAATAAACAAAAACCAAAACCCTGTTCTATACCTATTCTATAGGACCCACCGGCATACACCCAGGCACTAGGTGTGATGAGATGGGCTGATACCTATTCTACAGGACCCGCTGGCATACACCCAGGCACTAGGTGTGATGAGATGGGCTGATAGAGGCTTAATATGTTCCTCCATGTACTAGCAGGTGACTCTGAGACCCAAAAGAACTTGTCATAGTATACCATAATTGGCATAATATCAGACTAGAGAGAAAACTCTAGATATTCAGGGGGCCAAATCAGCTTTCTGTCAATGTCTAAATTATGCCAAAATAGCCATCCTGCCTCTGGGGAAGACCAGTCCCAGACCTAGCTGACAATAGATTTCATTTTCCCTCTCCACTGGAATGTAGAGACATCTCAGAGAGAGAGAGAGGATGGTATGGACCACAGCACACTGTTAACAACATTTATGTTGATGGCTTTTTGGTTGTTTAAGAGATAAGAAGGTCTCTCTCTGTCATCTGCACTGGAGTGCAGTGGTGAAATCATGGCTCACAGCAGCCTTGAACTCCTGGGCTCAAGAGAACTCCCAAAGTGTTGGGAATACAGGTGTGAGCCACTGCATCCTGCTGGCTTTTTAAATATAGTAGAATTGAACTCATCTTTTTATCTGACATTCTGTAGAGATCATTACAGGCCCACAAGGTTTTGCTTTTCTTTATGGGTTCTTAAAAACTACACAACATGATAGTGCAAATATACACAATGAGGAAGGGCTCTGGAATCAAATCCATTTTTCTGTGAACCTGTACAGGCAGCTTACTTATGTCCCTGAGGTGGAGAACAGGGCAGCCCTCCACTCCACAATTTCTTCCTCTCTCCCTTTTCTTCTCTCTTTCCTGTTTCTCTATCTCCTTCTTTCTTCTTCTTCTCCCATGCCATTTTTTTCTTCTCTGTCTTACCTTACTTGGGCCCACCAGGAACTCCCAGGGGTACCCAGAAACACAGCTTGGCTGGAGGTGGCACTTGCAGCTGCAGGGCCGCTGGTGCCCTGATAGGAAGAAAGGAAAGCAGGCTCTTGTGCCACAAGATTCATCATCATTCAAACATTCGTCAAACTTTGATTGAAAATTTCATTTCTGTCAGACAACGGCTGGGATGCAAAGATGAATTAGATAGGACCCAGGACACAAGGGCCCAGGACTTTTCATTATTGATGAAAAAAGGAACATGACAAAAACGGGTAAAAATGAAATACGGACAAAGTCTGGAAATAAGCGTTTTAGTGGCATTTGAGCTCCATTGTGGAGGATGGCAGATGTCATCCGGGCTACAAACCTGTGCTGACAAAGACACAGGTTTGTTATGAATGAAACCTGGTCCCAGGGTGGAAGGACACCAGAGTCACTGAAGCGGTGGCAGCAGGTCCACTGCCAGGAAGAAGCAACCTTTTCTGGGCCGTGAGCACTTTTGTTAGTCTGAGGAAGTCAATAGAATCTTTCTTAGAGCAATTTTTATCAGTGTGTAAAATAAATAAAATAAAATACATAGGATTACAATTAAAACCTATTACCTGAAAGTACAGTTCTATCCCTGGGCTTAGCTGTGGTCCATGGCCCCAGGTGAGCTACTCCTAACGAGGGCCTAAGGGCAAATTACAAGTGTCAACTTCCAGGCTGAGGAAGAAAATGGTGGAGACAACACAGGAATGAGGGGCAGCTTAGAATCAGGAGCCCACTGTGGTTACTCACCCAACCCATAGGAAGAGGAGCCTTCCCCTAGGAAGACTGCAGCTGGTGGCTAAGAGTGGGGTTAGTGGGTGGCTAAGAGTGGGGTTAGCGGGTGGCTAACACTGGTGTTAGAGTTGAGCAAAATAAAGGCTCAGAGAACTAAAAACAGCTACAGGCACAAGCTGTGGTCTTTGCTAGACTGAGACTTCCCGCCTCCTCCCTCCCTGGAAGACATTGATTTTTCCCTTGACAGGAAGTCATTTATATATCAGAGAATGGCTCCCCTTAGCAATCAGGGCTAACCACACGCGTGACTTAATTCCGTTATCCTCTTCCTTCATTCCAGAAACTCCATATTTCTGAAAGAATATTTGCATAACCAGCTCACAGAGCAGTTTTTCCTGTTTGTCATCTGCTTCTGGGTAACCTAGACTCCTTTAAGCTCTGGATTTGAATGAAATTTGAATGCTATAGGCCCCTCCAAGTACACCATTTTGGGATTCAAAGACTGTTTATTTCTGGGGTTTCTAAGAAGCAAGTCAGCTTGCTCTGGGGAGCCACAGCTGATTCTGTCTTTGGGAAGTGTGAAGTTACCAAGACTAAAAGCTGGATTCTGGGGAACACAGGTGGGGTGACCAGGGACTGGGTTGAGAACAAAGAGCCAGCATCCAACAGGGACTCCAGAAGGCTGAGAATCTGTCCCCAACCAGATGCTGCAGCTCAGGAAGAGCTGTAAGCTGCCCTGCTTCTCCCATGCCCACTTAGAAGGAAGCTTCATCAAGAAAGCTTGGTTTCTGTAAGCGCCAGGATGAGGCTACACAAGAAGAACACTGCTTTGTTCAAAGGATCTTCAACTTCTAACCCTTGCTCACCACAGTATATGAACTAGGACCATTAAAACTACTCAACTTTTTCTTATTTGTAGTAACAACTTATTAATCACAAATTACATGTTCATTGATGGAGACTATATATCTCTATACATTTTATTTTACTTTATTTTATATTTTATTTTTGCTAGGAGGGATATTTTAAAGGGCATGCACTAAAACATAAACACTATTTCAAAAACCCCAACAACTTCCCTCCTAAAATATTTCTATGGGAAGTAAATCCCTCATGTGGATGCTTGTAAGCAACACTACCCACCACAAACAGTATATTCAGTATGCTACCTTCTCCCTCACTTGTGGATGCCCATGGACAATACTACCCATCAGAAAGTATATTCAATATGCTACCTTCTCCCTCACTTGCGGATGCCCGTGGACAATACTATCCACCACAGAGAGTATATTCAATATGCTGCCTTCTCCCTCACTTGTGGATGCCTGTGGACAATATACTACCCACCACAGAGAGTATATTCAATATGCTACCTTCTCCCTCACTTGTGGATGCCCATGGACAATACTACCCACCACAGAGAGGATATTTAATATGCTATCTGCTCCCTTACTTGTGGATGCCCATGGACAATACTACCCACCACAGAGAGGATATTCAATATGCTGCTTTCTCCCTCACTTTTGGATGCCCATGGACAATATTACCCATCAGAGAGTATATTCAATATGCTGCCTTCTCCCTCACTTGTGGATGCCTATGGACAACACTACCAACCACAGAAAGTATATTCAATATGCTACCTTCTCCCTCACTTGCGGATGCCTGTGGAGAATATACTACCCACCACAGAGAGTATATTCAATATGCTACCTTCTCCCTCATATGGATGCCCATGGACAATACTACCCACCACAGAGAGTATATTCAATATGCTACTGTGTCCAGAATTGGTGGGTTCTTGGTCTCACTGACTTCAAGAATGAAGCCGTGGACCCCTGCGGTGAGAGTTACAGTTCTTAAAGGCGGCGTGTCCAGAGTTTGTTCCTTCTGATGCTCGGATGTGTTCTGAGTTTCTTCCTTCTGGTGGGTTCATGGTCTCACTGGCTTCAGGAGTGAAGCTGCAGACCTTCACGGTGAGTGTTACAGCTCTTAAGGTGGTGCGTCTGCAGTTGCTCATTCCTCCTGGTGGGTTCTTGATCTCACTGGCCTCAGGAGAGAAGCTGGAGACCTTCGCAGTGAGTGTTACAGCTCATAAAGGCAGTGTGCCCCCAAACAGTGAGCAGCAGCAAGAGTTATTGCAAAGAGCGAAAGAACAAAGCTTCCACAGTGTGGAAGCAGACCCCAGCAGGTTGCCACTGCTGGCTTGGGCAGCCTGCTTTTATTCCTTTATCTGGCCCCACCCACATCTTGCTGATTGGTCCATTTTACAGACAGCTGATTGATCTGTTTTACAGAGAGCTGATTGGCCCATTTTGACAGGGTGCTGATTGGTGCATTTGCAATCCCTGAGCTAGACACAAAAGTTCTCCGAGTCCCCACTAGATTAGCTAGACACAGAGCACTGATTGGTGCATTCACAAACCTTGAGCTAGACACAGGGCGTTGATTGGTGTGTTCACAAACCTTGAGCTAGACACAGAGTGCTGATTGGTGCATTTACAATCCCTTAGCTAGACATAAAGGTTCTCCAAATCCCCACCAGATTAGCTAGATATAGAGTGCTGATTGGTGCATTTACAAACCTTGAGCTAGACACAGAGCGCTGATTGGTGTGTTTACAAACCTTGAGCTAGATACAGAGTGCTGATTGGTGCATTTACAATCCCTCAGCTAGACATAAAAGTTTTCCAAGTCCCCACTACACTCAGGAGCCCAGCTGGTTTCACCCAGTGGATCCCGCACTGGGGCCGCAGGTGGAGCTGCCCGCCAGTCCCGCACCATGCCCCCGCATTCCTCAGCCCTTGGGTGGTTGATGAGACTGGGCGCTGTGGAGCAGGGGGCAGCGCTTGTCAGGGAGGCTCGGGCTGCACAGGAGCGCACGGCAGGGGGGAGGCTCAGGCATGGCGGGCTGCTGGTCCCGAGCCTTGCCCCATGGGGAGGCAGCTGAGGCCCAACGAGAATTCGAGTGCAATGCTGGTGGGCCAGCACTGCTGGGGGACTGGACGCACCCTCCACAGCTGCTGGCCTGGGTGCTAAGCCCCTCACTGCCTGGGGCTGGTGGTGCCAGCTGGCCACTCCGAGTGTGGGGCCTGCCTAGCCCATGCCAACCCAGAATTCGCGCTGGCCCACAAGCACAGTGTGCAGCCCCAGTTCCCTCCCGTGCCTCTCCCTCCACACTTCCTGCAAGCTGAGGGAGCCGGCTCTGGCTCTGGCCTCGGCCAGCCCAGAAAGGGGCTCCCATAATGCAGCAGCGGGCTGAAGGGCTCCTCAAGTGTGGCTAGAGTGGGCGCCAAGGCTGAGGAGGCACCAAGAGCGAGTGAGGGCTGCCAGCACGCTGTCACCTCTCACTACCTTCTCCCTCACTTGTGGATGTCCATGGACAATGCTACCCACCACAGAGAGTATATTCAATATGCTACCTTCTCCCTCACTTGTGGATGCCCATGGACAATACTACCCACCACAGAGAGTATATTCAATATGCTACCTTCTCCCTCACTTGAGGATGCCTGTGGACAATACTACCCACCACAGAGAGTATATTCAATATGCTGCCTTCTCCCTCACTTGTGGATGCCCATGGACAATATACTACCCACCACAGGGAACATATTCAATGTGCTACCTTCTCCCTCACTTGTGGATGCCCGTGGACAATACTACCCACCACAGAGAGTATATTCAATATGCTACCTTCTCCCTCACTTGAGGATGCCTGTGGACAATACTACCCACCACAGAGAGTATATTCAATATGCTGCCTTCTCCCTCACTTGTGGATGCCCATGGACAATATACTACCCACCACAGGGAACATATTCAATGTGCTACCTTCTCCCTCACTTGTGGATGCCCGTGGACAATACTACCCACCACAGAGAGTATATTCAATATGCTACCTTCTCCCTCACTTGAGGATGCCTGTGGACAATACTACCCACCACAGAGAGTATATTCAATATGCTGCCTTCTCCCTCACTTGTGGATGCCCATGGACAATATACTACCCACCACAGGGAACATATTCAATGTGCTACCTTCTCCCTCACTTGTGGATGCCCGTGGACAATACTACCCACCACAGAGAGTATATTCAATATGCTGCTTTCTCTCTCACTTGTGGATGCCCATGGACAATACTACCAACCACAGAGAGTATATTCAATATGCTACCTTCTCCCTCACTTGTGGATGCCTGTGGACAATATACTACCCACCACAGAGAGTATATTCAGCATGCTGCTTTCTCCCACACTTGTGGATACCTGTGGACAATACTACCCACCACAGAGAGTATATCTAATATGCTACCTTCTCCCTCCCTTGCAGATGCCTGTGGACAATATACTACCCATCACAGAGAGTATATTCAATATGCTGCCTTCTACCTCACTTGCAGATGCCTGTGGACAATATACTACCCACCACAGAGAGTATATTCAATTTCTGAAAGCCCAATTTGAAGAGGAGGTTCATCGAGAAATCAGTCAGCCAGCATCCAAATGGATAGTCAGCAAGTTAAAGAAGGGTAGAAGGTTTAGAAAGCAGACACAGCAAAACAGAGCCAAAGGTTTTCAACCATCCCTGGGAAAGGAGCTGCTGATATATCTATGGGAAACGGTAAATGTATGTGTTCTATATTTGAGCAAATTGGTGTAGAGCAACAAATCCCCTGGCTGCCCAAGACTGCAGGTATTAGGTCCTCTCCAACCCTGGTGTCATGCTGTGGCTTTATGCTGGAGCTCTGCCATAACACTGCTACGTATCGACGATGCTGATGGGTCACACACAGAATTCATCTTCTTGGTAACATGTTGATAATTTCATGCACCTCGTGGAAAAAACACATTGAGGAAGATGAGCTTCATTTGAAAGGAAAAAAGAGATTAGTTTTAGTACAAATTGTCATTCATTAATCCACTAATGGATAACTCAGAGCTTGTCTCTGCAGAGCCATTTCTGACTTGGCCAGAAAAAGAAAAAAAAGACAGAAAAGAAAGCAATTGCACAATGATTCAGCTTGCGATTTAACATTCAACAGCCTAACAAATGCATTCAGTGAAAATCGAGCCTTATTAAGCCCTCCTGACTTTGACAAAGTGCTTCGGCTGCAGACAGATGCCTCTGACACTAGACTTGAGGCACTGCTCTCTCTGATAATGAAGGAAGAGCAACACCCAAAGATGTATAAACACAAGGAACTTTTAAAAGAGAAACTCTGTAACTTTCTATTTCAAAAAAGTCTTTGTCTTCGAAGTCTGTCTATGTGGCAGGCTTGTTGAAATTTTCTTCCTAAACAAAATCCGAACGATAGAAAAGCAAAGTTTGTATTGAGAGAATATTTTACTGAGGAGTTTAATCAGCATTACGATCATGTTCTTGAGGCATTTACATATATACTGAATATAACACACTATGCTGAAATCACTGTAGTGAATAGTAAATTATTATGCTTGGATGTGTATATGACTTTATTAAAAAAACTACTCCTTAAACTCTAAGAATTTTTAAATCTAATATAATGGAATAGAGACATTTAGTTGTTTTTCAAATGGAGAAGAGATTTATTGAAAGACAAACATACCCAAGTTTTAACTTTTGCTATTTGGCTCATTATTTTCTCATTTTGGTTCTCTTCATTTGCATTTGAATGTGTTTTTCTTCCTCAGAACATTTCTATTTTATATTTTACTTTTAGTAGCATGTAGTGTTCATATAATTGCCCCATATTTTTAATGTTGAAACATTCTCTTAATAATCTGTTGAACCATCCTTCCTCTTCTCTCCTGCCACAGCCTACCTGAAGGGGCCTGCTAACACATTTGGATGGAATCCTTTTGTTCTGTCACCCACACTCTGGTCCCAGCAGTGCCGGTGGGAAGATACACGGGACCATGACTGCCCACAGGTTGCCCACTCAAGCCACTCTCTGTAATTGGCCTAATGAAGGTGTTATGCAACACTGTGACAAATGTTAACTTTAGGTACCCTGCCACTCTACAAATCAAAGAAATGAATTCATAAGACATCGTTTTGATGGTGGGGGCATTTCTGATAGAATGTGAGATTATTAGGGAATCTCAGGGGCATTAAGTTTGAAAGTAAAATCATTAGATCCATCCAAATGAATGGGGCTGATATTGGGAGAATGCATGTATGTGCGCAGCTTGTCTTTCCCCCACAGTCCCTAAAATTGGAAACACACCACCAAGAGGAAGTAATAACACTGCAGTTCAATATTCAAAGTCAGATTTTTACTCGTATTGATGATTTTTAACATTTTGGAATATCACTTTATGCCTCCACCTGAAAGTTGTTATAATACCAGAATTCCAGGGCTGTGTTCACTGCAGTGTTTTATAAAAGCAATATTTTTCTTAGTTATTTTAAGGGGGTGTAAAATGAAAAAAAATTATGGCAGGGATAGTTTTTTAGTCTCCTTCCAAATCAACAATCCATATTTTTTCCTAACTCTCACTGGTTGGATATTCTTTCACTGCAGGATTATCAGCTAGTAAATACCTCATAGGAGGGGAAAAAAATCTCCTTCAGACTTAATTCACATTATTTGAGTTCTTACCTTGCATCTCTAAATTTCCACCCTTTTTCTCATCTCTTTAGTAAGGAAATGAGATAGCATCTTTTGAAAAGGGAACACCCGAAGTCATTTCTCAGTCCTTGAGATGTTTCTGAAACAGATCAATGCCCATCAACATTGCTGCTCTAGCTCCCAGTCATTCTTGGTGATAAAGAAGAAGAGAGGACACACATGGCTGGCTGCCTGCCTGTCTAGAGAGAGGGATGGGTTATCTTAATAGCGTTCATTCCAAATCTACAGTGTATGTCATGGTTGTTTGGCCAGAAATGCAGTATGTCTGTATTTCCAATATCACTCAGGAAGTTGTCAGCAAAATATGGTGTTTGAATTATATCATAGAATCATAGCAAGAGGCTTCCAGTGCTCCCCAGAAGGGTTTTGACATCTTATCATTGTTTATCTGCACCTCTATAATGTGTTAAAATAAAAACCTTAGCCAAATTAAATTCAACAGAATTTAACTGAGCAAAGAGCAATTCGCCAATCGGGCAGCCTCCCAAATCAGAGAAGGCTGAGAGAGACTCCAGCACAGCCACGTCGTAGCAGATTTATGGACAGAGAAAGGAAAGTGATATACCGAAAATGGAAACCAGCTACAGAAACAGCTGGATTGGTTACAGCTCAGTGTTTGCCTTATTTGAATGTGGTTTGAACAGCTGGCCCCCTTTGATTGACCAAAACTCAGCAATTGGCACAAAAGTAGGTTACAATCTGTTTACACCTCCCTTTAGATTATAGTTCACTATGTACAGAGAAACCTTTAGGCTGAACAGAAAATATGTAAGGAGGCAGTTAGGCTAAACTTGATTCAACAGATTCATAGTGTTGTTGATGCCTAGGGTCTTATTACAAACAAAAATTCACAAGTTTTCTATATGTCATACCAAATTTTGGCCCTATAGTTTCTGTCCAGCCTCTTGGTTAAGTTCAAACTTACCATAGATACTTTAATGTGATTGCATAACCAATTAATCTTTTTTTATTCATTCCAACAAACACAAATGTTATCCATTTACATGTAGACAGGCAGGCTGGACTTTCGGCACTGGGGCAGGGCATGTTATCAGTTAAGTGCAATAAAATGTTAAAAGAATCAAATGATAGAAATGTATAACAGGAACACTGAATGGGAAGCACAGAGTAAATATCAGCGAATTCTACCCTGTTCCAGAAATGTTAAAACTTATAAAGTGCTACCCGTTAGTGTCTTCATAGTGCTTTCAGGAAATGCATTCAATATTAGTTCCATGTCTTTAAAAAGACTGTTTTGAAAAAATATAAATCAGGTTATTTCATGGTAATGATGTTACTTTAATAAACTAATGACATGTATGGGTGCTAATACAATGGGTATTATTAGTGTATTAACAAAGCAACCAATTAAAGATGTAGAGTTTTCAAATAAACTTCAGGAAAGCATTGATGAACACACGGCGCCCACTCAGGAAGCAGTGCAGACTACTTATCTGTTGTCTCCGGGCAAAGGATTCATTCTTCTGAAGCTATTTAGGCCAATATCTATTATTCCTTTCTATATTCTACTAATACTAGAGTCATTTAAGTTTATTCATTGGCTCCAACAAACAGTATTTAAGCTAATGATGGCATTCAATGGAATCAAGAAGCATGTAAACATCACAGTCACAAGCTAATCTTGGGATAGTTCCTCCATTCACAAAAGAATCTATCTAGCTCTGACTTTTGAAGTGTACCATAATTCTTGGAAGACAATGGAAGCCGACTCTTGACATAAGACATATAAAAGTTGGTGATTTCAAAAAAGTTTCCCAATTTCTTCATCAATAGCTCATCCAGTCAGTGCAGTAAAGGAAAATAGATGAGTTCTCAGATAAGACTAAACTATAGAAGAGATAGACGAAACCTGTTTTATTACTGAAATAAGTCATTTTTAAATTACCTTGTCATTTATAGTGGGTTTAGCTTCTCTTAATTTGTAACATGAATTATCATATTTTACTGTTCAAAATATTGAACAGAGAATCAATGCCAAGGCAATATTACCCTTAAAACACTACTATTTTTTAAAAATCTTCAACTATTAGACTTGTCTCAAATAAATAACTTTTCTATCATGTTCATTTATAACTACGAAAGTGTGTATAGGTCTTGAAGTATTATAAAAGCTATTGGACTTGCTCTCAGCTAAAGAAACCACGGTTTAGGCATGCATGGGCATTATTATCTCAGCATCAACAACAAAAATGTTAACTTACAGAAATATTTTGTTAACAACTTAGGTAACCAAGCTTTTAAATGCAATATAAAGCAATCTTTGAAAGTGCTTTAGTGTGGGGAACAAAGGATTGAATAGTATAGCTAACGCTAAAAGTCATTAGAAGCCATTATATTTTAAACTATCATGAACAACAACTAAAAAATATTCAGTAGACTGAGTCTCCACTTAGTTAATGAAGCACGTGTTTCTACATGTTCCATGAATATAACAATGCCTACATTCAGTGCTGCAAAGAAATCAAAAACACTAAAACATTGACCCTCAGAGTCTCTCAAGTGGTAACGCCAATAATCTTCACTAGCAGATATAGAAAATACCACATAGAGGTAAAATGAATAAACACCTGGCCATTTAGTCCAATGCATTTGCCTGTAGCTGTGGCCTCCACTTGTTTCTTGTTACAAACAAACTCTAGTCCCTCTAAATCACACAGTCTTTAGAACAGAGAAACTACCAGAGTTAAAATGGCTGTGGGTCTTGTTTTCATGAATGCATTTCTCTAATGTGGTCATAATTGTTGCCTTCAAGACCTTCTCTACAGGCTTGTGGATTATTTTTAACAACACCCTTTCTGGATTTTTATTTTTACTATAAATTTTTAAAGTTTTTGACTTTATTATTACACAGAATAGCCTGGACATTAGGATTTTTTAAAGAAGCTTCCTGGGTGATTCCATGTGTGACATTTGTAAACAATTAGTCTACACTACATTTTCTGTTAAAAAATAAATGAAAGTACAGAAAAGTCTAAATTTGTTAGGTAATTGGCTTAATTATTTAATGCACAAAGTAAGTTTTAGGCTTCACATAAGTTAATCAACAGAAATGTAGTTTCCACGAGATGTCATTATAATCTCTCTATAGTTAATATGCTAACATTGTGAGGTAAGATCAATGCCCTTTGAAACTAGAATGTAAACACACTCTTTCTAGAGTTAACCAGTGTTATTTTTATACCTTGCATCAACCTTTCCATACCTCCACCCGCCAACAACCCTCCCCTAAACATGACTCCTTCCTGCTTCATTCCAGGTGGATGGCCCTTTAAGCTTTCACTAGGTGCAAGTATCTTGACTGTGTAATTCACAGACTGGCAAAGCAGCTGGTTTCAGGAGTGATAACACCAGTCACTACAAGGTTACAATATCTCTTCTAAAGGGCAGGGGCTTCCCAGAAAATTTCATTCATGCTCTCAGTTCTGCCTGTGGGGTAAAGCGAACTAATTTTACTCAGTCTTCTGTGTAAAAGCTGCTACCCTTCCAATGTTTGTCCCTCCAAAACTCATGTTGAAATTTCACTGTCATTGTGATGATATTGGGAGGTGGGACCTTTAAGAGGTGCTTAGATCATGAGGGCTCTGCCTTCGTGAATGAGCTAGTGCTGTTATGCAGAAGCAGGTCTCCCTCTCCCTCTCCGTCTTCCTCTCCCCCTCACACTCCCCTTCCCCCTCCATTCCCCCCCTCTTCCCTCTCTTTGCTCTTTCTCCATGTGGTGTCTTCATGTCATAGCACAGCAAGAAGGCCTTTGTCAGATGCCGGCCCCTCAATTGTGGATTTTCCAGCCTCCAGAAATGTGAGTCAATAAATTTCTGTTCATTATAAATTACCCAGTCTGTGGTATTCCATTATATATAGCAGGAAAAATGGACTAAAAAGCACTCTACGGTTTAATGAAATGAGCATATTTTCTTTCCCATTTTTCTTCTGTTTCCTAGAAATAGAGATTGCAAATGGATGCCATCTACATCAATACTCATCTAGAATCTAATTACATCTAGAATCTCTCAGCCATTCAGTGTTTCGTTTATCTATTTCTACATTGAAATATACTCCCAAAATGAATGACTTAAGCCAGCAGCTTATTAGTGTATTTCATCGTTTTGTGGTTTGACTAGCCTTATCACAGTTGTTGATTGGAATCTCCCAAGTGGTTGCAAGTTAGACAGCAGTGGGACTAGAACCATCTGAAAGCTCACGTGGGGTGGCCTCTTCACTCACCTCAGCCATTCTTCCCCCCACTGCCTCCACATGTGCTCTCAGTCTCCTAGGAAATTGCCACTTGGCTTGGACTTTTTTTTTTTTTTTGACAGAGTCTTGCTCTGTCGCCCAGGCTGGAGTGCAATGACGTGATCTCGGCTCGCTGCAACCTCTGCCTCCCGTGTTCCAGTGATTCTCCTGCTTCAGCCTCGCAAGTAGCTGGGATTACAGCCAGCTGCCATCATGCCTGGCTTATGTTTGTATTTTTGTAGAGACGGGGTTTCACCATGTTGGCCAGGCTGGTCTCGAACCCCTGACCTCATGATCAGTGGCTTGGACTTTTAATAGCTTGAGAATCCCAAAGTAGTCACACTTCTAACATGGCAGCTGACTTCTAAAGAGGAGGAAACAGAAGCTTTGAGAGCATTTAAGGGCCACAGTATTATTTTGGCTGTATTTCATTGCTCAAAGCAGTCATTATGCTTGCCCCTGTTAAAGGAGGATGAGAGGTAGACTCCATTGCTTGATAGGGTCACGTGATAGAAGAGCTTGTGGAAGACGTTGTGATCACACTTGGTTGGAAAATACAATCTCCCACATTCAACAAACCTTTGATGAGTGCTCTTCATGCCCAGATACCAGGCTAATTCCCAAAGATTAGAATGTAAGTAATCTGTAGTCCCTGCAAGTTAATAGTTGTAGAAGCTGAGTCACATACTACCTCCATCCCCTAGCCTTCCTTACAGGTACTGCTGTCAAGCTACTGCCTGATATTTACATCAATATTTCTTTCCACTGTAGACATGACTTTGCTTCTATCCCTGTAAAGTTGTACCTGGTTGATCTCCCCCTCTATTCTAACCTAAAAATCTCATTCTGAATATCTACCTCTTCAGCTGTCATTATCCAATAAGCATACTGCTCATATTTTATATAAATTGTTCATTTTCTTTTTCAATATGTATTGAGTAGTTTCTCTTTTTTTATTATACTTTAAGTTCTAGGGCACATGTGTACAACGTGCAGGTTTATTACATATGTATACATGTGCCATATTGGTGTGCTGCACCCATTAACTCATCATTTACATTAGGTATATCTCCTAATGCTATCCCTCCCCCCTCCCCCCACCCCATGACAGGCCCCAGTGTGTGATGTTCCCCTTCCTGTGTTCAAGTGTTCTATAGTGAAGGCATTGATAAAAATATATACATTAAATGGAACATGAACAATCACATAGCCCTTTGTTATACTACTAGATTCTCCCCAAAGCTAATATTAATTCATCAACACATCCCGCATACAGCTGTTCCAGTGAACTAAAACCTCTGTAAATGTGTTATATGCCAGCCCATATTTCTACAGCTAGTTCATAAAGAAAGACTATGAGGCTTTCACAGGGACCATATTTGCTATATCTGATCTGTGAGAACCGTATCCTATCTAAAAAGGAAATAGATTTAGTTTAATGACTTAATGCAAATATAAACAGGCCCCAATTGATTACTGTTTTCTATTTTAGGGTCTTATATGATATTTGTTTTAATATTTTATATTTTATTATCTTTTTGAGTATTAACACTTATTTTATTTTATTTGATCTTTGAAAGCACCCACACCTGTGTAACAAGAATCATTAGTTACAATTTAATTAATATACTCAGTTGAGTGTAAATCATTGGACTTCATGATCCAGAGTTCCACCACAATATTGTTTCGTCTCAAGTCATCCTCAATAGCAGCACTGATTACTGTACCATAAGTATCCTGCTTACAAAGAGTTCCAATTGGTCTACAAATTAATAGACCAAAAAGAAGTCATCTATGAGACCATTTCCTTCATATCTGAACCCGGCGTAAGGGTCTAAAGGCTATAATCTCTCACACAAAAACTCTTCAGATGAGACAAACACCTGACTTTGGCTTTGGATGCATACGATTTTCTAATATATGAACACATAGACTTGGTTTCAGGTAGCTAAATTTTGTTTATCCATTTTTATTTTTGCATCTGATAACCAGGACCATAAATACACTTGGAAATAATAAATTATAAATTATTTGGAATAAATAAAATAAAAGTTATTTCTAAGTTCCGTATTATCAGAAACAGGCTAGTTTCGTTGCTCTGCTGAATCAACTCCTTCACAGCAGAGCTATGCTGTTTCTGGATCTGATACTTTACTTCAGGATTCCCTGGAAACCGCCTGGGATGGGCATTCTTGAAGCTCCTTGTGGTCGGTTTTTCCTGTTCATAAAATGTTCTTCTAATCTGGAAAACCAGAATGCTACTAAAGTCTGTTTTGGTGCAGGCCTGGATATAATGATATCCCATTATCCATTCCATCTCTAAAATATTTCTCAAATATTAACTAATTAAATCAATTACATGGGTAACTTGCTTAAAGGTAGCGACTATATTTTTTTAAGAATGACATGAGCCCACTGCAGACTATTAAGAATCCTGATGTCGCCTGATAAATGTTACCAATCTACAGCATTACAAGTATTCGTATATTTTATGGCATTCTGTTTCTAACCTATAGGGAAACTAAGTCACAGGGCTTTACAGCCCTGTAAAAGATCCGAGGTGTCATTCATTCCAACACTAAAATTAAAGGCTCTCCAGATTCTACTTATAAGTCTTATCCACCAGACCATAAATTCTACTTTTGAAAATCATTAAATCCCCCTTTATTTCAAATGAGAAAAGTTCCTTTTAGACCTGGGGGTCTTAGGTTCAAGTGCCAAAAATGAAAGCATTTGTCATAAAACCACAAAAAGAACTTGATTAAAGAACCACTAATGAAGATCTGACATTTAATCTGCTCTTTTATTGGATAAGATCTTTAAATATTCTCTCTTTATGAATTCATTTGGAATAGTACTCGATCATAGGAACGTGACAGTAAGCTGGTACTAAAAGAAGATAATTAAGCAACATGTTCTGCCAAGGACATCTCCACCCTATACCATCCATCATCCCACGTGGAGAGTTAATAATTTCAGTCATGTTGCCGTGACATTGTAATGAGAATCTTTCATATCCTGCAGTGCCTTTGTCAACTGGACCTGTTCTAAGGACAAATACTGGCATCTCTGTAACAAAACTTTCATATGCTTGCTGTGCCCCTTCTGAGGTCCCCCCACCCCAACATTAGTAAAGGAAAATGCTAACAGGGCTTAGATGGCAGACAGGCTCCTAAGGACTCACGCCTCACACTCCAATCGCCTTTGTGGACACGCTACCAATTTACACTGAGATAAACAACATTGTACAAAGTACCAAAGGCAAACTGTATGCGCTATTTATTAATACAGAGAAAGAAGCAGATATGCCAAAGTGATATACTAAGAAATAGAGTGATATTTTAATAGGAAATTTAAAAATAGTATTGTGAAACTGACTTACTGTTGAAGGTCTAACAGCACCTTTTTCTCTTTGCTTTTTTATTTGTCCTTGAGAAGTTTCCTATTGGTTAAAAATTTGTATAAAGCCAAAGACAGTTGCACAATTGAAATCCTCCCTACACTACATTCAAGCCTCATCTCAACAAAAACACTGAAAGTGAAAAGAGGCTGTCAGAATAACAATGAGAATTTGGTTTTCAGAATCCCAGTCAACTGGGGTGTGTGTGTGTGTGTGTGTGTGTGTGTGTGTGTGTGTCTATGTCTTTCTTTTGCCCACATAAAGATAACAGGAAACCTGTACCAGAGAAGCACTTACTCCCACAGTCAAAAAGATAATAATTCCCACATTATTAGTAATTTTTATTTACTGACCAAACAACTGTAATAGGTGTTAGTCTGTGTTTGTGGCTTTCAAATAGCTCATTTGTGGAAAAATCTGAGCTTTTCGTCAACCTTTATGAAGGTAGAAAAGACTTTAGGCTGGGCGCAGTGGCTCACACTGTCATCCCAGCACTTTGGGAGGCCGAGGCGGGTGGATCATGAGGCCCAAAGATTGAGACCACCCTGGCCAACATGATGAAACCCCGTCTCTACTAAAAATACAAAAATTAGCCTGGCGTGTTTGGCGCATGCCTGTAGTCCCAGCTACTTGGGAGGCTGACACAGGAGAATCGCTTGAACTCGGGTGGCAGAGCTTGCAGTGAGCCGAGATTGCATCACTGCATGCCAGCCTGGTGACAGAGCGAGACTCTGTCTCAAAGAAAAAAAGAAAAAAGGGAAGACTTTAGACTACATCATGAGGTCCTGGAAACCCACAGATGTTAGATGTTTGCCCTCAGAAAGGCCCATAGGAAAGGCTTTCTATTGACCCCACAGGAATACAAGTAACTCTCTCAAGGTTTTCAACTTTATGTTAAGATCTTGAAGTCTCATGGGGCTGAAGACAAAATATTACATCAGAAAAAGATTATGTGGGGAAAAGTGTTTAACCATATTGCATTTTCCAATGAGAAAGTAAACCAAAGAAAAAGTAGACACACCAACAGCATTTTCTTGCTGAGCTTAGTTTTGTCCATATCATAATAGCTTTTGTCTTTTCAGGTTACAGTGGAGATTTAGGGATATTTTATTTGCTCTAAATAAAGGTTTTGTGTCTCTATGAAGAGATGGGATTCAGTTGGGTCTCTACTCAGACCCCCTCATTGCGCATATCACAGTGGCCTGGACACTGGAGGAAATATTTCCTTTCTCAGCCATTACTGGGTTCACGGCTGAAGCCCAAGTAACAAAAGACAGATTAACAAGTGGAAAGCGTACAGATTTACTAAAGTAAGTCTCATGTGACATGAGAGCCTTGGAAAATGAAGACCCAAAGAAACAGAGTGATCTGTGCATCTTGATGCTGGGTGTGACTTCGTGGATAGCTGTAGAGAAGTATCATCGGAAAAAGGAGGAAGGGCCTAATGGTAACAAACCAAGGCAACACTTTTTGAATGAGGCCTGTTTTCTCAGATTCTTCTCTGTCCTCATGTCCTCAGAACAAGGACATTCATTACTTCCAGATATGAGGTGGGCACCTCTCACATGAGGATCTTATGACCTAATTCTGGGGAAGGTCAGAAAATTATTTTCTAGTTTTGTTGTTGTTGTTGTTGTTGTTTTTGAGAAGGAGTCTCACTCCATCGCCCAGGTTGGAGTGCAGTGGCATGATCTCGGCTCACTACAACCTCTGTCTCCTGAGTTCAAGGGATTCTCCTGCCTCAGCCTCCCATGCCTGGGATTACAGGCACCCACCACCACGTCCCGCTAATTTTTGTATTTTTAGTAGAGATGGGGTTTCACCACGTTGGACAGGCTGGTCTCGAACTCCTGTCGTCAGGTGATCCGTCTGCCTCAGCCTCCCAAAGTGCTGAGATTACAGGCATGAGCCACTGTGCCCTGCCTCTTTTCTAGTTTTTATCACCTGCTTCAGGGGAGAGGGATGGGAGAAGGTCAGAGGGTCCTTCCTGCGTCTGTGGTTTTCTCAAATGCCAAGGTGTCGTACTTTGTGGTGTCAAGCCCCGAATTTCATCGGCTGCAACTGCTTTCACCTCTCCTGCTCCCATGAGACTCCATGTTCCCCAAAGGCCATTTCTTCTCATCTGTGACTCTCCATCCCAAACACAATGCTTGGCAGTGTGATCAATATGTGCTTCGTGAATATTAGTTACCTTGAAAATTTTCTCAAGGCCAGACTCCAAAAAAAATTATAAATACATGGAAACCAGTGGAATCAGGTAAAGGCAAAACTATTCAAAGAAACTCGACTCACCATTGAGAGAAAAAGAAAATCAACCCCTCTCTGTGCTAAGTAAAAATTTTACTTTATTTCAGCACTTTTCAAAACTACGAGTCACATAAAAAAAAATCACTAGGGCTGGGTGCAGTGGCTGACGTCAGCCTGTAATCCCAGAATGATGGGAGGCCAAGGCAGTGGATCACCTGAGGTCAAGAGTTTGAGACCAGCCTGACAAACATGGTGAAACCCCATCTCTACTAAAAATACAAAAATTAGCCAGGTATGGTGGTGGGCACCTGTAATCCCAACTAGTTGGGAGGCTGAGGCAGGAGAATCACTTGAACGTGGGAGGCAGAGGTTGCAGTGAGCTGAGATCGCACCACTGCACTCCAGCCTGGTGACTGAGTAAGACTCCATCTGAAAAAAAAAGAAAAGAGAAAGAAAGAAAGAAAGAAAGAAAGAAAGAAAGAAAGAAAGAAAGAAAGAAAGAAAGAAAGAAAGAAAGGAAGGAAGGAAGAAAGAGAAAGAAAGAGAGAGAAAGAAAGACAAAGAGAGAGCGAGAAAGAAAGAAGAAAGAAAAGAAAGAAAGAAAGAAAAAGAAAAAAAAAGAAAGATCGCCAGAAGCCTTGAAAAGTCACTTCTCTTAATAAAGGCAACTGTTTTCCTGTGGAAGACATTACGTCATGTATGGACATCTTTCCTTTTTATGAAGGACATATTAGTGTTCTTATTTATTGGCCTGATCCTAACACCTCTAAATTTTAAATGAAATTTTTTCCTATATTTAGCCTGGTATGTTGGTCCTTTTTGGATGGGTTTATAGTGGATATTCCAGTTTTCTTAGTTGTTACATAAACTCTTGATTTGTGTTCCAGAAATTTAGTCCCACCTTCCTTTTTTTCCTGTGAAAATACTTTTCAGGATGATGGCAGCTTCATTGTTCCAGGAAAATACTTTTCAGGATGATGGCAGCTTCATTGTTCCAGGGGAAATGTAAATTTGAGTTCTGAAATTGTTTTTGAACACCGGGTTTCTTCTTTTTGTATTTTAACTGAGAAGTAAACAAAGATGTTTCACTTAAACACTTAGACATGATTTATTCTATAAGTTTACTCTTTACCATGGAATAAAGTCACCTTTAGAAAATGACAGAAAAAAAATAGATGGGAAGGTGTTTATTCTCTGATATTTTTCCAGACCCCACAGGAGCAAGGAGGGCAGTAACCCATGCTTTTCTTCCCTAAAGCAACAGCCATTTCTCCTCCCACCCCCCCCCAAAAAAAACTGCTGCTTTCTCCGAACACCTAAACGCCCTAAATTCTTTCTTTACTCCATTCTGCTCCTGCTCATTCCTCTAATGTGTATAAACTTCCCATATACCATAGCAGATGAGGATCCCTTTGGTTGTATCTTGTCAATACCAAACAGAATATGACAAGTGATAAACCCTTACAGTTGTCTTATTCTTAAAGTTTCAAATGTTTCCCATTATTTCTCCACCGTGGCCTCATATATGTCGTTGCCATTCTCGTTCCTGTGGAACTGGAAAGATTTACTGTTTCTGTTCTGAATTTCAACCCTCAATGTAAGCAGTGGGAAACAAAGCACCCTGTCCATGAGGAAAAATAATAAAGAAAACATTTAACCTAGAAAACAATAAATGTTTGTTTCAAAATGTTTTGTATTCAGTCAAAGGGTGACTGAATACAAAATAAAACAAATCAAGGAGAATTTTCATCTAAATTTAACAAAGTGGGAGACATCAAGAGTAACTAACTGTCAATGAGCTTGAGAAACAGATCTCAAAGTAAATCTCTGAAAACCCATTCAAGATCCTGATGTGTAAGAACGGCAATCAAGCAAGGAAGCACAGGTAAGCAAACAAAACATCTAAAAGAAGGCTTTTACATTAAAAAAATCAGAAAATAGTGCCTGACGAACTTCTAATAAAATTCAAAACCCTCATGAAAAATGGGAGGAAGAAATGCCACGTTAACTGCCCCTGCTCTATTGTACTCAAAACTCCTGCAGGTGCACAGATGCAGGGAAGAGAGAGTGTTGTGGTAAGCACACCTGCTATGTTGGAGGAACTCTACAAATGAATCACAGGAAACAGAATGATTCTATTGTCACAGAGTAGAACCTGCTATGTTGGAGGAACTCTATAATGAATCACAGGAAACAGAATGATTCTATTGTCACAGAGTAGAACCTGCTATGTTGGAGGAACTCTATAATGAATCACATGAAACAGAATAGTTCCCTTGTCACCGAGTAGAACCTGCTATGTTAGAGGAACTCTATAATGAATCACATGAAACAGAATGGTTCCGTTGTCACCGAGTAGAACCTGCTATGTTACAGGAACTCTATAAGTGAATCACATGACACAGAATGGTTCCGTTGTCACTGAGTAGAACCTGCTATGTTAGAGAAACTCTATAAATGAATCACATGAAACAGAATGATTCCGTTGTCACCGAGTAGAACCTGCTATGTTGGAGGAACTCTATAATGAATCACATGAAACGGAATGGTTCCGTTGTCACCGAGTAGAACCCATTGGCCAATAACTCTGACAAATATTATTTTCTGGATATTAAACACAAACATAAATGTTAAAAATGTTTATGTTGGCCAGGCGTGGTGGCTCACGCCTGTAATCCTAGCACTTTTGGAGGCCCAGGCGGGCAGATCACAAGGTCAAGAGATCGAGACCAGCCCGGTCAACATGGTGAAACCCTGTCTCTACTAAAAATAAAAAAATTAGCTGGGCATGGTGGTGTGTGCCTGTAATCCCAGCTACTCAGGAGGCTGAGGCAGCAGAATCTCTTGAACCTAGGAGGGGGAGGTTGCACTGAGCCAAAATTGTGCCGCTGCACTCCAGCCTGGGCGACAGAGCAAGACTCCATCTCAAAAAAAAAAAAGTTTATGTTGAAGACAATGTTTCCATCCACAGATCTAAGAGATTTGCCCTCAAATTACAAACTGTTTTGTAAAGTGAACAAAAATGCCCCGCGACTCTCCCTACATTTTTTAATATTATTCCTGTGATCATTGTCTCTCTTTTCAATAAGTTTCTCATTCAAACAAACTGGAAAATTCAGGTGATTATCTGAATCAAAACACATATATCTTACCTAAATTATCAGAACAAGGCTATTAAACATTTTGCTTTGCTGTGGTTATGCAGACTTGTTCTCTGTGCACTAAAGCCTCCCAAATCATTTACATTATTTTGATTCCTGGTCATATAAATTATTAGTTCTGCTTTAGAGATCAGGAAATTGATGCATTTCATTTTTGCATTTAACACATATTAAGGTGGTCCCTTTACTAAAAGTGGAAGACATAAAGATTAATGTGATTCAGTCTCTGCCCAAAAGGAAGTCACACAGATAAGCATATAGATTTTAGTATAAAAACATATAAACCATGGAACGTCCTATAATAAATGTATAACAAAGATTTAAGTACACGCAGAAGCCTGGAGATGCCAGTCGGTGCCACAGTCGGATGAAAGGATATATGTGCCAGCCCTTTCTAAATGTTACCAGTGCTGTGCTTGAGTTAAGAGAATTGGTGGCCAAACTAGAAACCAACTCATTTTCAGTAGCTACACAGACTACCATGAAGAAATGAGCTCGGGACAAATGACTATAAACCTTGGGTCAAATAGCAACAAAGATTCTCTTCTTGACCAAACTCTAGTCAGGCTCCTCTGAGCTACTTTTTCAACAAGGTCTCATCCTTGGGCCTTGTCCTCAAGAGCCAAGAGCCAGAAACCTGCTAAGTCAGTTTAGCCAGAACTTCCCGCCCTCAACAAGTGTTCTGATCAATTTCCTCACTCCCCACAGAACCTCCTGCACTCAACGTGTGTTCTGAGCAATGTCCTCACTCCCCCACCATCCCCAGGTGATATCTCAGCACTCTAGTGCCTGCAGGATTCTGAATAAGTTCAGACAGAATCCCCTGTACTCCTGAGGTTTTTTCTTCATAATTTGGCACCTACTGACTCCCACCCTTGGCTGTAAAACCTCACTTGTCTCTGATAGATTTAGAGCTGAGTCCAATTTCTCACCCTACTGTAAAACCCCATGGCAGTGGTCTCTTTACCTATCAAGATAATCCCCCTGAATGAATTCGGCCTTATTGTTTTAACAAATGTCATGAATGATTTTTTTCGATGATAAGCTAGACTTCCTATGGTATAGTAGAAAATATATTTGATCATTGACACTGGTTCCTGGCATAGAGTTCCTAAAACCCTTGGCATTTCTGGAGTGATAGGAGTATCTTTTGTTACTCATAATAAGCCCTTTTCAACAATACTGAGTCTATGTTAAGGAGGTGACTCTTGCTGGGCCCCTAGATGGATTCAGGATAGGGGCTGGTTGCCAGAGGAACCAACCAAGCGGTTAGAAGGTTGGAACTTTCAGCTGGACTTCCCCTACCTCTGAAAAGGGAAGAGGGGCTGGAGATTGAGTTCAATCACCAATGGTTAATAATTTGATCAATTATGCTATGTAATGAAACCTCCATTAAAACCCATAAACAATGGGGTTTGGAGAAGCTCCAGGCTGAGGAGCCCATCAGGATGCTAGAAGGGCGGCACATCCAGGGAGCATGTGGGAGCCCCATGCACACACATTCCCCTGATCCCTTACCCTGTGCATCTGTCGCATGTGGCTATTCCTGAGCTACATTCATCATAGTAAACCAATCATAGTAAGTAATGCTTTCTCTGAGTTATGTGAGTCATTCTAGTGAGTTTTGAAACCTGCACAAGGAGATGTCAAGGGAACCTCCAGATTTAGGAGATGTCAAGGGAGCCTCCAGATTTGTAGTCAGCCAGGCAAAAATGTGGGTAGCCTGGCATCTGAAATGGAGACAGTCTTGTGGAACCAAGTGTCAGAATGGAATCGAATCGTTGAACACTCAGTTGATGTTGGAGAATTGGAGAATCCATGCTGAAAAAGATACCACATCTTTGGTGTCAGGGGGGAATGAAAACCTCTCAGCCACATGAACTTCAACAATTTTCCTGCCATTCCAGAGTCAGTTCTGCTTTTAGATATGAGAAATACTAATAACACCTAAAGGCCTCATGCTGAACTGAGTAGCCATTCCCCCTCTGAGATTTAGCATGAACCACATTATATTGCAATTGTATTTATTGGTCCACCTCCCTCACAGGAACATGAATTCCCAGAAGGCAGGAATCACATGTTATTTGTATTTGTCATATGATAGGCAATCAATCAATATTGGTTTAATAAAAGGAAGAAAAAATTTCTAATAGGAGCTGTAATTAATTCCTTTGCTCTAAGCAGAAGCAAATAATGATTTCCATAACACTAACCTGTCCTCCAAACTATAATGAAAATTGAGCTAGAGGATTTGGATTGGCCATAATAATAATTCTCTGCAGCTGGACAGAACCCACAAGGTTATATATAATATTTGAAACAATGCATAGAATACTAATTAAATTTATAATACGTGGAAAATACCAAATGCTGATGAGGATGAGGAGTAACTGGAATTCTCATAAATTGCTTGTAGGAATGCAAGATGGTATAACCACTTTGGAAACAGTTTGTCAGTTTCTTATACGGTTTAACGTATATTTCCTGTAAGACTTAGCAATCACACTCCTGGATAGTTGCCCAAGAGAAATGAAAACATATGTACCCATAAATACTTGCATGCAAATATTACAGTGGGTTTATTCACACTAGCCAAAAACTGGAGGAAAAGAAAAAAAAATCAAAATTTCCATCAACTGGTGAATAAATTCTGGTACATTTATACACCTGAACTCTACGAAGCAATGAAAAGGAAACAACTACTGATACGATCAAGAACGAATGAATATCAAAAATATTAGTCTACATGAAAGAAACGAGGCACAGACTGTGTTTCCATTTAGATGCCATTCTAGAGAAGGCAACACTAGGAACAGAAAGCAGACGAGTGGCTGCAGGGCTGGGTCTCAGGAAAGACGACCGCCTGCCATGAGGCAGGGAAAATTGGGGATGACGGACACATTCTGCATCATGACTGCGGCGATCGTGAAGTACGATAAGGATTTGTTTTCCTCTTTCATTGTTAGGTTCATAACTGAGAGTCGAAAACACAAGATTAACAAGAGAAAGGCATACATATTTATTTAACACAAGTTACACATAACGTGAAGACTTCACAAGTGAAGGCCTAACAAAACAGCAAAACCTGTGTATTTTTATGCTAAATTTGGTGAAGAAGTGTATAGTAGAGAAATATGATTGGAGGCCAAAAGCCTTGATATAATAGTAATAAATTGGGGTAACTTGAGCAAGGCCTGTTTCTTCAGATTCTACTTGACAGCTCTGTGTCTTGAAGGATAGAGATGTTCCTTTCCTAGGACATAGGGAGGGCAGCCCTGAAGTGAAGGTTTTATTTTCTACTTTAGAGGAAGGTCAGAGAGTTATTTTATGACCTGTTTCATGGGAGACGAGCAAGGAAAGGTGAGAGTGACCTTTCTGCATCTGCCATTTCCCCAAGTGCCAAGGTAACGTATTTTGGGGTAGTATATCAAGAAGCCCGTCACCATATGTAAATTATACCTTAATCAACCCTGACTTTAAAATGTTACAATTCATTGTTTAGTCCTGTTGTTGATATAGGAGTTAAAAAGAAATTACTTGAGCAGATAGTGAGGGTACAAAAGTGCTCGGTAAAGGTTTTCTTTTTTAGTGAAAAGGAGACCCAAAGTCACTTTCTAAGAAGAGCAGCCTGTAAGATGGAGCTGCAGACATAGACAAGCCAGCTGCAAGCTTGCACGGGTGAAGGTCAGCAGGAAAAACCTACGGGGACTAGGCATGTTCAAAATGGCAGCTCCATCTCCCTTTCCCTTTGCCAACCACGTGTACAGGAAGGAGCAGACAAGATGGCACCGGTCAAGTGGAAAGCCCAATTGCATAATAATGTTAGGGTGGGGCGGCCAGCCTTCTCCTCATGCTATGTAAACCTCACACCTGATATAACCAATCTGTGGGTCCTACATAAGTCGGACACTACCTTCTCAAACCTGTCTATAAAACTTGGCGCACTCTGCCATTGGCCAGTCTTTCCCTTTCAGAAGCCCTTGTCTCTCTCACCAGAGAGAGAGCTATTCTCCTTTCTCTTTTTTCTGCCTATTAAACCTCTACTCCTAAACTCCTCCATGAGTGTCTGTGCCCTAAATTTTCTTGGCATGAGACAATGAACCCCAGGTATTTACACCAGACAATGTCACCGCTTCATTATTAAGTTGGAAAAATGTAAAACTTAAACATTGTCCCAAATATTCTTTTTTTGCCTTTGTTATGTTTCCAGGACATGGAAGTAGAAATTCTCTTCCCAATAGTAAGAATTTCCAATATTTTTTTGTTAACCAGAAATTTGAAATTAAAATATTGTTTACTTTTTTATGTTCTTGTCTTATTAAGAGGTCTATGGTAGAGGGTGGAAGCAATTAAAGGGAGTCCCCTTCACACTTTTGTTGCTTGATTATTTACTCTAGCAAATAAAACCAAAACATTCTATCTTCAGATATGACATAATAATCAACTATGAACCTTGGTGTGTGGGTTATTCAAGCCAGCTTCCTTTCTCCTGAAGCAGGAATAGCTGAAGGATCTCCCTAGCCCACCTTAGATGATAAGTGATCTTGCCCTGAGGCTCTGGCATTTATATAGCACCTCCAAAAAGCACAGTAAACCTTTAGGAGTTACAATTCATTTGATACAAATTCTGTAGGGTGTCTCCTCCAAAATCATAAAGAGCTATTTCATTAGTTTAGGCACTATGACAATTTGTCAACCAATATTGCCAATGGAGACAAGAGGGAAACCTGTGTTAGAAACTAAACCAGTCCCAACTGTTATTTTGACTAAATAAGGGTATCAACTTTTAAATACTATTAACTCTTAGGGCGTGTAAACCAGAGTTGAATGTATTCTAAAGAAGAAAGAGAAAAAAGAAGGAAGGGAGGAAGGAAGGAAGGAAGGAATCAAGGAAGAAGGAAGGAAAGAAGGGAAAGAGAAAGAAAGAGAAAAAAGACCAAAAGAAAAGAAAGGAGAAAGAGAAAGATGAAAAGAAAGAGAGAAAAAAAGAAAGGGAGAAAGGGAGTGAGGGAGGGAGGGAAAAAGCCGGTAAAAAGGAAATGGTTTGCTCTAGTGGAAAAATATGGCCGCAGATTGTAAAGAATGACCTGAGAGAATTAGTGCTTCTTTGAAATCTGAACACAGCCTCGCCATATTTCAGAATTAATAGGGAAAAGAGAAACACAGATTCCTGAAACCCCATAATAATTATGTGTATTACCATCATTTATGTCCCTGTCCCTGGCAGATTTTATAAGAGTTGTTAACAAGTTAAAAGAAGGTGATAGCTTTTCACCTGATTCTCTGCTTTGCCTACACAAAATAGATCATGTATTTTCCTCAAAGCCAAAGTTCCTTCTTGACTGTGCTATTTCTGTCAACTACATGTTTATAAAACATGGAGTCATCTGACTCTTCCCATCTGAATCCCAGCATGCAGTCAGCTCCCAGCCCTCCTCTAGGGATGCCTCACACAGCCACCCCGACACCCTCCTTGCGGTTCACCCAGGATAATGCCACCCACTCTCCTTTAGCTTCCCTGTCTCAAGTTTTTGTCTCAGTCCATCTAACTTCTATTTCTAATGTAATTCTTTATTACAAAAATAATTTGTGCAGGTCAGTCTCCTCCAGAGAAACCTCCAATGGCTCTTTACTCCTGCCAAAGGTTAAAACCTATTTAACAAGTCAAAAATTACAACACTTCAAAACGCAACTCACTATTGCCACAATTTTGCCACTGTTCACCTAAATTAACCCTCTAATTCAAACTAGCTTATTCTCTCGAGAACGTGCTGTGTTCGTTACCTGACACGAACCTTTGGAAAGTGATTTTTGGTGGGAAAGATATGCTCAGAAAAAAGTTGGCTGAACTTATTAAGGATGTCCTCCCTGAAGATTTTCAGTCTGTGGGGACTTCCCATTCCTCAGTGCAAGGCTGCAAGTGCTCGTGCCAGGCTAAGCCTGTCCAGCCCCAAGCTCAAAGCACTCTCTCCTCAATCGCGGCATTTGTCTGCACCATTCTTTTAGAAATTAACATCTGTAATGGCCCACATTTGAGTGTGTGTGTGTGTGTGTGTGTGTGTGTGTACACATCAATATATGTAGAAATATGTAGGTTATTAAATATATATTTACATTATATGTGAAGCAGCATCATTGTCAGTGGTAAGTACCAGGGGCTCATCCTCTTGTGCTGAGAAAATTAAGGACATGAACACATGTGGGTGGGTTAAGGAGTGGAAAGTTTAATAGGCAGAAGAAAGGAGAGAGGAGAGCAGCTCCTTGTGAGAGAGAGGTGTCAGAAAGGGGGACAGTGTCAGACCACAGCAGAGTTTATAGGCAGGCTTGAGGAGGTGGTGTCTGCTTTCCCTAGGGCTCATGGATTGGCTTGACCAGGTGGGACGTTTACATAGCAGGCGGGAAAGGCTGGTAGTCCCACCCTAATCTTATTATGCAAATGGACTTTCCACTTGACCTTCACCATCTTGTCTGCTCCTTACAATAGAGTGGCTGGCAAAAAGAGAAAATGGAGCCACCATTTTGAACATGCCTAGCCCAGGTAGTACATAACTATGGGCACAATTGCTGGCATTCACCCATGCAAGCTTTCAGCTTGCTTGTTTATGTCTGTAGCTTGATTTTACAGGCTGCTCTTTGTTAGAAAAATAATGATTTGGGGGCCACTTTTGATTAAAAGGAAAACTTTACTGAGGACTTCTGTACCCTCACTAACTGACTAAGTAATTTCTTTTCAACTCCTATATCATATGCACTTGTGATGCTGTGAAATATATATTTGGCCTTCCTTCTGTTTTCCCCCTGCCTGAGATACAACTCCTAACGTCCTTAGAATCTCTAAGTGCTGTCTTTTTGCATGCTAATGTTGACTAATAGCTTCAAGGTAGGGCTGGTCACCAAAAAGACCAAGGAAGGATTAGAGGGTTGGGACTTCCAGACCCACCCATCAACCTCCTGGGAGGGGAGAGGGGTTGAAGGTCAAGTTGAGCACCAATGGCCAATGGTTTAATCAGTCATGCCTATGTCATGAAGCCTCCATAAAACCCCAAAAGGACAAGGTTGGGGGCATTTCCACATACCTGGACACAGGGAGGTTCCTAGAGGGTGATGCCCAGAAAAAGCATGGAAGCTCCTTGCTTCTTCCCCCATACCTCAACTTACGCATCTCTTCATCTGTGTCCTTTGCAATATCCTTTATAATAATCTGATAAATGCAAGTAAGTGTTTCCCTGGTTCTGTGAGCCATTCCAGCAAATTAATTGAGCCAAAGAGGGAGTCATGGGAACCCCAAATTGAAGCCCATTAATCAGAAGTTCCAGAAGCCCAGACTGGAGACTAGTGTCAGGGTGGAGGGCAGTCTTGGGGACTGAGCCCCCAACATGTGGAATCTGATGCTGTCTCCAGGTAGATAATGTTGGAATAGAATTGAAGGACACTCACCTGGTGTCTGCTGCAGAATTGATTGTTTGCTTGCCAGTGGGAAAAAATCCTCACACATTTGGGATCCCAGAATCTTCTATGTTGATTGTTGATGTGTGGTATCAGAGCAGAAGAAACACGGTTTGAGAGGTTTTCCCAAATAATACTGTATATTTATGTTTACACTTAGATATGTATGTATACATGATTATTGTTGTATATTGTTATTAAATTTATTCATATTTTTATATTCTAGTGTATTAGTCCATTCTCATGCTGCTTTGAAAACATACTCAAGACTGGGTAATTTATAAGGAAAGTTTTTGTCTTAATTGACTCACATGGCTGGGAAGGCCTCAGGAAACTTACAATCATGGCTGAAGGGGAAGCAAGCACGTCCTTCTTCACAAAGGGGTAGGAGAGAGAAGTGCCTAGCAAAGAGGGGAAAGCCCCTTATACAACCATCAGGTTTCAGGAGAATTTACTCACTATCTTGAGAACAGCAGCATAAGGGTAACTGCCCCATGATTCAGTTACCTCCCACCAGGTCCCTCCCACCACACATGGGGATTATGGGAACTAAAATTCAACATTAGATTTGGGTGGGGACAGAGCCAAACCATATCATCTAGATAATTTTATTAAATAGTAATCATTTATAATTAATATACCTAACTTATACAGTATATATTATGATATATAATTGATAATAATTTTAGATTAATATATCGATAGATTATAAAATATATGTTTGCATAAGATATATATTCATTTTTATTTTATATTTATTTGTATGTATATATACACAAATGCATATACACACAGATATTTCCTTTATCAATATAAATACATATATGTATACATATATGTATATATTCACATATATCCGATAGGTCATTGTTTCTCCCTACTGGGCAATAGACTTGACATCCAAATACTTACTTACAGTATGAAGTACAAGTTTTTCAAAAATATAATAGCAGCATAAGGAACAAAAAGAAAGAGTGTGTAAACAAGTGGAACTACTGGAAGCTGTCCAAGATAACGTCCCACATCCTACCTTCTTGGCCTGTCATTCCGATAATCCAAGATCCATGTGAGTCCACAAGTCCAAGGAGCAAGACATTAGGAAGGACAGCAGAGGTGCTGACATCACATACAAGTGACCTCTCTACCCCTAGTCAGGGAATGGGTGAATAGAAGAGTATTTGGAGAGAATGAAAATCAAAGAATGTGACTGTCACAGAGTTAATATTTTAATAGATAAGATTTATTTTTTAAAAACTTGAAAGAAAAGAAAAACGAATAAAGGTATTGAATTAAAAATTCTTGGAAAAACAAAAATTAATCTCACAACCACTTAAACACAGATTACAGCAAATTTTGAAATGCCTCTCAAATTATTGCTTGTTCAGTTATTTTTAATAAATGTATTTAATACGGATTGTGTACAGTGAAATGCTCATTCTTGTGCTAGTAAAAGTGAATTTTAGTAAAATCATTCTTGGTAAGACTCTGTATAACTTTGGACATAAATTACTATTCCTGCCTGGGCATGGTGGCTCGGGCATGGGGTGCATGCCTGTAATCCAGCTACTTGGGAGGCTGAGGTGGGATAATCGTTTGAACCCGGGAGGCCGAGGTTGCAGTGAGCCGAGATCACACCACTGCCCTCCAGCCTGGCCAACAGAGTGAGGATTCATCTCTCTCTCTCTCTCTCTATATATATATATATATATAATTATTATTATTATTATTCCTTTTAGAAATCTTATCTAAACAAATTTAGGCCAAGACTTGTTTAAAAGATGTCTGGACATTTTTCTCTAACAGCAAAATTGGAAAACAAACTAAACCTTGATAAATAAGAGAAAAGTAAGATCAATTATGGTCTGTCCCGTATGAAGCTATTTATTTAAATTTTGCTCTTTATGTATTTTCAATATTCAGTGCAATTGCTGCCACCAGCAGCTGTATGGCCTTGGCAAGAGCCTTCCTTCCTCTGCGTCTTGATTTCCTCCAAGGTGGTGGAGACCTCAGTCCTCCAGAGGACACCTGGTTGCGCTTGCGTCTGCTGCTGCCACTGCTAGATCTTTGACCACGGAAGGTAAATGAACCCCTAGAGGCCTACGTTTCTTACCTGTAAAGCAGGGATAATAATAATCATAACGACCTCGGCCGGGCGCGGTGGCTCACGCCTGTAATCCCAGCACTTCGGGAGGCCGAGACGGGCGGATCATGAGGTCAGGAGATCGAGACCATCTTGGCTAACACGGTGAAACCCCGTCTCTATTAAAAATACAAAAAATTAGCTGGGCCTGGTGTCCGGCGCCTGTAATCCCAGCTACTCGGGAGGCTGAGGCAGGAGAATGGCATGAACCCGGGAGGCGGAGCTTGCATTGAGCCGAGATCGCACCACTGCACTCCAGCCTGGGCGACAGAGCGAGACTCCGTCTCAAATAAATAAATAAATAAATAAATAAATAAATAAATAAATAATCATAACGACCTCATCAGCTTACAAGAATCAGTTCATACACACACACACACACACACACACACACACCACACACCCCACATCATACACATATAAAACACTGACAACAGAACCTTTAGAGCTGTACGTGATAACTGTATTGTTTTCACCTTTAAAATGAGAAGCTTAGACAGACAGAATCTGAGAGCTCCCTTTTAAATTTTAAATTGTTTATTTTTGTTTTAAATTTTGTTTCTCAGACCTCTCAGGGATGAATACAATTTTTAAACTGGGGGAATTTTAATTACTGGTTGGGGTTATCATATTTAGATGGTTTGATAAAGAATTAAACTTGCAGTTCTAATTTAAAAATTGAGAAGGTATCCTGTTTCTACTGGTGAAGACATGAAACCTTAGACCTGAACAGAGGATGCCATCGTGTATAAACCAAACAAGAACCAGAGCAGCACAGCTCACCTCAGGGCCACTGACCCAAACAAAGGAAAAGGGACCTGCCTGCAGTCATCGGCCTCAGCGACTGGCCCTACAAACCTCAAATTTTGAAAATGCTATCACTCGGAAAGTGGCCTATTGGGCAAAACAGAAGATTGGCCTCAGTCGCATGGGAATATTCTCTTTATTGTGCCATCACACCTCAAAGAAATGAGTTTAGTTCCATAAAGCTATATAACTAATGAAAGCCATTTTCTGGCTGGCCAGTAAGATAAATGGCTGACTGGCACATACAAGGTATCACCTGTACCTTTCGCCACCATCACTCTCATGACAAAATATCTTCAAAGTGGTTAATTTGCCAGTCAGATATTTAGTTTGATTAACTGTTATAAATGAGTTAAAAGCACACTGCAGTTCACTTTTCTCATACATTATTTTTCCTCCAACCCTATTGCTGTACCTTCTGAGACATGCTGATTGGATTCATTCTCTTTTGCTAAATAGGACTGCCCAAAATTTACTAGATGCTGAAACAAGAAGAAAACAGAATATTTTAGAAGAATTGAAGCAATCAAATATTTGCTCTGGCAAAGGAAAAGCTTTTTACCCAAAATATTAGTTTTGCACTAACTTCAAAGCAAGTGATGTTTCTTAAGTGTCTTTGCTTCCTTCTCCTTCCTTGCCCTCTCCCTCTTCCCACCTCCCCTCACCGTAGACAGACAGACAGACAGACACTCACACACACACTTTCTGGGCAATAAAGGCACACAGAAAATAAAAATAAAGGTTCAAAATGTGTTATCTCAACACTAACAATATGTGTGATTCCCGAAAAAGGCAGGTGTTGGGACAGAAACAGTGCTGATGCTTTCAAACTTGAGTCTGTGTCACCATAGGTGAGTCTGGGAAAAGATGCTTCCCACCACCAAAGAGAATGCCAGGAAACAGCCAGTGTCTCCGTGGGCACGGTGGGTTCTAGCTGTATTCTCAGAGCCTTTTTCCCTCCATGCACAGAAACATTTCATAAAGAATAAGCATGAATGGAAACAACAACAGTGGTTGATAGTTCCTTCTGTTATTTGCCTCTTCTTTTTGCTATCAGTTTAAGATGGGAAAGTCTACCTACATTTTTAACAAAATATCAATAGAAAAAAAAAACAACAGAAAAAGAAACAGAGTTCTCTCCAGCCTCTCAGAAGGGCTGCAGTGACTGGCATAGTAAATTATGGGAAAGTTCCACATTGTGGCTCAGCATGTCCAAGAACAAAGCCATGGACAGTTTTTCACAAGAGAAATCTCAGGGAATATGAGCAGATTATATAGCACAAAACATGCCACAGCCTCAACAATGTTTTTGAGCCCTGAAACAAGTAACAGGACAATAGGGTTGTTGGAAAGCTTAGAGTCTAATCTTGATTCTAAAACATGTAATATGGTCATGTGCCCCATGACGTCTCAGTCGATGACAGACCACATGTACAACAGTGGTCTCATAAGATTATAGTACTGTATTTTTATTGTACCTTTTCTATGTTTAGATACACAAATACTTACCATTGTGTTACAACTGCCTACAGTATTCAGTACAGTACCCTGCTGCTTGTAGCTTAGGAGCAATAGACTTTATCATACAGATTAGGTGTGTGAGAGGCTCTACCATCCTGGTTTAGGCAAGGACACTCTATGATGTTTGCACAATGATGAAATCACCTAAAGACACACTTCTCAGAGCAAATCCTGGTCATTAAGCTACACATGACTGTATATAAGCTGCAGTGTGCGACTGACATGTTTCTACCAATGATTAACTATTCTTCAATGGAGAGCAACATTCCAAGAATTAAATTGTAAAAGCCCGTCTAATAACAAGTGTTCTGTATTTCTGGGACAATTCTGTCTTTGCCTCCGAGAAATGGCTACTTCACAAACTCCCGTAACGAAATTTCACAGGTGAAAGGCGCAGCTAGCCATGAGCACAGCCAGGATCCATTTATGTCAATTAGGAAGTGGGTTAGCAGCCCAGGTGAACCTGGATACGAGTGAAAGGACTAGATGCAGTACACTAGAATTCTCCTCTCTGACCCGTGGACCAGGAAGAATCCCTCTGCACTGTGTAAATATGTGAAATAATGGGAAGACCAAAGAGGAGTCCCCTCAGAGTCCCATGCTTGAAGCCAGCTGCTGGATAGCCAGACACCATAGCTTACTGTGGAGGAGCACTCCATCCCCAGATGAAGAAAGAGGGTGCACTGCATAAGGAGACGCTGCTGATTAGACTTCAAAGGAAATTCTTTATCAGAGGTGCATATACATAAAGTGCAAAAATCACAGACAATATATAGACTCAAGAGAGAAGTCCTGAGGACCCATTTTAGGGAGAATTTTTCAAGTAGAGGAAGAGACACAATAGGATCAAATAGGGGGGACGAAATGTGTTTAAATGATTCAGAGAGAAGAAAAATCAGCCAAGGGAGACGTCAAGGAGAAAAATAAGGCAAGTAGCACAGCACTGTGATGATGACAATGCTGAAATGGAAGGAGGCTGAGGGCCGTCCAGACAAGCCACATGCTAACGAAGGCAGGAGCGCGGTGGGGTGAACAGATGCTAAGGAAGGCGGGAGCGCCGCGGGGTGAACAGACGCTGAGGAAGGCGGGAGCGCGGCGGGGTGAACAGACGCTAAGGAAGGCGGGAGCGCGGCGGGGTGAACAGACGCTGACGAAGGCGGGAGCGCGGCGGGGTGAACAGACGCTGACGAAGGCGGGAGCGCGGCGGGGTGAAGAGACGCTGACGAAGGCGGGAGCGCGGCGGGGTGAAGAGACGCTGACGAAGGCGGGAGCGCGGCGGGGTGAAGAGACGCTGACGAAGGCGGGAGCGCGGCGGGGTGAAGAGACGCTGACGAAGGCGGGAGCGCGGCGGGGTGAAGAGACGCTGACGAAGGCGGGAGCGCGGCGGGGTGAAGAGACGCTGACGAAGGCGGGAGCGGGGCGGGGTGAACAGACGCTGACGAAGGCGGGAGCGGGGCGGGGTGAACAGACGCTAAGGAAGGCGGGAGCGCGGCGGGGTGAACAGACGCTAAGGAAGGCGGGAGCGCGGCGGGGTGAACAGACGCTGACGAAGGCGGGAGCGCGGCGGGGTGAACAGACGCTGACGAAGGCGGGAGCGCGGCGGGGTGAACAGACGCTGACGAAGGCGGGAGCGCGGCGGGGTGAACAGACGCTGACGAAGGCGGGAGCGCGGCGGGGTGAACAGACGCTGACGAAGGCGGGAGCGCGGCGGGGTGAACAGACGCTGACGAAGGCGGGAGCGCGGCGGGGTGAACAGACGCTGACGAAGGCGGGAGAGCGGCGGGGTGAACAGACGCTCAGGAAGGCGGGAGCGCGGCGGGGTGAAGAGACGCTAACGAAGGCGGGAGCGTGGCGGGGTGAACAGATGCTGACGAAGGCGGGAGCGCGGCGGGGTGAACAGATGCTTAGGAAGGCAGGAGCGCGGCGGGGTGAAGAGATGCTAACATAGGCGGGAGCGTGGCGGGGTGAACAGATGCTGACGAAGGCGGGAATGTGGCGGGGTGAACAGATGCTAACGAAGGCGGGAACGTGGCGGGGTGAAGCACAAGGATGTGACTGAGAAGACGACGTCGCTGTTGGAGAATATGGTGACTTTGACTGAGAAGGCGACGTCACTCTTGGAGAATATGGAGGCCATGAGGGCCGTCCAAACACAGGTGCTAAAGAAGGCAGGAGTGTGGTGGGGTGAAGCACAAGGAGGTGACTGAAAGACGATGTCACTCTTCGAGAATATGGTGACTTTGACTGAGAAGACGTCACTCTTGGAGAATATGGTGACTTTTGATGGCTGAGATGCTTTGATGCCCGGGAAGCCCTGCAGCTGCTCATTCTCATTGTACATTTATGAGAAAAAAGCAAATGAAAAAAAATTAATCCAGAACTTACTTAAGGGAACACAATATGGTAGAATCAGCCAAAAACCTACATTTAAAGTATAGGAGAGTAAGTTGTAATGGTGGACTTGAAATAGTAAGGAAAGTTTGTATTATCATCTGTTTACTAAAGCAGAAAGGGAGTGTAACAATAGTTTTTAAATATCAATGAAAAATCCTTGGAAAAACATATCAGTGCCAGTGTTGAGACACAGTCAGAAAAATAGGTCACCTCAGACGTGTGAATAGGCTCAGCAAAGCCTAACAGAAAATTCTGTCACCTCAAAAAGTACTTTTCAATTGCAGAGGTCAAAGTGCTTCTTACATTTAGTACAACATGTGTGTGCATGTGTGTGAGCATAATTTTATATATATTACATATATATAATATCTTATGTTCTATTCCTATGAAATAGAAAAGAGATATAAAAATAAAGACATTAAAAGACTTAATTAACCAAGGATTCACGAATGACAATTCCTGGGGGGTTCTGGAGCATGGAGATTAGGAAGAGAAGTGACATGTAACATGACACAAGGGATTACGAAAGGCAGATAATATGAGGGAAAGTCATGAGGGAGCTGGATTTATTATCCTGAATTAGAAAATAATGCAGAGTCTCAAAGTATCCATAAAGGAGAAGCTCCTCCCATGACAAGTGTGGTTTCCCATGCAGTGGGGGAGGCCCTGGCCCTGGCCCTGGCCCTTCATTCCTCCCATTTGCTACCTGGTGGGTTCTTGAAGACATTCATTCTCACTTCCCCATTCCCCTTCACTTAAGGGGCCCTGAGGGGTGAGGGGAAGGCCAGACCTGTACTCTGTACATTACAAGTACCCACCTCTCTCTCTCTTTCTCTCTTTCCTTCCTTCTCTCTCTCCCCATTTTTAGCACACAGTTTGTTCAGACTCCTGACCCCCCACCACCAGTCACAGGCATGGCATGGCGTAGCCTCATAGATTAATTACATTCATCCCCACTAAATTCTGCATTGTGCTCTGTGTGACAATCAATATAATAATGTGCTTATATTCTTAGAAGTTTTATACTCATGACAAATAAGATATTAATAGGAGTGGCTTCTGAAATCTGTGGTTGCACATCACAAAATACATCTGCACTTCCCCCGTTGTTAGTTATGTCTAATGATCTTTCCATGGTTTAAGTGAGCATTTCTGTTGGTGTTGGCATTGGGGTTAGAACAGAATCAGCTACTCCCTTACAGTGACCAAAGTCAGACATGCCTGTATTTGAACCCATATCTGCTGCTTTTTAGCTCTATGGCCTTTAGCAAGTTATTTAATCTCTAAATTCTTAACCAGATTTCTCAACCGATTGTAGCTCACGAAGTTGTAGCAAGAATTAAACGAGCTAATCCGAGGGCACCGCTGTGTCTGCCACCGAGTATGTATGTGAGTTCTGTGCGTGTCATGATGGTTAGCTGCTTACGTTCTTCTTCTCATTTTCCGTGACTGTCTCCTAAATCATACAGTGACAGTCGCTCTGGGATTCCTGGGGGTTTCCAGCAGTGTCTCCCTGGTGAATGATAAACTTCAGCAGTTAGGTGAAGTGCTTGGTAAGGTAAAATGGAAGCTTGACATGAAAAAAAGTTTTGCAAACATCCCCATAGTGGAAAAATAAGACCAGGGAAGAAGCTGCTAATTAGCCAGAGGTGCAATGATGTATCATGACTGTCAAAGCAAAGGAGCGATTTTTGCTGTAGAGATAGCCAGCCTTCAGGAAGGGCCATGTTTCCCAGTAATTTAATCTGAAAGACATAAATCATGACGAAAATCTTCCTGCATTAGTAATGGAGAGAAATACCTGCATTCTAGCAAGGTTTGCATGATAAAAGACAGGTTTTCATACATCTTAGATCAGGAAAAATAATTATCAATCAAAGATAACCCCCTGCATCCTCGTTTGAAGTGAAATTGGAGGTCAGCGGAGGCCAAGAAAAAGAGAGGACTGGATTGTCTCTGCAATTTTAAGGAGCTCATTACTAGAAATGCTGTTTTACAAAGTTTCAGCTGTATGTGATTTTGAAACATTAATGATTTAATGCCTGCCAGACAAAGAAAGGGAAGGGATGTCAAAAACCAAAAACAGGTATAACTGTATCATTGGCATGAAAATGGAGGCTGACATCATAATGATGAGAAATCACCCCAGGGCCAAAGTATGCCAACTGAAATCATGGCCAAACACAAATCTCCTGGTGCTTTGGAAGAATGCAACTGGAAATTGATAAGAGCAGAGGAATCTATATTATCTGCTTCCCAGAGAATTGGGAGTTCACAGAGAACAAAGTCAGTGGCCCCAGCAGAGCCCTTTGCTATGCAAATAAGCTGGAACACTTACCCAAACACACTCTCTAAATCAAGATTACCTGTAATTCCTCTGTGCTGCAGCCTATAGGGCTGTAGAGGCTTAATCATATTTATTACCTAACCAATGAACACATGGGCTGTTTGATCAGAAAGTAAATTTTGGCCCCACCTCACCATTCCTACAACATCATGCAAGACCAGTGAAGTCCTGAGAACCTGGAAAGCCCTAATCCGCATTCAGTGACTGGTCTCTGACCATTTGTTTTGCCCGGACAACTGAGTAATGGAGGGACAAACAGCTTAAATTGTTAGCAACTACTAGACTATAAAATTCTTACTAAACAGGCACTTTCTTGAAAGCTCAGACCATTTTTTATTCAATTTTTGCAATTAGTAGAATTTGTCTCCCTGGTGATCTCTCAATTAAGATTAAATAGGGCCCTCAAAGATGCTGGGGAGAAAAAACGAGAAAACAAAAAATTAAATGGGGAATGAAGAAAATAAAGGAGAAAATGAGAAAAGAAATAGGGAAGGGAGAAAGGTAAAAAATAAATGGCATGCCAATCATTAACTCTAAAATCCAGGTGGAGAGATATATCAAACCAGGCAGGCAGGCCAAATTAGTCAGAGCAATGTTTGCTGGCCACTATAACAAGCAACCCAAAATCTCAGTGGCTTAAAATAAAACTTACGTCTTTCTCATTCGAAGTCATTGTCCCTTCAGTGGCCCTACTTGGTTGGTCTCCTCCGAGTGGTAACTCAGAGATAGGAGCTGCTTCCATACTATAACTCTGCCACCTGGAACATGTGGGTTCCTGGATTCCCACAGGAGGAAAGAAGAGAGTAGTGTCTTATGGTCAACTCTGGAAGTGGCCAGCGTTCCATCTACACAGCACTGGTCAGAACACGGTCATAGGCTCCCAACATCACCCATAAGGGAGTCTGGGAAATGTAGTCTTTTCAGGTTTCCAACAAGTGGGGGCCACGCGATGAGGAAAACAAGGAGTTCAATTCTGGACAAATCAATCGGAATCGACCACTCTTGTCACACAGGAGCACACAATCTGTGTGAGCAGACAGGAAAGGCTCCATGAAAATAAGGGACTCGAGCATGAAGAAGAAAGGCATCTACGCAGAGGGTACTGTATGAGCAGAAATTTGGAGGTGATTGGTGCAGGTGGAGCTGAAGGACAAAAATTAGTCTCATCTGCCGGGAGCAGAGTTTCTGAGGAGCTGAAAAGAGTGATAGAAGACCAGATAAGTCAATTAGACAGATTGGAGAGGCTATTTCATGCCAACCAAGGAGATTTTTGTGGCAGGCCAGGTGTCACTAACAGCTGAACAGGCAGGCCTCCATAACAACTGTCTCAGCACTGACTGAGTGTTGAGCTACATACTGAAAGCTGAGAGAGCCAGTGTCCTTATACAAAGGCTGGAATGTAACCAAAGCCCACCAGGAGTTTTGCCCAGGCCTCTCCCAGGTCTTGAAGTGCGACAAAATAATGAAGGAATTCTTAACAGGACCTGTTTAGGATTAAACAACTTGTTATTGGGGGGCTGAAGAAACTCCCCAGACCTCCACAAAAATGTTTTATTGGGGGTCTAAAGGAACTCCCCAAACCTCCATGATTTAGCAGGAGACAGGATAAATGTAATCACCCCCGGTACCTAGACCCGTCTAGATTAAGTCAATTTACTGAGGCTGCAGAGGAAGGGCTTCAAAACTCAGATCTTAGTTACAGATTAGAGTAAGTTAATCACTTATGTCTTTACACGAATGCACAAGTACACACAGACATATAGCTTAAAAGGTATATAAGCTCTGTAAACCTTGTAATTTTTGGTTAGTCTGGCAGTATTTTCCAGGCCTTCTCCCTGTACCCGGTTACAGAAATAAGCTCTCTTCTTTCCCAGTTTATCTGCATCTCATTATTGGGCCACGAGAATAAGCAGCCCGACTCTCAGTTTGGTCTGGGAACAAACGGACTTATCCCTGTAGGTAATAGAATGCCTTTGTCCATAGCTCCTGGCTATGAGCAGTGAACGAGGCCAAGGTTCTGCATGACCCATTGAAGAGGAGAAACTACTGGCAACAGCAAGCCAGGCAGGCTGCTCTCCAGGTGCTAGGTACCTCCAGGCTAGAGGTCTTGGCCTCAATCCTTAACTATCTGTGTGAATTGGACAAGTCCATCAGTTCCTTGGTGTCTCAGTTGATTCATCTATAAAATGAGGAAAATAATGTGTAATGTGTAAGAAAGCTCTGTGGATCAATGTTTAAAATATGTGAGAGAAGCACCAAAAGCAACACCAAAGCGTGCAGTCATGGAAGTCATGACTTCAGCGTGAAGTCATGATTACTGAATCAGTGAGGAATAAGGGTGGAGGGTGGGGTCACGGAGATGGAAACACCAGTGGAATAAGGGTGGAGGGTGGGGTTATGGACATGGTAACACCAGGGGAATAAGAGGTATAGGGTGGGGTCATGCTGATCGAAACACCACTTCACTACGAGGTACAGGGTGGGGTCGGGGCCATGGCACTGGAAACCCATTGGTACCAGGCTGGCAGGTTCGGGTCGTGGAGATCGAAACACCACTCGGATAACACACCGATCTTGGGGTCACGGAACATCCAACACCATTTGGAGTAAGAGGTAAAGGGTGGGGTCATGGAGATGGAAACACCAGTGGAATAAGGGTGGAGGGTGGGGTCATGGAGATGGAAACACCAGTGGGGCACTAGGGATACATTCACATGATTTGGAAATGTAAAGACGTGGAAGACAGAGCACAGAAAGAAATGACAAGCAGCTCCAGTTTCTGAGTCCAGGTAACTGAAAGAACGATGGTATCGCCGAAAAAATAAAGTAGTTGTGTGGGGGCTCACTTGACGGGGAAGCCAAGGAGTTCACTTTTGCACAAATCAATCTGAACTGAAAGCAAGGAACCAACCGTGCTCTAGGGAGTAAGAGACACCCAACCAAAGCTCAGGAAGTGATTGCCATTTAAGCTCAGCTTCTGATCAATTCACATAGTTAAATCCACACGTGAAGTAAGCGTTACAATCACTTTCCGAATTTTTATTACTCTAATATATATTTAAATTAACTGCAAATAATGTTTTTAGTATCTGAATGTATTTATACCCTTCTTTTTTAAATACACAGGAGTTAAACATCTCAACGAATATCAGCATTGGAAGAAAAAACTGTTTGCAATGGAAAGGAAGAGCAATGTTCCAAATCTACTTGAGTTACAGAAAATCAAACTTCTCCTCAGGCCTTTCCTCCAGCAAAACATTCCTGTCGACAAAACAAGCTGGAAAGTGTGGGGCTGGGTTCCTGCTCCAATCCTTCCAGCTTTTTAGAACCCAAGAGACTCAGCTCACTTCCCAGCGCCACCGGCCTTCCTTGGATGTTTTCCACTCTAGTTGGGTTCAGGCCGGCAGTTTCTCCACATTCTTTAGCTCTCTGTTTTATTTCCAACATACTCCAGGCTGGTTGAGAAAGGGGAGAGGGGAGCCTCATGCTGCCCACTGGGTCCCCTGGGCAGGGCACACATACCTCTATCAAAGGGTCACTGATTCCTGGGAATTCCAGCCAATGACAGAACTAGGTGGTCTTAATTGCATTTGAAAATAATACTAGAGAGAACAGAAAGAACAAATAAGACAAGGTAAATGAAATGCAAAAAAAAAAAAGAAAAGAAAAGAAAGAAATTTCACAGGATTTTGCAAACTTTTGTTAAGCATTCGAATTCCAAAACCCTCAACCAAACAAAGCTTTCACAGCTATTTGTGCCTCAGGCTTATTTCCTAATTCAAAGCTGTAATGGGATCAGGTTAGTAAGAGCCTGCAATGGAAAACTGAAGCACAGTGCAAACTGATCTCTCACACTGTCGCTAATTTATCTTCTAAGACATTTGCAAAAACTCTCTTCACTGACTCCAAATATTGTCTGTATGGGTGCTTGGTATCAAACTGTGAAATGGCTCTGTGATTATGAAGTGCAACTATTAATCTCAGAAGAGTGAAAGCAACCTGGCCCATCTGCATGGAGCGCTAACACAGTGCCCGGTACAATTCAGGCAGACCCCTTCTCTGTCTTACAAACAAGGTATGGAAAAGAACAGCTTGCCCTAGAAAAAGCAGACGTTCAAATGGGAGGCTCACTCAGCCTTTCAGCTTCCTCTGCCTGCGGCATCTTGGAGAGGCACATGCCCAGAGGGAGTGTTGGGCTAGATCATGGTTTGCTGGGCTGAATGCTGGAGGATTTGAAGCAGGCCCAGCTGGGAGGGAGAATTAGGAGCAGTAGGACCCTTCATGCTGGTCTGAATCCAATCAGGCTTGACTGAGTCACAGCCAAAGAAATGACTCAAAGACCAGCACCAACTCCAAAGACAGAGGTTCTGCTGCAAGGACAGGTGAGCCCGTGGCTGAACCCCAGGCAGAAGCCGGAACACAGCCGGGCGAGTCTGAGACAGAGTGGAGGCTGTCCCGAGCTGCAGGTTAAAGCATCACTGGGGTTTGCCTGGCTTGTCTTCATTGTTCAGAGGGCACAAAGGTGCAGGATCAGGGCAGACATGTAGGGAACCTTTGTCTGCAGCAGAAAGTCTTTCCCCACCCGCCATCGCTCTACTTCCCCAAATCGTTCAAAGCTCATTTCATCTAAGACACTGCTCTTTCAATAAAAGGTTTACCACAGACTCACCAAACGGCTGATCCCTGTAGCGTGTTACATTCCACGAGAACCTAGGCACACAGAATGTCATGACTTGAAAACATGAGGCATTTGGACCAAGGGTTGGCAAACTTTTTCTATAAAGGATCAGATTGTAAATGTTTTAGGCTTCCTGAGCCAAGAGACAAAAATCAAAGATATTATGTCAATACTAATAAAAGAAGAGATAAAATAAATTTCCACAACATTTTTCTTGACAAAATTCAAACTATAACATAATCATTTAGTTTTTGTTTGTTTTGATAATACAGGCCCACAAAAGAGATAAATGGAATCCTTTGAGGAGGAGATAACATTTTGCTTATTGGAAGTTCAAAGTTAGTTCCCTAGAACCAAATTAATCCCAAATGTTCATCCATAAAAACCATTCTCAGCCTGTGTTGCCACATATAAGCAGGAGGGGCTGGATCTGGCCTGGGGGCTACAGTTTGCAATCTCTGGATTTAGACTAATCTGCCTGTTATATATACAAGGCATCTGAACCTCAGAGACTTAAGGATTGCTGAAAATCACAGGTCTTGTGGGAACATGGCAAGCCCCTCACCCCACCTGGATGAAGATGTGTCCTGGCCTCAGGACAAGCTTGTTGGTATTAAAGTTTCAGGTTGTCTATTCTGGCTCACTTTATGTGACCACTTGCCCAGGCCATCGCACCCAGATAGGTGGTCAAACACTGTTCTAGTCACATATTGTTATATATTCCATTTCTGTGAGGGTGTGTTGGAATATGATTAATACTTCAGTCAGGGGACTTTGAGTAAAGCTGATTGCTTTCTGTAATGTGGGTGGGCCTCATCCAATCAGTTGAAGGCCTGAATAGAACAAAAACTGACCTCCCGCAATCCTGAGGGAATGCTGCCAGCCGGCGGCCTTCAGAAGTGCAACGTGGGCCCTTTCCTGGGTCTGCAGCCTGCTGGTCTATCCTACAGATTCTGGTCCTGCAGTCTCCATAATCATGTGAACTAATTCCTTCAATGAAATCTCTGTCTGTCTCACCCTCCTACACAGACATGTACACACATGCGCACACACACACATGTTTCTCCGGTGAACCCTAAGCAATGCATTGACTCAGATAATCATCTTATGGGAAATGCTATGAAAAAAAGAACCTAAACACACATACAAGCTTATGGTAATCGTGGGACACTTGTGTGAAGAAGCAAATGCAACTATTATAATTCATAGCATTGAAGGTAATTTATTTACATTCATTAATTGCCTACAAGATAAGTATTGCAAATATAATAGCAAACAAGCCTGACCCAGCCCTGTCCTCTCATTGCTTATATTCTAATGGAAAAGTAAAACAGGACAAACAGAAAAAAAAAGTGCTGAATAGACAAATAATAAATAAAAACTGATGAACGCACTATGTAAAAACAAAAATGGGACTGACGGAGAGGGGCAGGAAATGCCTCTCTGATGGTCAGGTCTAAACGGAGAGGGCTTCCCTGAAACTTCAGGAAGGGGAAAAATTGAAGCTGAGGAAACAGCACAAACAGCCCTGAAATGGAAAAGTGTTTCAATGCTTCACAGACCTGGAAGATCAGTGTGTGGGGGACGTGCAATATGAGACGAAGCCTTAAGCAGATTGGGAATTTGGCTCCAGAGATGGTGGTGGTATGGACAATACAGTGGTGAGACCCCAACTCCTGCCCTTTGTTTCCACTCACCAACGGCAGATTCCCCCTGAAGATGGGCTGGGAGATAAACGTCCCGTTCAAATGGACCCTAAGTGAAGAGGCTCATGGGGAAAACCTTCCTCCCATTGCACACCCACTGCAGGCAGAGCCTTCCCAAGCTCTGTCCAGGCCTCCTGCCTAGTTATCTACGGGGTGAATCAGTCCACAGAGAAACACTCACCAAAATGTCAGCTGGACTTCAACAGGAAGGGTCAAGCTCAAAGGAAATTATATGAGGTTTTTAGAAAACTACAACAAATTCAACTCTTTGTAGTCAGTACCTAACTCAGTGCCTAGCATATAAGGCTCAACAAATCATATGGAAAGTTATCTGGTGTAAATACCCAGGGTTCATGGTCTTGTGCCAGGAAGATTTAGAACACAAACACACAGGAAGAGTTTAGGAGCAGATGTTTAATAGGCAAAAGAAAGAGAAAGGAGAATAGTCTCCCTCTAGTGAGAGAGAGAGAGAGAGTTTCCCAAAGGGAAGACCAGCCGGCAAGGAGTGTGCAGGATTTTTTAGGCAGGCTTGAGGAGGCGGTGTCTGATTTCCCTAGAGCTTACATAGGTTTACACGGCATGCGGAGAAGGCTGGCCACCCCATCCGAATCTTACTATGCAAATGGACTTTCCACTTGACTGGTGCCATCTTGTCTGCTCCTTCCTGTACACGTGGTTGGCAAAGGAAAGGGGAGATGGAGCCTCCGTTTTGAACATGCCTAGTCCCCGTAGCTTTTTCCTGCTGCCCTTCACCCATGCAAGCTTGCCGCTGGCTTTTCTATGTCTGCAGCTCCATCTTACAGGCTGATCTTTGTTAGACAATGATTTTGGGGCTGCTTTTCATTAAAAAGCAAAACCTATGAGGATTCCCATACCCTCACTATCTGCCTAAGCAGTTTCTTCTTAACGCCTATATCATTAAGAGAGATATTATGCAGCTTAGAGTTATTAGGGTTTGTGAAATAACAAATAAAGAGATAAAAGGTTTTTGTGTGTATTGGTGTGAAGATATGTATATATATATATAGACATATATATTCTGTTGTGCCTCCTGGAGTTTAACCCCTAGTCACTTTAACTGGTTGGTCTAGGCTGTTCCAAAAATTATCTTAAACACACATTTGCAAGCCATATTGCAGATGATGTGATCTTACCTGAGAAATGTTTCACTGGCAGAAAGAAGCCCTCTTTTTGTCTTTAAAGGCTCCTTTCTTTTCTCCTTTCATCTGTTTATAAGTTTGAATAGTGCTTATTGGAATAACTAGAGCAAATCTGGAAAAGCCTGGGCACATTGTTGTCAGCTACAGGATTTGCTTTGTGCAGTTTGGCTTTTACTACTTCCTTGAAGAGCTACCTTCCATCGAGACCACACTAGTAACACTGGCAGTCCATACACAAGTAACACATCACCAAATGGCCACAGATGGCCAAATGGCTGACTTTAAAAGCTGGACAATTCACATGCAGAAATCATTGGCTTCTGTTATTTGGGGAATTAGTGTATCTGATGGGGGGCAGTACTGAACCAGTTTTATAATTTCTTCTGTAGAGGCCAAACCAAAAAAGCCTAGAATGAATGAATGTAACTGTGAATGAATAAACAAATGTGTTTCCAAAAATAAATGATTCTTATATTAGATCATATTTTGAAAGATCTCAAAGTCCTTTTTATAAACTCCATTTGTCAAGAAAAATAACTCCTTTTATTAGGTTCCCTCTCAAGGATGTAGAACATACAGACTTGGGCATGAGGAAACATTTAAGAATCTCAGTATTTAACATTTACTAGGAGCACGTGCCTTTCTGAAGCGTACTCTCACATGTCTCCTTCAAATCTCCATGGATCCTTGCCTCAGGTGAGTGACATTTTAGGTGGAAATCAAGGAAGAGGTGGAATTTTATATCTGGGCAGACGTCATGTGGGCCAGGTTCAGCCTACATAAAAAAGTGATGCGGACCATAAACTCGGCATCTACGGCAAGTGGCCTGCTTGCTAGGCCTCTCTTATCTAGATCACAGGAGCAGGAAATGCCAGTTGATATCTGGATTACATATAGAGAATTCATTTGGCAATCACCCTCACAACTTCCAACCAGCAGCCAGAACAGGAAATATATTACCACGTACTTCCTTCCTGGGGCAGAGATAAAACTGCCCTGGAGGAGATAAGCCTTGAGGACCTGTGACTCCCGCTCCCACTTAGTGATCATGCTCAGAACCACTTCTGTTGACTGATATGAAATCTCTTCATTACAATTTACTAGAAATAATCCCTCACACCAAAAAGGGGAGTCATTTCCCCAAAGCCAAATCACTTGGTATTTTCCAACCCAAGACTAGAAACCAGCTGTCCTGCCACCCAAACACCCAATGCACGCTCCACCATCCTTGCTGCTGGGCTTTAACAAAAGAATCTCAAAATCAGAGTGGGATTTGAAGACTAGAAGAAGAAAGCAAAACAAGACTATCTGGCAAGGCTGGGTGAGGAGCTTTGCAGCAAACCAGGACTGAGGTCTTGACACAGAAGGCCTGGAGAGGCTGCCATTATTCCCCAGTGAATTAAGAAAGACTTGCAGCAGCTACCTCTTAAGATACAACAGAAGAGAAGCCACCTGAGGTAAGCGGGTCAGTGAGAAGGAAGCTTCAGACAAAGGAAGCTGTGAGTGAGGACAAAATGAAGAGGAACGAACCCAGCCACACAGTGACAAAGAAACCACAGGGTTTGGCAAGTGTCTGCTTGACCTTCTCTAAAGCAAATTAAAAATGTAGAGCTGAATCTCTAAATTTAATATTTAGGAAGAAAGAATTGCAATTCACAATATAGAGGCAGACAGGGTGGTCCGAAGGTGGAAAAAGAGGACTGTTCCTTTGTGGTCCTGTGAGAAAGTTCTTTGATATTAGCAAAGTTTTGGGGGCTGGTAAGGTCTGATTGGTGGGTGACTGTGGTGGGCAAAACTAGTCCTTGATTTGCAGTTGTTATCTCACCTGCTACAGATGAAAGTGGTCTCTGGTTACAACAGGCAGTTTCAGCCACGGGACTTGCAGACAACAGCATTTCTAGAGTGACGTTATGTACCCTGAGTGCCTTTTACTCAGACCCCTCTTCTCTGATTTAGTTGGGTATGACAAGAATGGACCAATTTGGATAATCAACTTGCACAATGCTGACTCAAGAACTGTAGCATTGAGTGTAAGGGTGCATCATTTTCATAAACACAGAGGAAAATGTGGCTGGTGGCTGATGGCAGAGCTGAGTCCCGAGAGCTCAGCCCTGAGCTGCCTTTCATCTGGTCACCATGTTCAGGGGTTCTTCTCCATGTAAATAAACATCTGTGATGAAAACCTCCACAGGTCTCATCATCAAAGTGGGTCTTCTAGAAACCAATTTGCTTTCAAAACAAGAGATCGAGTGATAATCTATCTAATGTTCTAGAAATGTTGGAGGCACCCTAGACAAATGTCAATCTTAAAGTTTTCCTTTTGCCTTATTTCTCTAAGTAACACCTTCTCAAATCATGAAAGCAAGAGTGATCTAAATTTTTTTTAAAAAATCCATATTAGAAGGAAGATCTATTAAGGATCTAGTGAGTAAATGACACTTTTGGAATGTTTAGAACTTCAAGGGGGAAACCACATGTTTTCACATCCCACTATATCATTTCCATAAGGATGAGGAAAAGCAGTACCCCTATTTGCAGAAGAGAGACTGCCGTGAAGTCAGTGGACACTATCTCCAGGTCAGAATCCAACCTAAAGGCCTTTAATCAATGGTAAGTGCTCTGAGGCACAAAATCCTATGCTCCTCATCAGTCATGCTTTATGTCCTCTGAATATTCTGAATTCACCAGAACCTAGTAGACCTATTTTAAGTTTCTCCAAAAATGTCAAAACTCTGTTTTATAGAAAACCAGAACTTTCATGTCAAGTGTTCCTGAGAACATTAATAACAAAAGCCAAAACAAGTTTCTTAAAGTCTGTCAGCCAGTTCTGTAAATATGACACAAGTAAATACTTCTGGACATCATTTAGATATTAACGTAACATGCATAAGCTAGAAAAGGCAGCATTAAATTTGGATGTTTTTGACTTTTGTTTCTCAACTTTTTAAAGATTAAATCATGGGATTTTATTCTCTTCTATTCCCTCTAGGGAAAGCAATGTGCTGATATTTTTCTGAAAGATGCTAACAGTGGAAGGAACTATTGAAAACAATTAGGGGAAAATCGCACCTTGAACTTAGTAGAACGTGTACACCATGTTCTCACAGGAAATCTCAGACATGATATTAAAAATTCCAGTTGTTTCATTTTTTTGCAGAACAGTCTGTAGTTATGTACTGAGTGCACTGTGCAGGGGGCACACAGGGCATACCAAAGGCTTCTTTTGTTTATGATACAGATTCCCACTGTACTCGGAAGGTTTTCTTTCAAATGCCTCATCACAGTGTGTCCAAACTTCTTGTAGGGAGCAACAGGGCCTCTATTTAAGCCTCTTGTTAGCCGATCCACCAGCCAAGGTCATGTTGCTTTCCCTTAAGAATCAGAGCCCCGGGGATCCTGTTCTATCTGTTCTTTCCGCCGCCTCCTGTCTTTCAGCAGGGCAGATGCCTCCCAGAAGTAAACCAGATGCCAGGACTGTGGGGGACTCTTGAGCAGCATCAGCCAAACTGTAGGAGCTGAGAAGAGGAAGCTTTGCTCAGGGTAAGCGCCCTGGGATAATGTCTTTAATGTCAAGAGGATGCACACTGGAAACGTGGAAAGCCCTCCAGGCTGAAAGAGGGAGTCACACAGGTGGGGAGTGTTGCCAAGCATTTGCGAGCACTCTCTTCGGTGGGCAGACAGCCGGCTTGCTCATGATTCCGCCTTTTCTGTTATTGTCAACAAGCCGCCACTGGAAATTTGTATCCTTAAGGCTTTGAGGTCTTGCCTCAGGTGGGGGTCCCGGAATAAGCTCATTAAGTTTTTGCCTCATTACCTCCAGGCTCCAAATCACTGGTACAAATTTCTCAGTCTGACTTAATGCTTAGGGAAATGTCGTATTTTTGGACCCTTCATTTTAAAAAAGTATATATATTTACCAGTGCTATCTCCGCCAATTCCGAATAAACCTTAGACTTCAGGTCATGAGTCACTAGGAGTCTGAATATGTCTTTTATTTGGATTCAAATAAGATTTTAACTTCCTGGCACCATGGTTTTCTGAAGGTGCCAGTGTGAGACCTGGGTCATCAGAATGACTTGGTGCTGGGAAGCCACAGAATGGTGCAGTAAGATCTTGCTGTCTCGGTTTCTGCCTTAGAAACAATATCATACACCCTCTCTCATTTCACAGAATGCTAAAATTTAGCATATGTTATAGTATTTATTGACAATAATAAGGCAGGATAGCAAAGTGGTTAAGGAATGACTACACTCAACAACCATAACCTCCTATCGTGCCAGGGACGGCAGGCAAATACCATGCACGGAAGTCAGTGTCAGCAGAGATCAGCGGGCATTCTCAGAACACTGTGGGAACTAAGGGTCTGAGCCATCAGGACTGTCCACAGATATTCCACTCCTTCTGCTCATATAATATGCTTGCATTCCCCATGTTTTATGATTTGAGTTCAGGATTTGTTTAATTCAGGTATGGTAAAGTGATAGACACAGACAGGAACAACTGCCTTTGAAATAAGAGCTTGTTTCTTACAGTTCCTAAGAAAAAGGAGCATTGGCATGCCACACAGGGCTGCCCAGGCAGCGCCAGGATTGGGCAGGAGGCAGGAGTACAGGAAGCATGGATCGAAGCCTCCATGAACCCAGAGGGGAGAAGTCACAAAGTAGGGACAGCCCTTATTCGGCAGGAAACAAGTCACAGATTTGTTTGTGGCTGGAGGGTTTGTGATATGACTTTTATGCTACCTCAAAAGTGGGACTGAAGGGTGATGTAGACACCTTTGGCCATTAGTTTGGCCCTGTGATTAGTGCATGTCAAATCATCAATTACAAGATCTGTAGAAGTTGGTTGGAACACCCCACCTTGTGCAGACAGTCTGTTCACGCAAGTCGGGCAGGAATCATGAGTGGAAGCGGCATGTGTCACTTCCTGCAAAGGACCAGCACAGGGGACACCACACTCCCTTTGCCTGCCACAGTGGCCACGAAAGCACCTCCATCAGCGTGCATTCCCAAGTGAGTACCTGGGTGGCCTGACGGGTCTAGAGTCTTTCAAGGCTCTGCTGGCATCTCATCTGTGAACATCCCACTGGCCACAGCAAATCTCATGGTGGGATGGTTAATTGTATGTGTCAACTTGACTGGGCCACAGGGTGCCCAGAAATTTGTTTCAACATTATTCTGGGTGTGTCTGGGAGGGTGATTGCAAATGAGATTAGCATTTACATTGGCAGACTGAGCATAGCAGGTTGTCCCCCCCGCCCCACCCGATGTGGCTGGGCCTCAGCCAATCAGCTGGAGGCCTGAATGGAGCAAGTCAGAGGGAACTCTTTCTGCTTGGACTGCTGTGAACCCAGGCATTGGGTTTTGTGTTTCGTGTTTCTGCCTGTGGACCTGAACTGAAACATCAGATTTTCCCTTGGAAGCCCACCAGCATTTGGACTAGAATTAGCCCATCAGCTTTCCTAGGTCTGCAGTTTGCAAATGCATATCTATCTTGAGACTTCTGTTTTCATAATCACGTGAGCCAATTTCATATGGTATATATTTATAAAATAGTATTATAGGCCGGGTGCAGTGGCTCACACCTGTAATCCCAGCATTTTGGGAGACCAAGGCGGGCGGATTACAAGGTCAGGAGATCGAGACCATCCTGGCAAACATGGTGAAACCCCGTCTGTACTAAAAATACAAAAATTAACGGGGCGTGGTGGCGGGCGCCTGTAGTCGCAGCTACTCGGGAGGCTGAGGCAGGAGAATCACTTGAACCCGGCAGGCGGAGGTTGCTGTGAACAGAGATCATGCCACTGCATGCCAGCCTGGCAACAGAGCAAGGATCTGTCTCAAAAAAATAAATAAATAAAAATAATATTATGAACAATATTATTTTATATGTATACACACCTATCCTATTGTTTCTGTTTTTCTGGAGAACCTAGACTAATTCACAGGGCTAAGCCCAAAGTCAAACTTGGTGACCTCTATAAAATTACATGGCAAAGGCTGGAGAAAAAGGAAACAGTAAACATTTGGGGTCACATTTACAATTTACCACAGATGGCAAGAAGATAGAGCTGCTTTTCCCGATATCTGGATGTCGGTTTCCAGCCACCCAAATCTTCCTAAAGACGTGGAAATGCTGTGGCCGCTGCAGCAGTGGGCAGAGGAGTGGTCAGGCCGGGAAGAGGAGGTGCTCGGGTCATCTTTCCCATCCCCAGGATGGCTGGTGGCCCCCTGTGCTACGTGCATTTGAAGGCCTCACCTGCCTCATGGGTCTGAGGGAGGCAGCACATAATTAACCACTACTAGGAATTTTAGAATGTATTTTTAGTTCTCTGGAAATGTCTCCCTCATTATTCTTTGTTATTCAACTTTGAAACACATGTGTAGGAATCCACTGTGTGTAGAAGTAAGAAACTGCCTATAACCAATGCTTTTCACACCAACAATCTCTCGCTCAAACGAATACAAGCCAGGCTCTTAATGTTCTTGTTATAGAAGAATAACTCGGTAAGGTAAATAAAGCTGATATTAAAAATCTAATTTTACATATAAGAAGACATAGAGACAGACGTTAAATGGTTTGCCCTGTGTCTGAAAGCTCATTAATTGCAGAAGTGTTGAAGGATTGCAGGGCTCCTGACTCTTTGGTCAGGATGCATTATGCAGCCACTCACAGAATCATTTTGAGATGGAGAGCCAGAATTCTGGAGAACAGCAGAGTGCTCCTGCAGCATGTCTGTGCAATGAGAGCACAGCAACCCTTCTAGAGAATTTGGTCAGGGATTGGGTCAGGAAATGTTCATGGAGCACCTTCTCCTTTCTCTGTGTCAGGCACTGTGCTATGTTATGGAGACACAGGGGTGGGCAAAACCAGACCCCATACCTGCCCTTAGCAGTATATTCTGTAAGGGGGCTGGAGGATGTAGACCTGAATCAAATATTTGCATGCACAAGTAGAAACATGCAACCCATGTGTACAGTGAAGGGGAGGCCCTTGGTGCTGCAAAGACCCATAATCACAGGCCCCGGGCTGGGCAGAGGGCAGGGAGAGCTTTCCTGGGGAGCAGTGCTTGAAATATGGTACAAAGAAGGGGTTGGAGTTATTGAGATAAATAGAAGAAACAGTGTTCCAGGTTAGAGGGTTTAGAAAGTGCAAAGGCCTTATACCTGGGAAAAAGGAAAGACAAAGGGGTGGAAGGAAAAGCAGTGGCTGAAGCACAGTGGCTCATGAAAGATGAGACTGGATAGAATAGGAGCAGGTCCTCGGGCCTGGAGGATATCTTCAGACATTTGTGCCTTATCCAAAGAGAAATGGCAAGACATGGACGATGTGAAAGCCAGGGGCTGTCCTCTAGACCATGAGACCTCAGCCAGCTGCCGCCCAGAGCCAAGTTGCTGCTTTGTGTGCCGCTCTCTCGAAGTGTGGAAGAGCAGATGGGGTGTTTTTACTTCTGCCCCAAAACTTACACATTTCACTAAAATATTCCTACTCCATGCTTAGCAATGAGAAACCTTCTCTATGCCATTCTTACCCTTTTGAAATGATACCAGATGCCAAGAAACACCACAGGAGTACGGCAAAGAGGTTGAGCTTCAAGGGCAGATGTAGTCTAAGTGTCAGCTGTACCACAAATTGTGACAATAAGCACTTCACCAGGCTTCTTATTTTACTCCCTCTTCCGTGCAATGAGGCAGCTTGACTCTGGGGCTGGAAATAGTTCTCTCCTCAAGGTGGAGGCAAACGGAGTATCGGACAAATTGATAATCCACGCAATCCAAATTGTAATTAGTATAGTCTTTCTCTGGTTATTGAGACAAGTTTTTCACATGAGCTTAGCTTCTGTTTAGCATTTTAACTGTGGGAGAGGGAAAGTCCTTGAAAGTCCTGTGACTCTTTGGTAAAATAAGAACGTACTAATGAAATATGAGAAACATCGAAAGAAATTAAAAGACATTAAAAATCTATTGTGTATCCTGCACTCCAAAGTCATTTTTAAATGGTAATTACACCTTTGAAGAGCATCTAATTAGTATGAAAAGAACTTTGGATGAATGTGGAGCTCTTCATCTGACTTCAATTGATACACAGTGATAATATTCAAGACCAATTTCTGCAGCTTTTATTGCCTGACTGAGCATTGCTCTGTTTCTGAAGTTTAAAGGGATTTTCTAATCTTTTGCTTATCAGAGGCTGAGCAAAGACCTGTCATGGTTTATGGAGGTAAAAGAGAGGAGGTAAAAGTATTTTTAAGTGCCCTGTGGAAAGTGCTGTCAAGTCCAGGCTGTGTCAAGCTCATGCTTTGTGGTGAAACAAGGATCTAAGCCACAAACTCCTGAAAAGAAAGTTTCTAGTCCCTTTTTGTCTGGGTCATTCAGGAGCATCGAGACAGACACACAGGAGTCTGGTAAGACTCCTGTTCTTCATCCCTGTCATCAGTAACGTAACACTCTTAGTGCTCGCTGTGTGCCTGGCTCTGTGTTAAGTGCTATTTCAGTTAAATGTTAGCACTGTGAAATGGTTTCAGAAAAAGGCATTTGTGGTCACTCTCAAGTAAATGCCCAAATGGTCTAACTAGCTTATTAAGCAGGAGCACTCATTAAAATCTATGAGATTTGCATAAAATGCACTCTGCAGCACCGCTCTCACAGACACAATGGCAACAGCCCTTTGAACTAAGTCCGTAAGTTTCCTTAATGGGTTACATCAAAATTTAATGGCCCAGAGCTGGGCCACTTAGGTTTACTACCTAGACAGATGTGTTGAATGCTGCTAATGGGAAGATTGTAAGGTACTGGCTGTATGATGCCCTTCTTTTAAATTCTGTAATGGATACAGATGCCATTGGTTAACAGTTTTTATTTCTTCCTTAACTAAAAGGGTTTTATAATAAGCAAGTCAACTATTTTTCTTCGGCAAGGACTTCAAGTACATTTCTGACCTCATCTCCCACTCTCCCTCTGTCCTTTCCATGAATGCCACACTGGCCTCCTTGATGCTCCTCAAAAATGCCAAGCTCCTCGGGGCCACTGTATTTGTGCAGCCTCTGCTGGAACACTGTGTACATCTGGGTTCTTGGAGCAGCAAACACCAGAATAGTATTTGCCACTCAAGAGATTATTTGGGAGAAGTGCATGTGGAGGAAAATGAGAAGGGGCTGCAGGGGTCTGGGCAGGCAAAGTCTTAAAATGCAGTGCAATTCTGAGAAACTTTTGGCAAGGCTGGTAGTAGAACCCTCCAGCCCAGGCTGACCAGCAGAGGGGTCCTTCATCTCCTTGCAGCAGGCCTGACTTTATACTCCGCCATGCTGGGTTACCGGCTGACAGTGGCAGATTTCAGGGCGGCAGCTGGCTGTTGGCCAGCCGCTAACAGTCACCAGCCCCCAGGGGCCACGAGATCTGACAAGCCCCTTCCCAGGGCCACCACGAGCTCTCTTGGTCTACAGTTCTCAGGACTGCTTCTCCTACGTTCAGTTTCTGTTAAATATCCCCTCTGTGGGGTCTGCCCTGTTCATCTCATATAAACATGTAAATAGCAACCCCTTCATTTCCCCTCACCTTCTACCCCATGTCAGTTACTGTTATCTGCTTTGTTTATTCATTGCATCAAGATACAACATACAGTCATCTGTCGGTATTCATGAGAAATTGGTTCCAGGACCTCCCCCAGATACCAGAATCCCTAGACGCTCAAGTCCCTGATATGCAATGGTGTAGTATTCAGCGTAGCCTATGCACATTCTCCCTATACTTTAAATCATCTCTAGATTACTGGTAACACCTACTACAATGTAAATGCTATGCAAATCGTTGTTACACTGTGTCATTTAGAGAATAATAAAAAGAAAAACTTTGTACATGTTCAATACAGTTTAAAGGGCTTTTTTTGCAAATATTTTTGACTCCTGGCTGCTTGAATCGGCAGATGCACAACTCACAGATACAAAGGACTAACAGTGCGTTTCCTTGTTGATGTCACATGAGCTCCCTTTAGCAACAGATAGAAGGACTAACTGTGTGTTTCCTTGTTGATGTCACATGAGCTCCCTTTAGTAACAGAAGGAGTAAGTGTATGTTTCCTTGTTGATGTCATGAGCTCGCTTGAGTAACAGATACAAAGGACTAAGTGTGTATTTTCTTGTTGATGTCAGGTGAGCTTGCTTTAGTAACAGATAGAAGGACTAACTGTGTTTCCTTGTTGATGTCACGTGAGCTCGCTTTAGTAACAGATAGAAGGACTGTGTTTCCTTGCTGATGTCATGTGAGCTCTCTTTAGTAACAGATAGAAGGACTAAGTGTGTATATATTAATGTATTAGCATAATATATTTATATTATATATTAACATACAATATTATCTTATTATATGTTACATAACATAACTAATTAACATGATTAAATAAATGCTATGACTTTACCTGTATATCGAATTATCTAGACTCCTAGAAACATGGTTGCAGGATGAAGACTTTACCCTTGCTGAAATTTCTGTGCCTCTCCTCCCTGCTTCCAGAAAGGCAGTGCTGGAAAATGCCTGTCTCAATGCACACTCAACAGCACTGTTTTTTGTTTGTCTGTAGTTTTTTTGAGATGGAGCCTCATTCTGTTGCCCAGGCTGGAGTACAGCAGCCTGATCTCAGCTCACTGCAACTTCTGCCTCCCAGGTTCAAGCAATTCTCCTGCCTCAGCCTCCCAAGTAGCTGGGATCACAGGTGTGCACCATCATGCCCAGCTAATTTTTGTATTTTTAGTAGAGATGGGGTTTCACCATGTTGGCCAGGCTGGTCTCGAACTCCTGACCTCAGGTGATCCACCCAATTTGGCCTCCCAAAGTGCTGGGATTACAGGCGTGAGCCACCGCACCTGGCCAGCAGCACAGTTTTTTAATCTCCATCATTTTGATAGTTAAATATATTTGTATCTTGTCAATTTATTTGCACTTTTTATTATTTGTATTTATAACAGCTTTGTTGAGGTAAAATCAATATAAAAAACTGCACATATTTAATGTACAATTTGATGTTTGGACATATGCATACACTGATGAAACCATCATTAAAATCAAGATTCATTATTCATGCTTTTGAACCTAGGTTTCATTTTTTATCTATTTATTGTTTCTTTTGTAGTAAACTGTCCAGTACTTGACCAGTTTAACTATAGAAAGGGCAGTGTTTTATATGGGAGGGGTAGCTTACATCTGTAATCCCAGCACTTTGGGAGGCCAAGGCAGGTGGATCACCAGGTCAAGAGATCGAGACCAGCCTGGCCAACATGGTGAAACCCCGTCTCTACTAAAAATACAAAAATTAGCCAGGCGTGGTGGCGGGCGCTTGTAATCCCAGCTACTTGGGACGCTGAGGCAGGAGAATTGCTTGAATCCGGGAGGTGGAGGTTGCAGTGAGCTGAGATCGCACCACTGCACTCCAGCCTGGGCGACAGAGCGAGACTCTGTCTCAAAAAAAGGGCAGTGTCTTCATTAATGATTTCATGGTGTCAATTATACAGCTATATAGATACACACATGTGTTTGTGTATATAGTGAGTTGAATTGTCTCCCCTCAAATGATATGTCCATCTGGAACCTGTGACTCTGGCCTTATTTGCAAAACAAACAAACAAACAAACAAAAAAAGTCTTGCCAATATTATAAAATTAAGGGTTTTGAAATGAGGTTATCTTGGATTATCCATGTGGTCCCTAAATCCAATAAGTGTCCTTATAAGACAAAGACAGACAAAGATTTGACACACACAGATGCACAGAGAAGGCCATGTGAAGACAGAGGCAGAGATTGGAGTGTGGCTGTCACAAACTACGGGACACTTGAAGCCACCAGAAGCTGGAGACGAGGAAGGGCCCTCCCGTAGGGCCTCCAGAGGGAACACAGCCCTGCCAACACCTTGAGTTCAGACTTGGAGCTTCCGTGGCCGTGAGTCTGTGAGAGAACCATTTCTGAATGTTTTGAGCCACCGAGCTTATGGCGCTTTGTTCCTGCAGCCCTAGGAAACTCTGTGTGAGTGAAGGTAATTGTGTCTCTCTGTATCTATCAGACTAGTGAATATCAGTGTAACTCAGTGTAATTTAACTTTACCGCCTCACATCCTTGCTGTCTGACCTAAAGATTAAAAATTCTCTCAGAACTTCTCTAGCTCTTGCTTCTATGTGGTAACTGCATTGAAATTTTTAGTACATCCTAAAAATTGAAAGATACATGGTAAGCCATGTATCTTTCCTGCCTACCAGTTTGTCATTTTTCACATAATAAAGCAAGGTCACTCAAAGGTATTTTTTTCTTGTCTCGCTACTTTACACATTCAACCATGTTTATAAGCTCAAAGAAAAGAGATGGCCAGTTTGCTAAAATGAAAATATCATTGAATCCTGAAGATTTCATTCTTCCATAAAAATTATCATATATAAAGATGACTAAGTATGATTTCAGGCATCACCTTTCATACAAGCCTTCTTCCCTAAGACCTATCCACTGCTCTTCTCCACTGTGGTTTTAATATTTTAATGTTTCCATAGCACTAGATTATGAGATCCATGAAATCAAGTATTGTGCTTCCCTGAGTCTCCAGGGTGCAGCCCTGGCCTTGAGACATAACCAGTGCTTAGTAAGTGCTTATAAGATAAATCCTCAAAACCTTAAAATGAATTAAGTGCTTGTCCACTAAAACATCCCCCTATGTTGGGGGGCTAAATTCAGACTGTACTGTATAGTTAGGAAGAGCACAAATGCAAATACATGGGGTCATAGGTAATTTGTTTCTTCAAAGACCATGTAGACTTCTCTTTGGCAATTGCAAGGGAAATTCTATCAATCATAGTCCACACATGGATATAAGCCATAAGTAACTCTTTTCCATGCTTGCTTAGCACAAAGCCTTATATACTCTAGATTTGGGGTTATTTTTTTTTTTTACAGTAATATATGTAAAGCAATGTCACAAATCTGAGCCCCACATGCATGCAATTTAAACACTGGAAACCAACTATGTGGAGAGTATAGCAATGGTTTGACTCTGAGGTAAGAAGCACGGTGAAAGAACTGGAAATAAACCCTGCATCTGAGCTTTATGAAGAAGCGATTATAATCAATACCAAAATGAAAAAAAGAAACATCAACAGCTACTGTGAACCAAGGTCTTCACAGTTTTGCTTCTTTCCACTAATCTTCCAAAGAGGTTATTTTGAGACGATATGTTCAAAGCACTATAAGCCATTCTTCTCCAAGAAGTGGTGACAATTACTTTGCTTCTTGCTTCCCACTCCTAAAAGGGAAATTTAATCAATATTGTCAGTTCTTACAAGAAAAATGGAAAACGCACACACATATTCAAGCTCTACTTCTATAATCAAATAAAACCATCAATAATTAATCAAAACTTGACTAGAAGCTCTTCCAGAACCACAAAGCTCACACAGCATCCCAGAGATAGATGATAGATGATACCATGATCTTTGATGTACACAGTGGAGCATTTGATAAAATGGTGATGTTTTTCTGCCATAAGTGGTATAATTACGCTATGTATCATATGCATCCATTTAATAATATCCCTGTTCACAGTCAGCCAGGCATTTCTCACAAGCTGGCATCTTCACAGGCCACTTGTTCTGCTGATTCCACTTTCTTCTTTAGCTGGGCAGGCTGCAGCCGCTGTTTTTTCCCTTACCAGGCAAACTGATGATCTAGTGCTTTCTTGCGTATTGAGGTTAGTAGATAACTAACATATTTTAGCACATTCATTATAGCCAGTTTTCCCCTAAGAAAAAATTGCACATTTGGGTCTTCTGCCTTGACAAATGTGGTGCTTCATCTTGAAAGTTGATTAAAATCATTACCTCTGTAGAAAATTACATGCAAAATGTATTAGTATCCAGTATATTCTGATAAGAATGCTTCTCATTCATAACTCTGATACCAACCTGCTCACCGCAAACAAAACAAAACAAAACAAAACAAAACAAAACAAAAAATAAAAGAGACATACACACACATGCTAAAACTGCATGCGAGCACTCATGGGAATGACAGTGTGTTTTTAACCAACAATAAAACTAAAAATTACTCATCAGTTAAACCATAGCTCATAATTTAAGAGAAGTTACATTTTGAAGTCCTGTTTTATCTCCAATTGAAATTTCAGAAGGCTCCAGAAATTCTATGGTATAAACTTTGCAATTTTAAAAATACATCATTTCAAAGCCAGTGGTCTGGAAGAAAATTGCCTATGCTGATGAACAAATATATTATAATTTTCACCAAACCATACAGCACACTTTCTTACATCAACTTTTTTCATCTCATCTCCTGATTCTCTCCCACAACCCATGTGTTAACCACACTTACCTTTTAACTTTTCTCCTAAAATATTAAGCCTTTTCCAAACAGTTTTGCTAGACAAAAATCCCCATTCATCTTTCAAGGTCTAGCTCAAGTGTTGCATAACCGTTGTTCAAGTTACTAAGGCTGTGTAACAAACAACCTCAAGACTCAGGTGCCTAGAACAAGCCCAGATTCTATCAGTCAGAGACTTGGACAGGACACAGCAGAAATGCTTGTATCTGCTCTGTCATGCGTGGCATTTCAGATGCAAAGATTCAAAGGCTGGAGGTGACCCAAAGGCTGTTGGTTGGAATCAACTGGAAACATCATTACTCACATGTCTGGTGGTTGATACTGGTTGTAGGCTGGGACCTCAGCTGGGGTTCTGATTTGAGAACCTTCATGTGGCCTCTCCATGTGGTCGGGCTTCCTCACAGTACGGGGGTCTTCGGGTATTCAGATTTTATACATGGTGGCTCGGGGCTCCTCAGTAAGTGAAGCAGATGCTGCATGATCTTGTAAGAAAGGAAAACTTTTCCTCCATCCTCTTAGGTTCTGCAGCTTAATTTGTGAATTAAACTGACAAAAGATGGACCAACGAATGAAGAGCATACAAATTTTATTTGTTGTTAATATTTTTATATGCATGGGAACTGCAGAGAAAGAACTAAAAAAATCCAAAGAAGTGGTTACACTTAGGAGCTTACCTACCATTTTAACAAAGTACGATAAATTGTGGGGAAGCAACCAAAGAAAAGGGGCTTGGGCTTCTAGGGGCATTAAATTGTAGGAAGGTAAATATATGGGAGAAACTATTATAGATAAGGGTTATTTAGTTGGGTTTCTTTATGTAGAGTAATCTTGATGCTGTCTCCTCTTCTTGGTATGAGAACAAGGGGACACCTTTATAATGGAAATTTATTCCTTGCTTTTAAGCAGATAAAGGAAGGGTAAACAGCTCTTCTCGCATCTTCTTTTTCTCAATTGCCTTCAGCTTAAAATAAAAATTAAAAATTTTAAAAATAAAATTTATGCAAAAGTAACATATATTAGGGTTGTATATTCTGATACTCTTCAACATTTTCTGGTCTAGCCTCCAGAGTCACTCAACATCAGCATCACTTTCTCTACATTCGGTTGGTTATAAATAAGTCAAAGGACAAATAAGACAAAAAAGTATTTGTATTGTTAATACTGAGAGGTGACAACGTGCTAGCAGCCCTCACTGGCTCTCAGCAACCGCTCTGGCAGTGCTCCAGGAGCCCTTCAGCCCGCCGCTGTGCTGTGGGGGCCCTTCTCTGGGGCTGGCGGAGGCCCGGCGGCTCCCTCTGCTCCCCACCAGGTGTGCAGGTAGAGGCGCAGGCGGGAGCGGGGCTGTGCATGCTCGCGGGCCAGTGCTGGTTCCGGGTGGGTGCAGGCTCAGGGGCCCACACTCGGTGTGGCCGGCCGGTGCCTACTAGGCTGCCGGAGCACCCAGGCTAGGTGCCGCAAAGTCTCAGGGCAAGTGCCATTGAGAGCTGAAGCCGGCTGGGTTTCTGTGTCGGGTGGGGACTTGGAGAACTTTTCTGTTTAGCTAGAGGTTTGTAACTGCATCGATCAGCGCTCTGTGTCTAGCTAATCTGGTGGGGACTTGGAGAACTTTCCTGTCTAGCTAAAGGATTGTAAATGCACCAATCAGCGCTCTGTGTCTAGCGAAAGGTTTGTAAATGCACCAATCAGTGCTCTGTCAAAATGGACCAATCAGCTCTCTGTAAAACAGCCCAATCAGGTTTCTGTAAAATGGACCAATCAGCTCTCTCTAAAATGAGCCAATGAGTAGGATGTGGGTTGGGCCAGATAAGGGAATAAAAGCAGGCTGCCTGAGCTAGCAGTGGCAACCGGCTAGGGCCTTCCAGACTGTGGAAGCTCCGTTCTTTTGCCTTTTGCAATAAATCTTGCTGCTGCTCAGTCTTTGGGTCTGCACCGTCTTTGGCGGCTGCTGCCCACTCTTTGGGTCCATGCTACCTTTATGAGCTGTAACACTGTGAAGGTCTGCAGCTTCACTCCTGAAGCCAGTGAGACCACAAACCCACCAGAAGGAAGAAACTCTGGACCCATCTGAACATCTGAAGGAACAAACTCTGGACACACCATCTTTAGGAACTGTAACACTCACCGCAAGGGTCCGTGGCTTCATTCTTGAAGTCAGTGAGACCAAGAACCCACCAATTCCGGACACAATACTATTGGATGTATGTTTGTCTGGTGTTTTCTTTGGTGAGTTTGTTTGTTTGTAACTGCTAAAAGAGTAGAGAGGAATGAGAGGGGGTTGAACTGCAACATCACAGAACACCTTAAGATGTAAGATTAAGGATATCTAATAGGCCATCTTAATTTGTGTTGCAACAATCCCCGATATGGGAGTATTGAGAGGGGCGTCCTTTAAGTGGTGATTGGATCACAGGGGTTATCCCCTTATGAATCAATCTACTCATGGATTAAAGAACTAATGGGTTAATGGCTAAACGGGTTATCATGGGAGAGGAACTAGTGGCCTTATAAGAAGAAGAGAGATCTGAGCTAACACGCTAGCATCCTCGGCCCCTTGCCATGTGGTGCTCTGAACCACCTTAGGGCTCTTCTGATTTCCCGTCAGGAAGAAGGCCCTCACCAGCTGCAGACCCCCATCCTTGGACTTCTCAGCCTTCGTAACTCTAAGAAATAAGCTTTTTAAAAATAAGTCACCTAGTTTCAGGTATTCTGTTATAAGCAACAGAAAAATGGACTAAGACAGTATGTCTTAAGTAAATCTCACAATTGCCTGTACGGTAGATATAAATAAATATTATTACTCCTATTTTACAGAAGACAGAATCAGAGAGGCTCAGCAAGTGCCAGAACTCAAATTCAAGTGCAACTCTGCCTGATGGAAACTCAGGTGATTTCCACTCTGCCTCCACCTGCATTCCTCAGCACCATGCAGTTGGTCCCCAGACTCTATGCTCCATGCTGCTTGTGTTTGTTGGTTGGCTGGTTTTGTGTTCATGTGTTCTGGCTTCTTCATTTTGGGTCTTTACATCTTTACATCTCTAGCAGTTCTTCCCATGTTGTGTAGCAGTTGTCTCTACATGACGGTCTGTCTTGTGAGGTTGAGCTCCCTGAAGGCAGCAAGCATGTAATTGGTAAATTCTCATCAGTTAGCCATGTCTGGAACATGGTAGGTATTCAATAAAGGTTTTTGCTCATTTAATCAACTGTTCATTAGCATTTACTGAACCCCTACTGTGTGTCCAACACTGTAGCAGGCACTGAGGATGGAGCGGTGGAGAAAAACAGGCAACACACTCTGCACTCCATCTAGTGTGCAGAAGACATGCAAATAGTCATATACACTAAAACACCTCCCTCAGCACACTGACACACTGCTATAACATGCAAATAGTCATATACACATGAAAACACGTCACACAGCACACTGACACACTGCTATAGCATGCAAATAGTCATACACATGAAAACACTTCACACAGCACACCGACACACGGCTATAACATGCAAATAGTCATACACATGAAAACACTTCACACAGCACACTGACACTGCTGTAACACGCAAATAGTCATATACACGAAAACACTTCACACAGCATACGGACACACTGCTATAACACGGAAATAGTCACACACATGAAAACACTTCACACAGCACACTGACACACTGCTGTAACATGCAAATAGTCACATACACCAAAGTCCTTCACACAGCACACTGACACACTGCTATAACACGCAAATAGTCATATACACATGAAAACACTTCAGACAGCACACTGACACGCTGCTGTAACATGTAGATAGTCACAGACATGAAAACCCTTCACAACACACTGACACGCTGCTATAACATGCAAATAGTCATATACACGAAAACACTTCACACAGCACACTGACACACTGCTGTAACATGCAAATAGTCACATACACCAAAGTACTTCACACAGCACACTGACACACGGCTATAACACGCAAATAGTCATATACACGAAAACACTTCACACAGCACACTGACACACTGCTATAACACGCAAATAGTCACATAAACAAAACACACAGCACACTGACACATGGCTATAACACACAAATACTCATATACACATGAAAACACGTCACGCAGCACACTGACACACTGCTATAACACGCAAATAGTCATATACATGAAAACCCTTCACACAGCACACTGACACACTGCTGTAACATGCAAATAGTCACATACACCAAAGTCACACAGCACACTGACACACTGCTATAACATGCAAATAGTCATATACACATGAAAACACTTCCCACAGCACACTGACACACGGCTATGTCAGAAAGGCATGCAGTACTCTGTGAGTGTAGGATGGTGTTGAGAGTCAGGAAAGAGTTGTGAAGAAAAGGGTATGTGAGTGAGGGGTCAAGGCCGAGCATATAGGTGGAAAGTCCCGGCAGAGGGAGCCGTGCAAGCATCCCCTCAGGCAGCAGGGATGTGGCACGACTGGGGGACCGGTGGCCGGAGGGCAGAGGCAGAGCCAGGAGTGTGCGAGCTGAGCATGGAGAGGAAGCCACTGCACCCTAGAAAAAGGCACTCCTCCCACGAACAGGAGAGTCCACAGAGATTTCTGCAAAGAGAGAAGCCATGAGTGCTCGTTCAGTGCCTACAGTGTTTGGGGCAGCTGTGCATTTTCTTCACAAATTCATTCCTTAAGAATGAATTTAAGAAACACTGCTCCATGCATTATACGAGACAGAAAATCCCAGTTAATACTAACAGATCCTTAGCTCGGGATTGTCCGGAGCAGGCACGCTGTCGGCAGGGGCTGCTCTGGGGTCTGTGGTGTCAGGGGCTCCCCAGAAGCTGCAGCACAGAAATGGGGGAGGCTGAGAGCGACTCAGGCCTCCTTGCAAATGAAGCTGAGGGGAGATACCTTTCCGATCATGCTGGTGATGAAACTCGCAGACACAAGTGACTAACCAATTGATAAGTATTGCTCACTACTCGCAGAAAATATAGATTTTTTTCTTAAAAATCATAGACAAAACACAGTTAATTAATTTAATGGTTATACCTTTCCTGACATACTATGTAACCTTGGCTTATATGCCTGGCTTAGAGATGTTTTCCAAAGTTGTGGTGTAACAAAAACATTTAAATAATGAGTATTCCGGTGGTATTTTTGAAATGGCAGTTACCAGCAAATAAACATCTGTTTGGACGTGGTAACAGGGAAACTACTCTGCATCCATTCACCCCTCTCAACAGTTGATTCTCCTGCAGCACAGAAGTCTTTCTTTATTTATGAAGCAAACGTCTTCTTCACTCCCAGGACTTCACCATTGGTAGGCCACCCTAGCCTGCCTCTAATCATCACTTCATCGTCTTTCACAACCTGCATTTTCCCTGCCCCTGATTTCTCATTCTGTTATTGACCTCTTGCACATTCCCCCTCTGGTGTGAATTACTTTTGCTGACTAAACTCAGGCATGGTCCCAAAACTATAATTTGAGCTCACCCCCATGGTGGCACCTCAGGCTGATTGCATGACCTAATCTCGGCAGAATCCTCCCAGCTCAGGGACCGCACTCTCAGACGGCAAGGCCAGTGATCTCTCAAATTCATCCCACGCAAGTGAAGACAGCTCTTCCCTCAGAAGACGCAGGCTGCAGCTAGCTTGAGGAGAGATCAACTCTTCCCATGCAAAGGCACGAATATACTGTGGCTAAAGTTTATTGGAATTTCCCTCTGATTAAGTATGTTTATAATTCCATCTGCAAAAACCAGCAGTAAGCTGAACTGGAAAGCATTACCTGAGATTATATTTCCATTTTGCCCCATTAAAAAAGACTAGAATTTAATTTCCAAGGATGTCTTAGCACAGATGCTTAAATCGAATGCGTACTTCCTTAGGAATGAAGAAATAGCAATGCATGTAAGGATAAGTAAGTCAGAATGAGAGAAAAAAATAGTTTTTTAAAAAAGTACAGGTGACTAAAGCAGCATAGGGCTAAGTAGGTTTAAAGGATGAAGACATTAATAAAGAGCTTCCTGCAGGGTTATCAACAGAAATACTTTTTCATAGAAATTAGTGGGATTTAAACACTGCATGTTCTCAGTTATAGGTGGGAGCTCCAAGCTATGCATTGAGCACACATGGACGTGCACATGGGAACAACAGGCGCTGTGGACTGCGGGGGGCAAAGAAGGGAGGGGCATGCATTGAAAAACTACCCAGGGGTACAATACTCACTAGCTGGGTGTAATACACCCATGTAACACACCTGCATGTGAACCCCCATATCTAAAATAAGAGCTGAGACTTTCAAAGAGGAGCAGTTACTTTGACTGACTTTTATTAGTAGTTGTAACTCTTTTCTTTTCCTGGAAACCTGAGTCCTAAATTGGAAGGTAGTAGCCACAGGGTACCTTAGTTCAGATAGTTTTTGAAGATAAGCAATTAAAATAGATCAGGGAATGGCTCCTTTTCAAACTTGTGAGCTAAGAATCCAGAAAGCAGGTTGTTCCAAGATGATGCTGTGAAAGAAAAAATTGGCCTTTCACTGGGGACAGGGTTCTTTCCAACCTTATGTCTGGCTCTTGTACTTTCTCTTTCATCTCCTTTGTGACCCCATGGACTCTCAAATTGAAATGAAGTAAATTTATTCACATTAAGGCATTAAACTACTAATGGCTTCATGTGTTCTCTCTTCCACTGGTGTTTGTATTTGATAGAAAATAATGCCCTAAAAAATGAATGGTTTAGGGAAGCTAATGGAAGAGATGAAGGCTGGAAGGGGCAGGTTCTCAATCACATGACGTTCAACGTGCTCAGCTACATAATCAGCTCAGAAAGGAGCCTGAACATTGATTCTCAAAGTGTGGGCCAAAGTCCCCTGGGACATCCTGAGACTTTTTCAGTGGCAACAGGAGGCCAAAATGACTTTTATAATAATACTAATATGTTATTCGCCATTTTTACCCTCATTCTCTCACAAATATACGTGGAATTTTCCAGAAGATTCATGATAGGTGACTTCATAACAGATTAAATGCAGAAACAGAATAGTACAGTTATCTTTTATTAAGCTACACATTAAGGAGATTTGCAAAAATGTAAAACAATTTCTCTCTTCTCAACACATTTATTTGGTTTTAAAATAAATGTGATTAATATACAATTAAAATAAATTACAAAATTAAATATAATTTTAGAACTAAATAAATTAAAATAAAAATTAAATTGGAATTTAATTTTTTTTTTTTTGAGACAGAGTCTTGCTCTGTCTCCCAGGCTGGAGTGCAATGACACGATCTTGGCTCACTGCAACCTCTGCCTCCCAGGTTCAAGCAATTCTCCTGCCTCAGCCTCCCGAGTAGCTGGGACTACAGGCATATGCCACCACACCCAGCTAATTTTTTTGGATTTTTAGTAGAGATGGGGTATCACAATGTTGGTCGGGCTGGTCACGAACTCCTGAACTCAAATGATTCGCCCACCTCGGCCTCTCAAAGTGCTGGGATTACAGGCATGAGCCACTGCGCCAGGCGGAATTTAATTTTTTTTAATTTTCATTAAAATGTTATTTATTTGAAAGGTTGGTAATTATTTAAAATTAACTAATAAATATTTTAAATATTTGTCCATTTCAAATCTTAATATGATAAATATGGTTTTATATACATATTTATATAAACAAATCATAAATTTATTTATATATTTATATTTTTTACTATATATTTTATAAATATTTATTTTTATCCCATAAAAGTGAAAGCTTTTCAGGGGGCGCAACACATTTTAGATTATAAAGAAGTTCTGAGAACAAAAAGCTTGAGAACCACTAAACTGTTCTTATTCTGATCCTGACTGTTTTCTGTGGTTTACCTGTTTTAAGACTTCTTGGTGATCTTTGATTGACATATTCATCAAATCTGCATCCCACATATTTAATAAAGACAGGAAGAGAGAGAGGGAGGCAAAAAAAGAGGAAGGAAGAAAGGAAAGGGAAGAATAGATGAAGGGAATAAAGGAAACCTAATAAACTATCCACAGGGAATGTACTGTAGGGGCCACGGGGATGTGTATTCAATGCACACCAGGTTCACGGCCAATACCCAGCTGTGCTCATGACTGAAATGCTTCCAGCAGATATGCTACGCCCTGGATATCTTCCACATAAACCTGACCTGTGTTCGTTTCCTGAACACATTGTAGACAGATTTACTCTTAAGACGTTTTGTTTGACCTACCCTTTGTTTTATGACAAAAAATGTAATTGCTGGTAGTTAAATGTAGAAAGTTTTATGTGAAAGTCTGTATCTCCATTTTATCTTGAATTTGAAAATAACTGGTAAGACAGTCACCAAGGACCTGTGACAAACAGTGGGCTGGAGCTGCAGAGCTGCTGTCCCTTGCAGCAGGGCACCAAGCACAAACGTCCCAGAGTCACCTCTGACCTGCCCCAATCTTCCCTGTTATCTACCCCGGCAGGACTCTGAGAGGAGGCTAATCATCTCAAGATCATCTTTAAATCTCTTCGGGCACATGAGAACAATGTTCTGTGCCAACAAAATATAAATTAAAAGGCAAAAAGTCAGCCGATCACACCACACAGTGGCAGCCCTCTACATTTTGGTCTGTTTTTAGCAAGCATTTTTTCTCATGTTTAGTATTACGTACTTAGGATCATATATGATACACGATTACACAAAAATGAGGATGTTTTTGTATATCCACGAAGTCACTGTATTTTCCATATTAGAATAAGTGTTTGACATGCCATTAAAAATGCTTTTAAACATAGTGTTCAGTCCTGCATAATTCCCCACTGTGTGCATGCACCATAGCTCACTCCGTGAATTTTATCTGTCAACATTTAGGTTCATTTTTTCTTACTCTAAATAATGATGATGAACATCTTTATAAAACAGCTAGTTATACTTAGGATAAATCCTAAAAGTGGGTGAAAGAATATACATACATTTAAAGTATTTACTATGTGTATCTTCTTTCCCTTGGATGGAAATATAAGCAGTTTTTTATTTTACTTTTTGTAAAATTTTCAATTAAAAGTTTATTTTTTCAAAATTTATGTTCTGTATTAGCAAATAGAAACAAGCAGCTAAAATTTGAATCCCTAAAGTACATTTTAAGTGTTACTTTAAATATATTAGGCTGTCTATGCTATGTGGCACAAAAATATAAAAACTGTGGACTTGGTCCAAATGTTTGGGTGATACCATTCTTTGTGGGCTGGTGTTCTCATTTTTTAACTCCTATGATGGTTTCAGAATTTTTTGGCACATCCATTATTGGGACACTTTTGGACTATGATGTCAAGGTGACCATTCTAACAGGCTAGTTTTTTAACTGCAGTCAGTGGCCACATGAGAGGCTTTGTAAAAGTCCTGGACGAAATTCTCACTTTAAAAATTGTATGTCTGACACTAAGTGGACATTCAAGTGTGCTGATAATGAGTGCGGGGAAGCTTTCACTAACTGAGAAGAAGGGCAGAAATTAGCATGAAATCATGGAGTAGGTGTGGGCAGCAAGAAGCCAAGCACAACCTGAAAGAAAAGGGAACATGATTAAGCAAATTCAATCCCAGGGCAGCTAAGAAAACCACAGACGATGTTGCCACCAAAATGGACATGTGACTGATGCAATATTTATATACACAAATATAAAGCAGAATTTGCATTCTATCATCTTCAGGTTAAGCATGGATCAACCCAAAAACAAGGATTCTATGCTACAGACTTAGGAGAAAACCTTACCATAAGAAAAACTACTTCAAAGTCATCTGGACTAACAATCTGATCCTCATGGCCAATGCATGCTGAACAGAACACAGGGCAGCAAAAAGTGACCCCAGAGAAGGAAGGAAGAGGGAACGGGAAAGGAGAGTTTGGTTATCATTGCTCTTGGAGAAATAAGATGCATGATGTTTTATTAATAGGCACAATTCCTTTATGTAAGTAACCTGATAAAAGGTAGTAGGTTGATTTCATGCTCTGCTGAAGAGAAGTGGGATGGCTTTCTACCCGGAAGCCACTAGGGCTCTTTTAGGCACTGCATGGAGCATATTTGCTTTTTTCCTTTATATAAATTGCAAATAGCATCTTAGTCATATAAAAGAGTTGGTCCAGCTCCCTGCAAAAATGCTCTGTTATGTCCAGTGTGCATTTCATATATTTCACATGCTCCAGGGGCTGTCAGCTCATGCAGTCATATCCAACATTGACATTGACTATGGCAGTCACAATGACAGCAGTTTTGTTCTTTCATGCCATTTGGTACTCCACAATGCACTACTTAACCCAAGACAATTTTCAGGTTTCACTGATATCTTTGAATCCCCTTAGAAAGAGGAAACCTCCCTAAAAAGATCTTAGGACATACAACCAAGTATGAATTCTACTTAGAAAATCTTATGATATGTGACTAAGTTACATAAAATTCTCATATTTTAGCCAGTTTTATTCATCACAAAGTTTTGGAGATATAGATTCCATTGTGTTCTGATTCACAACTGCTATTTAGTCATTCAATTAATAAATCTGTACTGAATGCCTAGTTGTGCCAAGTGCTTCTAGGCCCTGGTCATAAAGCAGTAAAGAAGACAAACAGGACTTTCTGTTCTCATGAAGAAAACTAAACAGGGCAGACAGAGTGCCAGCCTGCCATGCAAGCATGGTGATCAGGGAAGGGCTTGCCAGAAGGCCCATGAGCAAGACCTGTAAAAGTGAGAGAGCCACCCACAAAGATGTTGGAGAAAGGATGTTGCAGACAGAGGCCTAGAGGAAGGAGCATAACCTAACATGTTTGAAGAGCAGCAAGCAGTCAAGAGAGGGTGAGCAAAGGAAGCACATGTGAGGTGGAGGAGGAAGGGGCTGGGGGCCACCAGATGGAGGGTTTTTGGTTTTTACTGATTGTGGTGAGAAGCCATTGGACATGTTTACAAAGGACTGATATTACCAGACCTGTCTTTTAACAGGATCCCTATGTAATGAATAGAAGACTAAGAAGAGCCAATGGAAGAGGGAGAACAGTTAAGAGACTGTTGCCATAATCCAAGTGCAAGGTGGAGGTGACTTGGACCAGGAGTAGCAAGATGAGTGGTGAAGAGGGGTCAGGTTATGGATCTATTTGGAAGATAGAATCACAGACGTTCTGACAGATTAAATTAAGCATAGTGGAGAAAGAAGGGAGTGTAAGGATTATCTCCTAGGTACGTGGGTATACCCATTTGGAGTTCAAGGGTAAGGTCTGGACTAAACCTTTGAATCTGGGAGTTGTCAGTGTATGGATGGTGCTTAAAGCTATGAGACTGTTTGAAATCCCTAAGGGAGTACATGCGGGTAGAGAAGATGTCAGAGGACTAGCCCCTAAGTTGTTGCAGTGTGTAAAGGACAGGATGAACAGCAGGAACCAGCAAAGCAGAGGGAGAAATGAGGCCAAAGATGAAGGAAGGAAGCCAAGAAGCCTGTGGGGTCATGGAGCCAAGTGAGAAAGTGTTTGAGGGTCAGGCAACAACCAGCTGTGTAAATGCTATTCATGGCTAAGTGAGAAGAGGGTTAAGAATCGATCATGGGCTGTAACAACATGGAAGATATTCACATTTTGAAATGAGCAATTTCTGTGAAAGGACAGAGGAAACTGTCAGACCTAGTGGATCTAAGAGGAAGAATGAAGACAAAAATTGGAGATGGTAAATATGAAAACACTTTCAAAGAATTTCACTCTGAAGAAAGCAGAAATAGTGCAGTAGTTTGAAAGGAACATAAGATCAGGACAGGTAGTGCCAGATGGGAAAATTCAACTGTGCATGTTGATAGGAACACTCCAGTAGAGACAGAAAAGTCGACATTGTGGGAGGTAGAAGGAGAATTGCTGAAATTCGAGAGAGACATTGGGATTTAGTGCTCCAGTTTAACTTATGGGTAACAAAAAGGAAGACAGTGTTTGGACATAGAGCCAGGTGGGGGGTGATGAGGAAGTAGCAGTTTGCAGAAGCTCTCATCTTATTCTGGTTTTGGCTTAAATTTGTTTTTCTTTCAGTGACATATACCCCAAAGTCATTAACTGAGAGTGAGGATGGGAGAGAAAACATTAGAGGCTTAAGAGGAGAGAGAATCTGAAGGAGCCTCCCAGAAACATGAATGAGCGAGGGAAGGCATTGGAATGGCAGGTGTGCTAGGAGCCTACTAGCGGTTAGCGACAGGGCCAGCTGCATTGGTGGCTTAATGTGTGTGACTGTGGAGTCACACATAATTTTTGCAATTTGTAAGTTTATGTTATTTCTCGTGTGTCACTGTTGCCTGTTTTATGGTTTATAAGTCACAAATTATTTTTAAAATGAAAACACCTTAGATTTTAGTGCATTTAATGAGGCTTTTTTAAAATGTCTTCTGAATTAACAGCCCCACACTTTCATTTTGCCCTGGGCCCTGCAAATCAGGCAGCCAGCCCCGGTTAGTGATCACAAATGTAAGGGAAGAGCAATCAGCGTCACTGTGGGCTTCTCCAGCCACACTCAGCTCTGTGGAGAGCTGGATTTACAAGGGATAGAGTTGTGCCAGGTGGTTACCATGAGGAGAGAGAGGGACAGGTTTGTTGAGAATATATAAAAATGATGATCCTGAAAATCAACTGGGAGTAAATAGACCCCATCTGGCTCCAACTCAATAAAACATATACAATATACATCAGTGTATATTGTAAGTGTCACATCATCCCTCAGGGAAGGTGCATTCTCCAGGGATCTTTGCACAGGATCTAGCAGTGGCTGAGCTATCTCTCTAGTTCTTTGATAGAAGCACCTGAAATTTTACCTGCTGTTGCTGGTTACACGCAAACCTCCTGTTAGTGAATAGTTAATTACTCCCAGAGGATGCAATACCTGAGTAGCTCCCAAAGTTTTCTGTGGGAAAGTTATCTTGGAGGAGCCAGTGTATTGAACTTCTTCAGCTAACAAATTTCTTCACCATGTGCATGACTATCTCGTTACAAGTTCCCATAGGCATTCAACACATTTGCTTTCTTTATTATTTTGTTAACATCAGACCATTTCCTAACTCATTACAGTTTATCCTATTACATATTACCATATGTGATGATTACTTTTATGTGTCAACTTGACTGGGCTACAGGGTGCCCAGATATTAAGCCAAACATTATTCTTGGTATGTCTGTGAGGGCTGTGAGAGTTTCAGGAGGAGACTAACATTTAAATTTATAGAGTAAAGCCAATTGTCCTCCTAATGTAGGTGAATCTTATCCAACCAACTGAAGGCCTGAATAAAACAAAATGTCTGGCCCTCTTGTGGAACAAGGGAACTCCTTCTGCCCGGCTGCTTGAGCTGGAACATCACCAGTCTTTTCCTGGCTTCTGACTCAAATGGAAACATTAGATCTTCTGGGTCTTGAGCGCACTGGCTTTTGAACTGTAAATCACACCATCAGCCCTCCAGGTTCTCAGGCCTTCAGACAGGCTGGAACTATACCATCAGCTCTGCAAGGTCTCCAGGCTTCAGCTTGCCAACTAGAGATCACAGGACTTCTCAGCCTCTATAATTGTGGAAGCCAATTCCCTACAATTAATCTCTCTACACACACACACACACACACACACACACACACACACACTTCTGTTTCTTTGGAGGATCCTGATTGATATACTGTTATTCCTTAGTTTGCAGTTATTACTCTCATGTTTACAGTAACCACAATGTTCCTGTATTCCTCAGCCATCATACAACTGCAGGCTGCACTCCAAATTCTTGCAAGCTTAACTGGATATAACTTCACAATAAAACCCAGGTATAAGAATAAAAGGTGTCTTGCCCAAATCCCTCTGCAGAAACAGTTTAAACATCTGCTATGCTGATAGTTGCTCAACAAAAGTAATTATCATACTTTCATATTCAACAAACATAAAAAAAATTCTGTGAGAATTTTTACAATTATTAACTTTTTTAATTCTTAAAATATTCTAGTGAATAAACCATTATTATGCCCATTAAAACATGAAGAATAAAGAGGATAAATAACTTGCTTGAGTTCATACATTTAGTATAGAGAAGAGAACATAGGATTTGTAATTAAAATCTTGCTTTTCTGCTGTTATAAGTTACGTAAACTCTCTAAGATTGAATCTTTCATCCATGAAGTGGGAATAATACTGGCTACTGCAGGTAGTCATGGTGAGAATTCATGCTATTCTATATGTTCAAAGCCCAACACAGTGCCTGTTTTTTAGAAGCTTAACACCTTTTGTTTGTTTCTATTTTCCTTTGTCTCTCTCTCCTAAGCTCTTTTTGTCTGCCTTGTGAAAGACACTAAATTACATGGATGTCTCTGAAATAAGAATTAATATATTTTTTCAAACTCTGATTTTTTCAAAGCTGATAATTTATTCCAGGTCTCTTGTTTTGCAGGCTTGGTATTTGTTTTCTAAATCCAAATTTGAACATCCTTAGAAGCATATTCTTTCTAGTTTTCCATAGAACCCACTCTTCCCTGCTATCCACATTTAGTCCGATTCATACATTCACGTTACCTTCCTGTCCCTACAAGGTTTGGAATTTCAGCCCCTGCAGTGCATCCTATGATTCCGTCACTTCAATGACTTCAGAACTTTTTGGTTTGGGCACAATGATCTAATTTTATTTTAAAACTTTGGAGAATGACACAAACAAGAGTTATTATTTTTAACAGTTCAGGAATTCATATGTTCTCATGGTCAAATCAAACTTGTTTTCTTTGCTTCACCAACAAAGGTTGTCACATCCGCTACACCCAAAAGCCACAGCTCAGCAGTCATTCACAACCGTCAATATACTTATCAACTCTAAAACAATCAGGAGGCGGATTTTAAATTTACAACGAGGTACCTCATTTTCAAAGTATTATAAAATCTGTTCTCTAAGTCATGTGTGGTGTCTTTTTTTCTTTCTTTTCTCTGGAGTGCCTTCAAAATAAACATTGTAATTTGAGATGTGGACCATATAAAATGGACCAAATGATAAGATAATGGGCAAAAGCATTTCCAAAGTGAGACCAGCTGTCGACCTTGTCTTCGGAAGGGAGGTTCTGGCAAACTTCCATTGGCCCCCAGCCTAGTTTTGTTTCAAACTGATTAGCAAACTTTCTAGTCAATCAATCCTGTCCCAAATTAAGTTGCTGGTAAGAAAAAAGGAGCAGCCTGATTTGCATTACAAAGCTCTCAGGCATCTAAGAGTTGAGATGTGACTATCCTGAGGTTCCTTCATGCCGAGTAAAAGCAAAGGCTTCTCTTCTCTCCAAGTCAAGAGGAAGAGACAAGTAAGCCCAGAGCACTTTAACCTACTGAGGAATAGGTTAAAACTGAGCATTCAGATGTTTCTGTATTTGTGGGCATATGTAAGTGAATAGGTTTTACATAAGCTGCATTTCTATTTTCACAAATACCTTCACTAGCAAATTTTCACCTAGTTCGAATAGATTTCTGGTGTTCTGAGCACAACAGTCTTTACCTATTACCCTTCTAAAAGCTAAGGAGACACCACTTAAATTAAGGGTGACTGATAATTCTCTTTTATTACTACATCTGTATTCCTATTTATATACTTTTCATTAATGCTCTTGGAGTCAATTAAACATATTAGTTTAAGCTTTTATATTTTATAATGTTTCAAGAATTATGATGTGAGTTAGAACATATTCCAATCCACAGGACAACAATACTGAAATAAAATTCTCTCTTTCTCCAGTTTTCCGGAGACTTTATGAAAATTGAATTTTCTTTCAAGTTACTGCCTGAAAGTGTATTATTACCAGAGTAACAAGACAAAATTGTAGCCTTAGAGCATATAGCAAAATTTGTATTAAAGATGAGAGGTGACAATGTGCTGGCAGCCCTAGCAGCCCTGGCTGGCTCTTGGTGCCTCCTTGGCCTCGGCGCCCACTCTGGCCGCATTTGAGGAGCCCTTCAGCCTACTGCTGCACTGTGGGGGCCCCTCTCTGGGCTGCCTGAGGCCACAGCCAGCTCCCTCTGCTGTGGACAGGTGTGGAGGGAGAGGCGTCAGAGGGAACAGGGGCTGCTGTGCACGGGTGGGAACCGGGTCTGCTGTGGGCATTGCACCCGCACTCGGAGCGACTGGCCAGCACCGCTGGCCCCAGAGAGTGAGGGGCTTGGCACCTGGGCCAGCAGCTGCAGGGGGTGCACTGAGTCCTCCAGCAGTGCTGGCCCACTGGCGCTGCGCTCAAATTCTTGCCAGGCCTCAGCTGCCTCCTTGTGGGGCAAGGCTTGGCACTTGCAGCCTCCCATGCCTGAGCTTCCCCCCTGCCATGGGCTCCTACAAGGCCTGAGCCTCCCCGAGGAGCACTGCAACCTGCTCCACAGCTCCCAGTCCCATCAACCACCCAAGGGCTGAGGAGTGCAGGCGCATGGCGCGGGACTGGCAGGCAGATCCACCTGAGGCCAGGTGCGGGATCCACTAGGTGAAGCCAGCTGGGCTCCTGCGTCTAGTGGGGACTTGGAGAATCTTTGTGTCTACCTAAGGGATTGTGGATGCACCAATCAGCAACCTGTGTCTAGCTCAAGGTTTGTAAATGCACCAATCAGTGCTTTGTGTCTAGCTAACCTAGTGGGGACTTGGAGAACTTTTGCGTCTAGCTCAGGGATTGTAAATGCACCAATCAGCACCCTGTCAAAACGGACCAATCAGCTCTCTGTAAAACAGACAAATCAGCTCTCTGTAAAATGGACCAATCAGCAAGGTGTAGGTGGGGCCAGATAAGGGAATAAAAGCAGGCTGCCTGAGCCAGCAGTGGTAACCTGCTAGGGTCCCCTTCTGCACTGTGGAAGCTTTGTTGTTTTGCTCTTTGCAATAAATCTTGTTTCTGCTCACTCTTTGGGTCCACACTGCCTTTGTGAGCTCTAACACTCACCGCGAAGGTCTACAGCTTCATTCCTGAGCCAGCCAGACCACGAACCCACCAGGAGGAATGAACAACTCCAGACAAGAGGAAGGAGCAAACTCTGGACACACCGCCTTTAAGAACTGTAATGCTCACTGCGAGGGTCCATGGCTTCATTCTTGAAGTCAGTGAGACCAAGAACTCACCAATTCCCGACACAAAGAGAGGCCTAAGAAACCATCTAGGCCAATGCTGTGGTTTTGGAGTTCAGGACATTGTGGCTTAGAGACAATAATGGATCTGCCTAAAATCACAACACAAACTAGTACCAGTTCTTGAATGAAAATGTAGGTCTTCTGATTCCTAGCCAAATGCTTTTTATAAGAATGAAAATTTTGTGTCCTTGGAAGGCCTAAGGCATTTTCCCAGAGTAACTTAGAAGAGTCTGGCTCCATGAATAGTTTAGTAATATAGAAATAAGATTTTTTAAAATGTCTAAACTTGACTGTATGATCCTGGATATAAAGTATAAAATCAGAAGACAGATGTGATGTGAGGCTGGCAACAACTCGTGCCATGCTCTATGTACCCACACTAAAAGACAATATCCTTTCCACCTTACATACTTTATGGCAGTATAAGTAGCATGTTAAGTATGCAAATCCTACAATGCTGGCAACATTTCAAGACTAGCTGTGTCAGGGTGTTCATAAGCCTGGGAGCTCACTAAGCTACAGAGCTCTTAAAACGTAGAAGTAGAAGAGGTAGAAAAAAAAAAGGAATCACACTCCTTATTACTGTAAACCAAAGAAAAAATATTTACATTTTCAGCATTCTGTTGGGTAGGAAAAAAGCTTTTCCTATCCCATCTTACATTTTGTGCTGGAGCCTGTGAATTAAATTGAAAAAACAACAGCAACAAAAATTAACAAGAGGCAAAAGCATACACATGTAATTGATGTCTTAATGTTACATGCATGGTGGCTACACATAAGATAAGTGAAAAACTCAAAACACTGGTTAGACTTAGGGGTTTATATACGATGTTTGTAATTCTGGAATAGATCCTACTGACCCTGAAGCCGGCCCAATACTCCTATAGCGTGTTCTTTCGTATAAACATAGACATTGACTCTTCCGCTCTTAAAGCTTGAAACTTGTATTTGTTTCATCTGAGTTCTTCCCTCAGGAAAGGACCTTCAGGCCTCTCAAAAAAAAAAAAAAAAAAAGCATTAAAGAACTGAAACTCACCAGATGAGGCCACCAGATGACTCCTTGTTCCTCCCTAGTTCGTGTTTCCTACACATTGTTACATTTCTTGCCTGTTGTATAAAACCCCATTTTTAGTCAGTCAGGGCGATGGATTTGAGGCTGAGCTCCCATCTCCTCAGCTGCAGCACCGGATGAAAGCTTCTTCCCCGGAAACACTCACCATCTCAGTGATTGGCTTTCTGTGCAGTGAGCAGCAAGCAGGACCTAGACCAAACCCATGGCGTTTTGGTAACAACCTCACCAAAATAGATGGGCACACACACAAGCCTTTAAAGATACAAAGTTAAACGGATAGTATGGATCATTCAGTATAGAGGAAACAGCATAGAAAATGTATAGAGATGGAAAATTACTAGATATGTTCCAGGAGCAACATGCAAATTCCACTGCCAGTTTTGGCTGTGAGGTCAAACAGATCTGATCTGAATGTTTGCATTCCTCCAAAATTCATACATTGAAACCTAATTCCCAATGCAATAACATTAAGAGGTGGGGTCTCTAGGAGGTGACTAGGTCATAAGGGTGGACCCTTCATGAATGGGTTTAGTACCCTTATAAAAAGGTCTGAGAGAGCTTGCTTCTTTCTTCTGCCATATGAGGACATAGAGAAAACTCCATCTATGATGAATGGGCCCTCAGCAGGCACCGAGTTTACTGCTACCATATGAGGACATACAGAAGACTCCATCTATGATGAATGGGCCCTCAGCAGCCACCGAGTCTACTGCTGCCTTGAGCTTCGACCTCTGGCCTCCAAAACTACTAGCAATACATGTCTGTTGTTTTATAAATTACCTAGTCTAAGGTACATTGCAGCAGAAATGGACTGAGAGAGACATCTTTCAGAGAATTACCTCTGTTTGTCTGTTTCTGTTTTGTAAAATTGGAAGAAGAATAGAACTTACAGTTCTGTGGTATAAGATTGTGTCCAGAATTGGTGGGTTCTCTTGGTCTCACTGACTTCAAGAATGAAGCTACAGACCTTCAAGGTGAGTGTTACAGTTCTTAAAGGTGGCATGTCTGGAGTTTGTTCCTTCTGATGTTCGGATGTGTTCAGAGTTTCTTCCTTCTGGTGGGTTTGCGGTCTCGCTGGCTCAGGAATGAAGCTGCAGACCTTCGCGGTGAGTGTTACAGCTCTTGGGGCAGTGTGTCTAGAGTTGTTCGTTCCTCCTGGTGGGCTCCTGGTATCGCTGGCTTCAGGAGTGAAGCTGCAGACCTTCACGGTGAGTGTTACAGCTCATAAAGGTAGTGTGGACCCAAAGAGTGAGCAGTAGCAAGCTTTATTGCAAAGAGCAAAAGAACAAAGCTTCCACAGTGTGGAAGGGGAACCCAGCGGATTGAAGCTGCTGGCTCAGGTAGCCTGCTTTTATTCTCTTATCTGGCCCCACCCACATCCTGCTGATTGGTCCATTTTACAGAGAGCCGTTTGGTCTGTTTCACAAAGAGCTGATTGGTCAGTTTTGACAGGGTGCTGATTGGTTCGTTTACAATCCCTGAGCTAGACACAAAAGTTCTCCACATCCCCACTAGATTAGCTAGGTACAGTGTCGATTGGTGTATTTACAAACCCTGAGCTAGACACAGAGTGCTGATTGGTGCATTTACAAACCTTGAGCTAGATACAGAGTGCCAATTGTTGCATTCACAATCCCTTAGCTAGACATAAAGGTTCTCCAAGTCCTCATCAGATTAACTAGATACAGAGTGCTGATTGGTGCATTCACAAACCCTGAGGTAGACGCAGGGTGCTGATTCGTGTATTTACAAACCTTGAGCTAGATACAGAGTGCTGATTGGTGTATTTACAATCACTTAGCTAGACATAAAGATTCTCCAAGTTCCCACCAGACTCAGGAGCACAGCTGGCTTCACCCAGTGGATCCTGCACCAGGGCCGCAGGTGGAGCTGCCTGCCAGTTCCGCACTATACGACCACACTCCTCAGCCCTTGGGCGGTGGATGGGACTAGGCACAGCCCTGGAGCAGGGAGCACCCCTTGTCGGGGAGGCTCGGGTGGCACAGGAGCCCATGGGGGGGTGGGGGGGTAGGCAGGCTGAGGCATGGTGGGCTGCAGGTCCCAAGCCCTGCCCTGCCGGAGGCAGCTAAGGCCCAGCAAGAAGTCGAGCACAGCAGCTGGTGGCCCAGGTGCTAAGCCCCTGACTGCCTGGGGCTTGTGGGCAGGCTGGCGGCTCTGAGTGCGGGGCCCGCGGAGCCCACGCCCACCTGGAACTCGCGCTGGCCCTCAAGCACCGTGAACAGCCCCAGTTCCCGCCTGCACCTCTCCCTCCACACCTCCCTGCAAGCTGAGGGAGCCGGCTCCGGCCTTGGCCAGCTCAGAAAGAGGCTCCCACAGTGCAGTGGCGGGCAGAAGGGCTCCTCAAGCGTGGCCAGAGTGGGCGCCAAGGCTGAGGAGGCACAGAGAGCGAGCCAGGGCTGCAAGGGCTGCCAGCACGCTGTCACCTCTCAAGATAAAATGAAATAAATGGATATGAAGTTCTCAGCACAGTGCCTAGAAAACAATAAGATCAGCAAATGTTAGCAACTATAATAATAATTATCATTAGTTGCTGCAGTAGAGAGTTTATGTAGAAAACTAGAAGGACGTAGGCTAGTAAATGGTCAGGTCCTATCAGAAAACCATCCATTATAATGTGTGATATCAAATCTACTGTATCTCAAGTATAAGTATAAGTTCAAAAAATGTTCAGAAGTCAAGCTGTTTCAGGAAAGGTCAATAACACCTATCATTGGCTCATCATCATGGTCCTTCAACCAGCTCTCTCCTCATTTGGAAATTTGCTATCTGTGAGAAGAGAAGGAGTCTCCTTAATGGGAAAACATGCTTTGGATTTCCGCTTGATGGGAGGCACTGAATACTAGTGAATTTTGCTTTGTGGCAATTCAATTGAAAGGTCAAAATATACTAGTTTGGATTCATTTCTAACTTGGCAGATAACTACCAAAATTGCAACTATCACTAAAGCACTTTGATGTACATATGCAACAAAGGCAGAAAACTGCTCTGAATGTCTCCTAAATCAAATATGTCTCTTGTGTATCTTACAAGTAAAAATGTCGTTTTAAGGGTTTCTTTAATGTGGAAAATTTTGCTAATAAACAAGAGATGCCCACTAGTTTGATTTGCAGTGACATCCACTTTCATTAGCTGTTATGGTTACTGATAATTCTTGGCAAGAGTGTTTAACTCATATGATGTAATATTCAGCTTTTTAGTAAAGTTATTCTTTATATGCCTTATCCCAAATCCCAGCATACACTCTTTTCAGAGGCCATGTTTTGTGTTTGTCTCCATGCCAAAAGTAGTCATAATGGACTTCAATGCACATAGACGAACGCTGGTTGAATAAATTGCACCTATAACCAAGATCAAACATGCTTCCTAGTCTACAGGGTATTTTGCACGTAATATTAGAAGAGAGACTGTGGAGTATCTGACACATTGATATAACCTCCAGTTGCTAGATGCCTAGTAACTCCATGCATGAAAAGAGTGTTTCAAGAGATTCTTTCATTAACAGAAGTTGCACAAAATGTCCACAGGTCGCTCGAAACCCTAAATATCTATGATATTCTACCAATGCTATATTCACAAACGTGTCTTAACGGTTCTCACCAGATTCTATTTTACTCACTTTTGAAAGGTCACCTAATTTTTTAAAGTGAGCTAATTACTGTAGTGAGTAAAATAGTCTTGAATGATTGCAGGTGGCAATACTATCCTATTACCCTTCTAAAGGCTAAGGTGACACCAATTAAATTAAGGGTGACTGATAATTCTTTTTTATTACTACACCTGTATTCATATTTATATACTTTTCATTAATGCTCCTGGAGTCAGTTAAAAGACAAAGGGGAACTAAACTCAGCTCATTAATAAAATTTAAAAGTTGGTTTCCAGACTCTATATGCTAATTACTCTCTGCCACCACGAAGGCATTTTAAAGCAGCACAGATGAGCACATAAGCAACGAAAACAGACTTTCCACAAATAAACCTTGAAAAAGAAAAAAAAAGGCAAGATAAACAAGATCAGCAGGCCAGCAGTCTTGTCAATTCTTCACTGTCCCAGTGGTACTTTCAACTCATTAATGTTGGCTGCTATGTTCTCAGGTGACTTGCTGGTATAAATGCCTCATTGTCTGGTAACAAAAGGGAACAGCATTTTATTGCCAGTAACCTGATAAAGAATTTTGAAAACAAGAGACACAGCAGATAATGAGCATTTTGCATGGGCCCTCTGCACTCTATAACCATTCAAATTTTCTGAGCAGAAAGACATGACCTTTTCAGTCCTTGTGCCTTCTACGCTGTGCAGTGCTAGTCGGTGCCAGGATAAAGCCAACAGAATCCTCCGAAGTGGCTCCAAGCACAGATGAGGCAATCACGATGGAAAGCACTAATCTGACTCATTTTACTTCCTCTAAACACAGGAGCGCTAACAAGTTTCCTCTACTTAAATGTTGCTTTTGTGTGTATGTGTCTGTGTTTGTCTGTCATTTAAAGGTATGACCAGGTGCTACCTTGCAGCCTTTCCCTGGTAAACTCTTGGTCATTTTCAACATTTTCCTGACATTCCAGCTGAATAGTTATCATTACTTCAATTTTTAATACAATAATTTAGAGCAATCTATGATTCCAGTTTTCAAAAGGTACAACACACATAAGTACTTCCCTTAAGATGCTGATAACTAGTGAAAACACTATACTGATAATTCTCTACTAAACAGTAAAATAAAGGCTAAAATGTTATTGATGTTTTCTCATTCTGTATAGAAAGTGATTTTTCATAGTGTTATTGACTGCATTTCATCTGTTTTGCATATTGTTAATGAACCTTGTTCTCTTTAAAACAAAACAAAACACCTTTCTTTAAAAAAAAGAACTCACTTATTTCCTTGACACCAACATACACTATGACTTCCAAATTATGCCACTTCTGGGGAACAGTTTTTCATATCCTCTCAAGTACTTTTTTTTTTTTTTTTTTTTTGAGATGGAGTCTCTCTCTGTTGCCCAGGCTGGAGTACAGTGGTGCAATGTCGGCTCACTGCAACCTCTGCCTCCCAGGTTCAAGTGATTCTCCTGCCTCAGCCTCCTGAGTAGCTGGGATTATAGGCGCCCGCCACCATGCTCGGCTAATTTTTTTGTATTTTTAGTAGAGACAGGGTTTCACCATGTTGGTCAGACTGGTCTCGAACTCCTGACCTGATGATCCACCTACCTCGGCCTCCCAAAGGGCTGCAATTACAGGCATGAGCCACTGCGCCCGGCCAGTAATATTTTTTCTCTGTGTGTTACTTGACATTTTCCACTTTTCTGTTCTCTTTTGTGCATTTGTATTCTATATTATATTAGTCCATGGTTGTGGCACATATTAAAGATGTTTGTAAATTCTTGTCAAGTAAAATGAATAAACGATCTGATGCCAGTTGTTCTTAAAATTACGTTCCCTCTCAATCTCAGAGGGACTTAATACTCTTCACACTTTTTACCGACTGAATGCAGGAAAATCCCAGGTCATCCATGAAGCCTGTGATTTTGTTGATTCCACCGTCCAACGTGTCCCAGCTATCATTCAAGAGTGGACATAATGCTCTGCTCCCAGACCACATCAAAGTGTCCACTCTGGGTACCCCATGACAACCTACTGGCCAGCACTGACTACCAGACCCTGTTGAAGTGTCCACTCTGGGTGCTCCATGACAACTTACTGGCCAACACTGACTACAGGGCTCTAAACTAAAGGAGAGAACTGTTGGGTGGTTATGCTTGCAATTAGACCCTCCAGGGTGTCTACTACCACTGATGGAAGCAGGGGAAAAGAAATATTATACATTCAGAGTTTGGCTACTCCAAAAGAGTAGGAGTCCCCCAAACACTGGGGACTCTTACTGAAGCATCATATATGAGACATATGAAGAGTAGAAAATGTAGGAAACATTGACAAACATGTATTAAGTCACTTCAATATAAGCCTTGGAAAAGTCTAGGAGCTCTATTAGAGATGCATGAAGAGAATACAATCAGGGGGACATGGTATGACCAGAGTTGAATAAACAGCATTGCTCACTACTCTTCCTGAAAATAATACTAAAAACAGCAAGAATATATTTTAAAATACAATTTCATTTTAAGTCGAACTAGGAGTAAATAGAAATGGATCATAGACACAAAAGTACATATAGAGACTCTAAACAGCTGAAATCAAGCAAGCCATGGAAGACCAAAGGAAGAAAAGCACAGTGATGGCTTAAAGGCACAGTGGTGGCTGATTTCAGAAAGGGCTGAAGGCCAGGGACTCTGAAATATAAAAGTTGTATTTTTTGTTTGTAATAATGGATTCAGAACCTCTATGGACCGAGGTCATCGAAGCCTTTCTGGACTCAGTGTCACTCAGAGAAGGTGATGCTCTACAAAGAGCCGATGACTTAGGTGTATCTGCAGAAGCCACTGAATTCTATGGCAGTGAAGGAGAAGACTGTTGGGTTGTTAAGCTCTTAGCTGTATCTGCAGAAGCCACTGAATCCTATGATGGTGAAGGAGAAGACTTAGCCATATCTGCAGAAGCCACCTAATTCTATGGTGGTGAAGGAGAAGATTTAGCCATATCTGCAGAAGCCATTTAATCCTATGGTGGTGAAAGAGAAGACTGTTGGGTTGTTAAGCTCTTAGCCATATCTGCAGAAGCCACCTAATTCTATGGTGGTGAAGGAGAAGACTTAGCCGTATCTGCAGAATCCATCTAATCCTATGGTGGTGAAGGAGAAGACTTAGCCATATCTGCAGAAGCCACCTAATCCTATGAAGGTGAAGGAGAAGACTTAGCCGTATCTGCAGAAGCCACCTAATTCTATGGTGATGAAGGAGAAGACTTAGCCATATTTGCACAATCCATCCAATTCTATGGTGGTGAAGGAGAAGACTTAGCCATATCTGCAGAAGCCACCTAATTCTATGGTGGTGAAAGAGAAGACTTAGCCGTATCTGCAGAAGCCATCTAATTCTATGGTGGTGAAGGAGAAGATTTAGCCATATTTGCAGAATCCATCCACTTCTACGGTGGTGAAGGAGAAGACTTAGCCGTATCTGCAGAAGCCTCCTAATTCTACGGTGGTGAAGGAGAAGATTTAGCCATATCTGCAGAAGCCTCCTAATTCTGCAGTGGTGAAGGAGAAGACTTAGCTGTATCTGCAGAAGCCATCTAATTCTATGGTGGTGAAGGAGAAGATTGTTGGGTTGCTAAGTTTGCAAGACAACTTTGCCTCCTCCTTTCTTCTTCATAGAAACTTTTCACAAATTATTGGTTCAAAATATTTCAATTAATTCAGTAATTAATAATTATTGATTTATGTAAAGACACTATAAGAAAAAACTATGGGGAAAAATGCAAACTTATCAATGGAGAAAGATCACACAACAAAAATCAATCCCAAAAGCAAGATGAAAATGTTAACCAAATATTTTGCCATGAAATGAAAACTTAATGGAGCTGTCAGATCAAAAGTGGAAGACCATGAAGCAGAAATATAAGAACTCAGAGAAAGAAGTGGTGAAATGTTAGAATAAAAAAATGTGCTGACAAAAACCAGCAAACATGAAGAAAAACCAAAATCTTCATAGAAATGAAGGTAAACCTAGAAGAAGTAGAGAAATTAAAACAGACTTTAGAAAACTCAGTAAGGAACATAGAAAATATAAATAAAAATGTAAAAGTAAATACAGTAAAATTAAAGGGAAAATCTAAAAATTATTAGAAGGAAAACAGTGGCTATAGAAGATAAGCAGAGACAATCTAAAATATATCAAAAAAGGAAGGTATGGAAAGAAAAAAAAAGACAGCATTGAAAGAGCATGAATCCCTTTAAGAACTGATTCAACAAAACTTTTCCAGAATAAAATTAGGTTCCACAGAAAAGGAAACACTAAGAACACCCTAGAAAATTTTAAAGAAACATTAAGGAAAAGATCCTTTAATCAAGCCACTCTTAAAAAAGAGAATGTAACAGGCTAGTCTCATATTTTTTCCTAGCAAAATTTAATGCCAACATACAGTGGCCCATTACCTACAAGATATTCAAAAAGTGGAATGAAAACCAAAGGTTTTATACCTAGTCAGGCTACATTTCAAAGTATACTTCAGGCAGTTTTAAATACACACAAAGTCAGGGAATATTTTCCTACTTGGGAAAAGTCCCAGAGAACAAACTTTAGCCAACAAAGAAATAACTAAAGAAAAACTATGGTGAAATATTATAATTGTGAATTGCATTGACTAAAACTAAAATAAACATGAGAACCAGGGTAATAAAATGAATATAAATGCCACATGCCCTGGAAATAAACCAATATCGAAACTAACAAAAAGTAGAAGAAGAAGGAGGAAAGAATGGAAGACATAGGGTAGATCAAGGCTGCTGCATATGATGTTTGTACAGTTTTCAACTTTGAGGGGTCTCGTTTGCTGAGACCCTGACATCATCTGCAGCTCCAGAGCTGAGAGACACGATGTGCACACACACAGGTGGGGGTCTGAGGAGGAGGACTTGGTCAACTCAGCTATAACAGCCAGGACTCAAAGTGGATCATTCAAAGCAGTAAATCAAATGTTAGAAATAGAAGTGTATGTAATAGCAAAATAACAAACATTAAATAACATGCCACGGATACTCTCATTGACAGAATTCTAGTAGTGAGAGGCCTGGAAGGGAGTAGAAAGAGAAACCACCTAGTTTTAACACAGCGGAAAATAGAGAAGTAATCACTCCTGGGTAAAAGAAGAGATCATAAAAATACTGCATAAAGCTGTCATTTAAAAAATTACCACTGAGCAAGTCCCCAAATGAAGCTACCAGAAAACAGTTTTTCTCAAGCAAATAAATCAGATCACATAGAAAACAACTTTTAAAATTTATGAACACATAAGATGCTATCATATATGCATGAAACACCAAGCATAACTGTTATATCAATAAATATAAATGTAAATATGATATACACATATACAATTAACCATTACTGAAGGACTTAAAAAAGAATTTGATCAGATTTCCAGAGGAGAGGAGCTTGGGATACTCTTTTCCCTGCAGTGAAACAACCGTTTAACTGGTAAAAATTATAAAACACATTTAAAGTCTCTGGAAATTGACCTAAGGGCAGATGCAAATTAATAAGCATTTATTCAAGAAAATCTCCTAAATGTTGATAAAACAGTGGAAGTCTGTGTCCTCTGAGCCAGAGCTAGTTCCTATTCCCTCCTCCAGCTCCATGTCACAGGAGATCTTCTCCACATCACATGACCACATATCACATGACCAGGAACATGGGAACTCCTTTTCAGCCCCACTCCCAGTCAAAGACGTATGATTACACCCCAGGTGATCTCATCCCCAGACACCACCCCTCTAAGTAAAGGAAATTAGGATGCCATCTCACATCAAGGGGACAGATGAGATGTTTCAACAATGTTGATGTTTGTACAACTAGGAAGATATATGAAAAAATAAAGTTAGATTCATTTCCCACATCACATACCAAAATAAATTCCAAATACGACAAAAATTTTAATGTGAATAAAAATAAAACTATACAAAAACATAAAATAACATTAAAGAATTTCTTTAAAACCTGGAAGTGAGGATGACCTTTTTATTTCTGAAAATCCAGAATCCATAAAGTATTAACATTTTATCACATACAAATTAAAAATTTCTACATGGCAAAAAATAAGGTATTTGGATCTAAAGACATATAACAAATTGGAGGGCAGACATTTGTAATCATATCACAGATAACGAGTGAATCTCTCTGTATAGGAAGTTTTAGAAATGAAGAAGGAAAAGATAAACAACAGAAAAGGATTCAAAGATAAATAGTTCTCAGAAAAATTCAAATAATTTTTTGATAGATGTCAACCTCAGTTATAAAACGAGAAAAGCATTTAAATTACCATGAAATAACATTTTTCACCTTTAGATTGGCAAGAACTAAAATTTTTATAATATATATCATCAGTAAGGCTGTGGAGTGTAAGCTTTTACTACCTCTACCGAGGGCAATTAGTATCTATCAAAGTTGCAAATACCTGTAATATTTGACAGAGCATTCCCACTTTGGGGTTTATACAACATACTTGAACATGTGTAAAATAATGTATGCATAAGTGTACTCATCAAAGCTATTAACTATTAACAAAAGATTCAAAATAATTTTATTCTTCAATCTTGGACTAGTTAAGTAAATTTTTGTCTAAGTTCAATGGAATGCTATGTCTTCATTTTAAAAATACATAAAGTCTACATATTGACTTATATGAAATATTATTTAGAGAAAAAATAAGGTTTAAAACAGTGTGTTTAATAAACTGCCCTTGCTGTAAAAAGAGAAAACATAAAGGTATACATTTATTTTTGCTTGCATATGCCAACAGAAACCCTAGAAGAACGCAAAAGAAACTAATGACATCAGTAGCCTCATGATGTGGCCATGGGGACTGAAATGGAGACAATTACGAGATTAGGAGGAAGACTTTTCAATGTATACTTTTACATTTTTTAGATATTTAGCCATGTGCATTGATTTCCTACTTCAAAATATACCCAAATTTTAAAATAAAAGATATAAAATTCAAGATAATATAGATCAAATAATCCATTCACCCTGGCCCAGTCACCACTCCTTCCTCTACACAAATACGCACCTACAGAGAATTTTTGAAATCCTCTAGAGAAATACACACCTACAGAGAAGTTTTGCAAAAATAAAAATAAAAAAGCAAGAGGCAAAGCAGTGTTTATTACTAGCTGAGATGCTTTTGCCCCCTTAACCCCCACAGGCTGAACCACTTGGAGAAATTGTCCAGCCTTGCATAGACACAGAAATGGGCTCCTCTCTTGAAAGCAATTCTGAACCTCAGTGTTACACCGGGCCCAGAACACAAACACGGGGAAGCAGGGAGAGAAGAGGAATAACAATGCCTCCAAAGACTGGGGTTAACCTAGGCCTTCCCAAGCTGGAGAAGTAGATGAGCACCAGGCTGCCACAGCTAGTAGGGTGCAGGCACTGGCCCCTGAAATTCTCATTCTGTTTCTCCCAAGAAATGTCTGAAGGGAGGTCAATGTCTGCTCAATGATCTTGCCCTTGCGCTCAGAATAAGAAACTTCTGATTTTTACCCCTTCGAGGCCCCACCTGTAAACAATGTAAACCAATCAGGTATCACAAAACCTGAACGCTACGCCTTATTTTGGGGAAATGAACTTTATTGCTCTTGATCTACACTCAGCTCTTGTAGACAAGTGGGAGCGTGGGAGACACAAAAGGGTAGAGAAAGAGCCCTGTGCTTACCAGGGAGGCTACTGTGGTGTTTTGGAGGCTAAGTTCAGGAGTTTATCCAGCACAGAAGGCAGGGGTTTAATGCCTCTTATCAATAAATATTTACACATATAACCTGCATGCATTGAATCTATAATGTGCATACATTTCTTGTACCTGAAAATATCTAATATTAAACCAAGGAGAAATATAATTATAGATAATATAATACACATAGTTATAGCATACATTTTAGATGAAGCATTTTTGCATGCTAGGGTAGACAATACACACAGTTACAGCATACATCGTAGATGAAGCATTTTTGTATGCTAGGGTAAACACAAAACCTGTTTGCTATGAAGGCCCTGGCGGTCTGTACCTCTAGCCAATCATTTGCATACTATTAAATAGCACGTTTGCAGTAAAACTAGAAGGCAATAAAGCTGTATCCATGTGCTCTCTAACCTATTTGATCAATGCTGCCATAAGAGCTTCAGAGATTGAATATTTGTGTGGCTCTCAATTTTGCTCACTATTTACGTAAATTAGAAGTTTAAATGTAGGATAATGGTAATAATTTATGTCATCTAACAAACAGCTCTCTAAAGTCTTTGGAATATAAGGTCTCTGGATAGCCAAAACTTCTAATTAATTGAGGATTACAACTTTAATCAACAATAATTTTTTTTAATAATTTAAATATTTTGGGTGAAAATCTTTTCAAACAATTTTCAAAGCCTAAAAGCTTTGAATTTGGTTGATAATTTCTAAGTCAACACTATGAACACTGGGTTACATATAATAGATATAATCTATGTCATACAAACATGTACACAATAGATATGATGAGGTCTGTTAAACTATGTGGGGTTATTTGCATTGGTCTATTTTTCCACTTACTTTGTGAGTTTTTCTCTCCCTTTCCTTGCTGTCAGTGTCCTCATGTAGCAGCTTTTCTCCTTATTTCTAATTTTCTCATTTTACATCTACTACAGGCTTTGAAATTGCATACTGAAGCTTCTTTAAGCAGTATGTAACCTAAGATTAGGCCTTGAAATAAGGGCGAAAGAGATCACTTTCAAGCCACATGTGTGAGACTTGAATGCAGGCCCTTGAGATGATACTTTGGCTGTATACAGGTTTGTTGCTTCCTGCTTTAGGCTACATCTAAAGAAGAGTTTTCTCTGATAAGAGTTTGGGTTAGATTCAACATAACCTTAGAAGAAATGGCTACCCTATTTTATTTATGCTTTGCTTTTTTTACAAAAAAGAAATTTTATTAAAATGTATATAAAATCACGTGATAAAATATTTTTTAAAAAAAGAAAAAAAAAAGTGAGGTCTTTGAAATGTAAGGCAAAAGGCAAGAGCAGACAGAGCCAGGTATAAGACTCATCACACAATGCAAGCCAACAACCCTCCATCTTTGCCAGAGATGAGGAACAAAGTTGGTTTTATGCTTTGTAGTCCATCCAAAAGGCTAACAAAACTCATATTGTTACTTAGTGTAAATAAAACAATCGCTTCAGTAAAGTGCAAGTTTTTCAGACAGTGAGTCCAGAAAACAATTACTTCTTACTTCCTCCTCAAGAAATCACTGTGAAATGCAAAAATAATGTTCTCGGCAATGACGTTACAAGAAACCCAAAGATGAGTTTTAATAGCATAATTCAATGAAAAATAATTATACGGGAAAAGAAAAGATTACAGCTCACCAGAAACACAAAATTGCGTATTCCAAAGCACAACCACTGATGGTCTGTGGCTGCTCCTGGTGGCTCAATGGCACATCTGTGACAGTGTTGGATGCACACAGGTGGTCATCTCCCAGTACAGTGTGAGTCATTCAGCACCTCAAGTCACTGAAGAGTGCCTGACAGACCCTAGGCCCTCCTAGCCCCACATCTCAGTCTTGGTTCCTCAATACATCAGCTAAGTCTTGATTTAAGCAAATGAAAACACAGCAGGGAGCTCTACTATTATTCCAAATATGATTACTCACTATAGGCTTTAGAACAAAGGAAATAGAGACAAATTAATCAAAAGAAGCAAAATATCTAGTAAAGACATTACTGTCAGTGGTTGGTGGTTAATGAGTGAGTGACCTGGATAAGGACTACTTATTGCTAAAGGCATCCTCCAATACACAGAGTGGGGAAAGTGAAAGAAAATTAAACACACAAAAACAGCACTACTCTTTTTTGCCTGTGACAGCAAGCCAAAATGTCAACACCAACTCCTTAACTTTACTTTCCATGTAAGCAAGCAGCATTAGCATTTCTCTAGAGGAAAGGACAAAAAAATAGTTCATAACAAGGTAACATTTGGAATTAAAAACATAAACTGGTGTGGTTCAACAAAGCCAGATTTTTCAGTGCAAACAATGTATCAACTGTCAGTTGAGTGAAAAGATAACCCAGTCTCCAAAGCCTAGGGGCCTGGAATTATACACTGCAAGGTATTGTGCATCAATTTCCTATGTGTCAGAGAAAGGAACAGTTTAGCCTTGACACCAAGAGGTCTGCACACACAAATACCTAAAAGTCTATTCATGTCCTTAGCCCACTTTTGGATGGGATTATTTGTTTGTTTCTTGCTAATTTGTTTGAGTCCATTGTAGATTCTGGATATCAGTCCTGTGTCAGATGTATAGATTGTGAAGATTTTCTCCCACTCTGTGTGTTGTCTGTTTACTCTGCTGACTGTTTCTTTTGCTGTGCAAAAGCTCTTTAGTTTGATTAGGTCCCAGCTATTTATTTTTGTTCTTATTGCATTTGCTTATGGGTTCTTGTTCATGAAATCCTTGCCTAAGCCAATGTCTAGAAGAGTTTTCCCAATGTTGTCTTTTAGAATTTTTATAGTTTCTTGTCTTGGATTTAAATCCTTCATCCATCTTGAGTACCACTTGTTCCCCAATAACCTATGGAAATACAAATATTAAAAAATACAAAAATACAAACTAAAAGTCACTTAGCACTCAATTGCAGTATGTCTAAACCTCTTGGAAAGATGGATGCCTTTCAACTATTAAAATTATTTTTTAACTATATATCTGAAAAGTATTATTAATAAAGATTCTTGAATGTAGCAGTTATAGTTCCAGAGAAAGAGTGCCAGGTGTACAGCTCTTAGAATGTAAGCTATTAAGATGCAGAGATTGTATCTGTGCAAATCACTTTGTTCAACACCAAAAGCATGTCAGCAAGAAGTGAAATATTTACAAATTTTTTTTGATGACAATGACAAGGAATCAGGACCCTTGATTAGAAGAGATGGATATCCAAGTCAAACCAGCTATCTTAGAAAAGAAATTGGGAGCTCCCCTTAACAAATGTTGAGAAGAGCAGAAGCAGAGCTGGGCCTCCAGCTAGTGCCAACATCTGAAAAGGGGCTGTTGGGAAGAGCAGAAGCAGAACTGGGCCTCAAGCTAGTGCCAGCATCTGAGCATCTGAAAAGGGGCCAGGACTCCCTGTCTCTAAGTCTTTCATTCCCACTTTCTTGGTATCTTGGCTTTATCTCCAAACCAAAATCCTTTTCTTCCCTAGAGGAGGAAATAGAACTCCAGTAGCTCTCTGCTAGCATCAAGCTAAGCTGAGGTATAAAAACTCTCTTCTACTTAGTTCTGTGCATGGACAGAATCATCTGCCTACTCACAAACCAATCCTGTATTGGGGGTGTGACATTTTGATCTCCCAGGTTGGGTCATGTGCCTACCCTTAGGGTGGGAGGCAGGGATTTATGAGTTGGGTGAGGAAAGAGAAATAGTTCCTGCAGAGGAAAGGAACATGCACTGAACTACAGAAATGGGGAGAAGCAATGAATATTAAAAGAAGTAGACTGATGTTAGGAGAAAATGGCAAAACTAGGGTAGATTCCCATATATCTCAGCAGGAGTACTAGAGAGCCCCATGTGTTAATACACAAGAATACATTTTATAGAAGATGTTATTATTATTTCTATGAAACTGGATACTCAGTTGAATTCATACATGAATGCATAATGCCATCGCTCACTACCAAAAATTTTGCAGTAGAGCTTCCCACATTTGGGGCAATTCCAGGGATCAGCATATCCCTATGATGGATCCAGAGTGGAATGGATAAGCCTTGCCCTGGGAAAACTGCCTTTAAGATCATGGTATCTGCCCTGCCAGGTAAGTATGAAACTGGATATTTCTAAGGCACATTGGAACAAACCTCATTTTTAGCCACAAGTTATGGGTATCTTGAAAAGCCCTTATTGCAAAACACATAGAAATAGCAGGTAAAATACAGTCAACATGGACTTAAATGCCTAGTTGTGCTTCCAGGAGGATAAGGAAACCCCCGGGGGAAGATGGCAAAGCAGAAAACCTGAATGGCCAATGAATGCAAAACCATGGCTGCTAGAGAAACATTTCCCAACCTCAAGAATCTAGAGACGTGAATCTGAAGGCTGAGTGGGGTGGCAGAAGACAAGGCTTTAGGTCACTGCCAGGTAGAGACCTCTGCATACGTTCAGAACTCATTAATCAGGAATTAAAAGCTTCTAACAAAAGTAAAGAGATAAAAAAGGAGCTTGTTCATCTCATGTTCATTGCAGCATTATTCATAATAGCCAAGAGGTAAAAGCAACCTAAATATCTGTCAAGAGATGAATGGATTTTAAAAAGTGGTATATACACAATAAATTATTATTCAGCCTTAAAAAAAAAGGAAATCCTTTCATATGTCATAACATAGATAAACCTTGGGGATACTATACTAAGTGAAATAAACCAGTCACAAAAATACAAACACAGTGCTGCATGATCCTTCTTATATGAGGTTTTTAAAGTAGTCAAACTCTTAGAAACAGAGACGTAAAATGGCAGATGCCAGGGACTAGCGGAGGGGGAAAAGAGGACTTGTTCAATGGGTATAGAGTTTTATAGGTGAATCCCACACTCTAATCCTACTCAAGCTGGTATAGAGGATGGGAACAAAGATAAGACTATAGATTTATGAACAATAAAAAGTGTAAACCAAGCATTCTATACCTAGCCAAACTGTCATTCACATATGGAGACAAAAAGAGAAAAAGAGTTTCAAACATGCAGGAATGTAGGACAATCATTTGTACAACCTTACTGAAAAATTGTTCTCTGAATTAAAATAAATGTGGCCGGGCACAGTGGCTCATGCCTGTAATCCCAGCACTTTCGGAGGCCAAGGTGGATGGATCACTTGAGGCCAAGGTTCAAGGCCATCCTGGGTAACATGGTGAAACCCCATCTCTAGTAAAAACTCAAAAATTAGTTGGGCCATGGTGGCGGGCTCCTGTAATCCCAGCTGAGGCAGGAGAATCACTTGAACCTGAGAGGCAGAGGCTGCAGTGAGCACAGCACTGCACTCCAGCCTGAGTGACAGAGGGAAACTATGCCTCCGAGAAAAACCAAGCGGACAGACAAATACATTTTACACTTTCAAAGATCAAATTATTTGTGATTATAGTGCTCATCATTTACTGAGCATATAATCCCTACCAGTAGTTTCACTAGATACTTTGTAAATGCCATTTCTGTCTATCCTTCAACAAGCCTCTAAATTAGATGTTCTATCCACTTTATGGATATGAGAAATCTAAGAGAACTGACTAACCCACTCTTAGATTTCTCATCTATGAAGTTGACAAAATAGCTCATTTACAGGCTTTGTAATTTCTAAAATATCATATAGCTAGGATTGTAAATTGATCCTGGTACTTTTTGATTTTTTGAGTTAAAGTTCATGCTGAAGCGTGTTGGGTTGACAGGCATTCTGAAATTCAGCACAGGGCATAAGCAAAATGGCATCTTTTCCTACTGGGGTAAAGGAGCCAGACCACCAAAATAATCGGTTCTTTAAACCTCCTTTCTGATTACTCACATCCTCAAAACTTTATGAACTCTTAACATGATATCGTGTACACTGGAAAAATGCAATGTATATTTTTAATAAAAATGGAGTGGGTTTTAGGAGATCTAGAGCAGTGACAGCTGACATCCAAACTGTTCTATTTCACGCGAGGAGGTTTCCATCTTCCACCATCACGACCTCCACCTTCCTGCTCTTCACTCCTCCTTACTTTACTGATCTAGTTACTGTTTTTCTCTCTTCCAATTCAGACTCAAAGTGACAGGACGGGACAGAATGAGGCAGAAATCACAGGGTTTGTAAGGCCTGGAGAATGGGGTCCACACAAACCTTTGGACCACTTTTTCTCAGGGGTAGACTTGATGCTCAGATGCTGATGTTCTGTGCTGGACCTGTTTGGGTTCCTCCTCCTCATTCACTCTTGCTCCTGAGCATCACCTGCTCTGACTTGTAAACGTTCTTCTAACATCCCCTAACACAAAGGAGTTAACTGAAGCTCTGAGAGGCCTGGAGGTCAGTCATGGACCTTCACATTATTTGACTTTAAACAAATCTTGAAAGATTCATCCCCCTCAACATGGCACTTGTGTGCATGTAGAGGCATTCATCTCACACCACTACAAAAGAAGCAGCAGTGTTTGCCAGAAATCATGGGATTCCTCTCTTTTCCCTGGGCTCCAGGTCTGAATTGCCAGGCCGGCTTTGTCAGGAGTGATATATGTAAGAGTCATGGCTGGGTGGGGCTGGATTGTGCTATGTGTGGCACATAAGGGATGAAAGTGAGAGATATTTCTTAATTACAAATGTATGTTCTTTATTCTTCAAAGTTTGGATTCACACCTCTCTATTCCATTTTTCTGCACAAAATCTCACTGTATCATTAATGGATTTGTCCAGTGCATTGATAATATCATAATCTATCCACTCTAACCTGATTAAGCATGCACTTGTCATTTTAAAAAATGAGGAAACTGGCATACATGTTTCAGCAAAGAATTTGCCACACCTACATTGTGTATGCAGCTGGTTTAATTACAGACATAATGTATTTAGCATAGTATGTACAAAGCTGCATCACACCTTAACATCTCATTTGATATATTTCCTGAGACCTATTTGCTACTGTTCTTTCCTTTGTGACTGTCCTTACAGAATTAATATTTTTATAACTATTATATAATTAATTATACTTTAGGACCTAATTGAAACTGCAATCTTATTCCATCACATTTGGAAATGAGTGTACGCTTATAGCTCCTTTTGAAGATAATGAGGCATCACAGAAGGAGTCATGATCTACATTTCCTTGAACATCCAGAAAGCAGAAATTACGATACTGTGACTGGCCCTGGCTGTGTTTTGATGAGATTGTCTTGGTCATCACTTTCTCAGTTTCTTAGCACCAAGTTCTTGGGTGACCAGTTGCACAGAACACCACTTGCATTACTGAATACAAACTGACTTGGGGTCTATAGGGTGACGGTGGTTGAAGGTTGACAGCAGTGCTGTAGGAACAAGACTTGAATCACAGAGGGAGTCTACATGGAGCAATGTGGTGATATATTTCCAAGCACACAATTTCTACAACAGGTCAACTGCAATCCCCACACAGCTAACCCAGCCCTAAAGTGAATATTGAGTAAAAGCAATCATATCTTTATTCCAAACCATCTGAATTTGCTGATTTTTATAAATATGTTATTTTATTCTATCAAATAAATTCTACTCCTGGATTCCCTAAAACAACTCCTGCATTACTTTGTAGGTCAAGCTATCAAAAAATTTGCATAATTACTTCATTTGAAGTTATTAAACTGCTAAGGCAGCAAAATTCATTAAGCTACATTTTACTAAATTCTAATCATTAAGTGAAACAATATTTTTCCCTCAAAAAAGGTAATAGTTTCCCGGAAATATTCTTCATGGCTTTATTTCCTCTGCTAATTGATCCAGGTCATTTAATTCAATAATTTTTATAAAGGTAAAATTATAGGAGTTTAATTGACTTTTGCTTAGCTTCCAATTATGTCTAATTTGTTTCTGTTCAGTCTCATTAGATCCAGTTATGTTTGGACTGATAGTAATTACTCCCAATAGTTAATGTACTTTAAAATAAGGACTCTCTTCTGTTATTTTCAAGTAATTTTTCATCAGGGTTAGGCAGGGCTTCTTAATCATATTAATACAAATGGTTTCCTATGTGCATGAGTAAGTTTGCATTTAGTACGTAGGCAATCCTATGTAACTTAGCAAAGCTAGCAAGTCCCTAGACATGGCACAGCCACTGTAGAGGTGGCCTCCCACTAGCATCATTAATATCAATTGTAATTGGTAGGCAATCACTTAGTTTCACATTTCATTACCCGAGTTATACAAATGTGTAAAAAAAATACAGTTTTAATAAAAGGGAGTAAAGGATAATATGAGTAATATTCACAGTCTCTAGTTGGAAGAGGTAGTGTTTTCTCAGAAATGATGCATTCCTGGAGCAAGGTCATTTTGTGTTTGGTTTGTTAAATATCTATTTCCATTTTGACAAACCATTGGAAAAGCCCAGCTTCACAAGGACTCTCCATGAAAGCGATCACACAAAAGAACACCCATAACACAAAATCAAAACAAGGGTGGTCCGGGCTTCACATTAAAGACTCATTACCAAGTTTTCTTAGAAGAGATAAAGAACACAAAGTTACTTTTATGTGATGGAAAACAGAGAGAAAGAGTAAATGGAACAATAAGCGTTAGGAAACAGCAGTGAAAACCAAGCTGTGGAAAAAAAATGAATGGAATTATGTTTTGTTTGCTATTGATTTCCTATCCTGATATCAGAAAATATGGGAAAGAACAAGGCACATTTTTTGAGACAAATAGAACATAAAATAAATGAGTGTTAAAGATTATTTTGCAGTGAGAACAAAAATATCTGTGACTTGTTTCTTCCCTTCAAAAATACGATTTTGTACAATTACATTTATATAAATTATAGAAATAAAATTGTAAAGATGGAGAACAGACTATGGGGTTGCCAAGGGGAACGGGTGGAGGAAAATGTGTCAGAGTGTCCACAAAGATTGCAAGTTGGAGCCTGGTGGTGAGGCTACAGTTCTGTATCTTGACGGTCGAGGTTGTAGTTACAGAGATCTACACGAGATAAAAATGCACAGAACACATGCACACACACACACACACAAATACATACAAAAACAAATGTGTACAAAATGGTTGTGATCTGAGCAAGCTTTCTGAATTGCACCTATGTCAGTTTCCAGGTTTTGATATGCTCTATGGCTATGCGAGATGTCACCGCTGGGAGAATTAGTGAAGAGTACCTAAGACATCCCTGCACCTTTTGCAACTTCCTGTGAATCTATAATTATTTCAAAAGAAACTTGAAAGTCGAGTATAGCAAGGACTAAATCCATCACTTCAAAGACGAAAAAACTGAAGATGAATGAAACTGTTGAAGAATATCAAATACTCAACAGTCCGTATGAGAGCTGTATTCTGTCCACTCGAAGCTCAGCTGTCATTTAGGCTTTTCCTGACGTGCCCTGGAGGACTTGAGCTCCCCTTGGATTGCCAAGGCCTATAATGTTTATTTGTTACTAACTTTGTACTGGACCCCCCAAAAAATGAAAAGTGATCGAATAATCATTTATAATAACAACTAGTACTTTTACTTATAAAGAGACAATAGTGGTAATGAATTTAAATATTTGGGGTAAAGAATAGGATCTTGGTAAGACAATATTGGCAAAATATAAAACAGAAAAAATAAGGAATCAGAAACATAAGTAGTTCAGTATTGTGAAAAAATTCTGGATCTGAGCAGCAAAAGAACAGAGATTGTATTGCGTTTCTGCTCCAAACCTGCTGAATCACCTTAGGCAATGCATGCCCTTTCCCTGAATCTGTTTTCTTTTCTACAAAATAAAGTGAGCCAAATCATCTCCAAATATTCACATTTTTCGACTCTACATGGACTTCAGTTGAATTGCTAATTTCAGTTTGGATAATACATGTGTGCTGCACCACAAGTGGTGTGTCTAAACCCTCATGTTGGTCCTAAAAATAATTAAATCTAGCATTTGGCAGCTGGAAGCCATTGCAATCTTTTAAGTATTCCTGAAGCTTATTTTATCAGTGTATCAAGATAAAATGCTAATAACGCGGTAGATATAAAGTCTGTTAGCAACTATCAGTGCTGTGTTATCTCAGAAGACTTTGTAAGGATAATGATAAGAAGTGGATCAAGTAAAACAGCCTGAATTGACCCCCAAGATCCACTAAAATGATTAACTATTCCATTCATGAAAATTCACTACAGTCAAACTATCTAAACTTGCTGTTCCTGAGCTGATGTTATTCCAGTTCTACATGGCAGTATTAATTGCACCTTCATTTGGCTAAGCATCATGAATAACAGCAGTCTTAACAATGTATCGCCACTTCCTTATATACCTGTTTACACTTGTGATCATAATAATGTCAACTTTAATACTCTCACCAAAAAAATGTTGAAAAAAATACCCCTTTTGCAACGTAAAGCTAAAGATCTAGGCTTGCATAAATGATCAAAAGCTAAAAGGTAGCACCAGTAATCTCTGTTAGTGCTGCAAAAAGACATCAAGTTCAGTATCAACTTAATAAAAAAGACAGTTATTAACCAGCAACTGAACTTTAAAGTTATCATGTTGCTTGCAACTGAAATACGAGCCTATTCACAAACACAGACGATATTCACATGAACATCCCTGCTAAACTCTACCTGACCTCACCATGAGAGTAAACCGGGAGGAGGGGTAGAGATGATAGCTCTCCATATATAATGCTTGAATCTCCAGGAGGCAACAGAAGAGGATCATTGCCCCACCATGGCTCCTTCCCATCTGTTTTGATCATCCAGGCAGACCTATAGTGAAACAAAATGAAAGCACTAACAGTTTCCTGGGCTGTATTTTTCTTAGTATCCTACAGAGAAACACCTAGTCACACTGCCACTGACTGCACTCCTAACCCTGGATTTTGCATTCTCACTCTGTGGGTTACAAGAGGCAAACAGCAACGTAGATCCATCGCTATCATCGGATATAATTCAAATAAGACACTTGCTGTGGATGGCTGATCATAACAATAACATGATCTGGGGGCATCAGAAGTCCTGCTTGACTCTTATTTTCTAACATTTTTGCAGGCTGCTGGCTGACCTCCACCCCACTTCAGGAACAACAGGATAGACTACAGCTGGGCCGATCCATAAACTCACCAGTAGCCCAGGAGATGGCCTGACATGAAAAGTTCTGCACAAGCAGGAGCAAAATGAGCCAATAGCTCCACTTGCATTCTGTTGGTATCCTGCATGTTATTTTCACAGAGCAATACAAGTTTCTGCTGTACTGCACGCACATATTACTCACTTTCTTTGCTGCCATGATGCTTAAGTATTTCAACTGCATTTTTAACTAATATATCTTTCAAAACTTAGCCTAAAAATTGCATGATCTCCAGTTGTAGCTTCAGAAGTCTGTTGAAAAGTTTGTCTAAGACAGTAGGCTTTAAACATTGAAATAACTCCTTGGTCCACTAGCTGGACGATTAAAGTTGTATTTGTTAGTAAAAAGCAGCTTTTTAACATTTTCATGGAGGTATCCAAATGAATAAAGGTGACTTGGACACTTATCCAACAGTGATGGTGCTTTAGAAGTTAAATTATGTGAGTTTATGACTGGAGGACAAGTAGTTTACACAACTACACACCTTGATATCTGTCTAAACTAAATTCATACAGATGCACAGGTACACAGCGACAAATAACCAGCACACTTTCACAGAGAGAGCATGATTGCTCACTGATCATCATGCTTGTCCATTAAATACTTACTAATTTTTGTACTAAAAACCAGCATCAAAATTTTTACTGAATGAAATTACACGTAGTTAATACACTGTGGAAAGTGAAATTTGCACTGTGTCCATGAAGGAATTATACATGTTATCTAATCAAAGCACAGTAACAAAAATTCCTGCATATAAGAACCACGAAAAGCCAGGACTGCTTATATACTGCTGTAAGATTTTTATATTACTTGGGAGATGATATAATAGTACTTAAGAATAAACTGTGATAAGTTAACAATATATATGGTAAACGCTTGAGCAATAACTTTAAACAAAAATACATAGTGCAACTATTGAGCCAATAGTTGCAATAAAATGTAATACTGATATGGTTTGGCTGTGTCCCTAACCAAATCTCATATTGAATTGTAGTTCCCATAATCCCCACGTGTCCTGGGAGGGACCTGGCAGAAGGTAATGATACTTATTGAGCATCTACTATATCAGGTGCAGCCAGTGTAGCTCTTGAACGAGACAGAGAAAATTATCATACCTCTACCAGGGTCATATTTGATCTTCATTTATCTACCATTTATAACATTTTATTTGTCTTTTATTGGAAACCCTTCAAATCCTTTCTGAAGTAGATATAGTTGAAATAAAGATATAAGTTGAGACTGAGATCATATACTGTGTTATTTCCCTTGCAAATTCATATTAATTATAGTGAATATCTCATTTTGTTTTTCTTTTTGTTTGGAGAGAAGGAGTAGTTCCTGTCTTGCTACTTTTCTTTCTAACCGTGCCATGATTTAAGTTCCTTCATTCATCATGTTGGCTCTCTTGAAGATAAATCCAGACACCTGCCTTACACTGGAAGCAGCAAGGGCTTTTCCTCGCCAGCTCCCGTGCAGCTCTCAGGCAGGCCTGTGACCAGCCCATGGCTTTCAGTCGCTCTCCCTCCAGGCTTGGACTCTTGATCCGTGATGAGAGAACAGCAGAGGCACGTGATATTTATCACAGCACCAGTGCGCTGAGTGAACCCTTCCTGCCTAGAGACGAATGCAGGGTCCTTGCTTCCCCAGTCCCTTTGATTTCTATTTCCAAGCCTAGTTTCTCAGCTTCCAGTTTATTCTTTGAGCCTTGCTCTCATTGCTACCACCAACATTTTTCAGGAAATTCCCCTTTCTTTTCATGTTATTTTCAGATGGTTGCAACTAAAGAGCACTAAGCGACACTCTCCAAACTCAACTGGGCCCTGCTATTCCCAGTGTTCCCAATGAGAAAGAATACATGGAGTCCCACAGAAGGAGGGGTCAGAGTCCTTAGCTACGGGAGGAGACCACTCCTCATATTGTCTTATGCGCAATTTCTGCCTCCAAAGAAATAAGAAGTAAAAACTAAAAGGCAGAAATGAAATCCACAGGCAGACAGCCCAGTGCCACACACTGGGCCTGGTAGTTAAAGATCGACCCCTGACCTAATCAGTCAGGTTAATTGTAGATTACAGACATTGTATGGAACAGCACTGTGAAAAATCCCTGTCCTGTTCTTCTCTGTTCTAACTACCAGTGCATGCAGCCCCCAGTCATGAACCCTCAGCTTGCTCAGTCAATCACGATCCTCTCACGCGGACCCCCTTAGAGTTGTGAGCCCTTAAAAGGGACAGGAATTGCTCATTCGGGGAGGTCGGTTGTTGGAGACGTGAGTCTTGCCAACGCTCCCAGCCGAATAAAGCCCTTCCTTCTACAACTTGGTGTCTGAGGGGTTTTGTCTGCAGCTTGTCCTGCCACAAGCCAGCACTGGGCACTCAAAGTCTCTTATGCAATAAGCACTCAATAAATATTGGTGAAAGGAAAAGGGTGGAAAGGAGGAGGGAAGAGAAGAAAGGACAAAGAAAGAGAGGAAAAGAAGGAAAGGAGGGTGGGAGGGAGGAAGGAAGAAAGAGAGGGAGGGAGCAAGAAGGGAGGGACGGAGGGAAAAATGTAGGGTGGGTGGGCAGGAGGAAGGGAGAGAGAAAAAGATAAAGGGAGGGAAGGGAGGGAAAGGGGAGGGGGAGGGAAAAACACAAGGGCATAGGAATAAATCCCAAGTGACCATTTCTGGCAAAAAATGCTGAGTTAAAAAAATCACGGGAGAACACCCCTTTGTTTAGGTACCTGCTATCTCTTAAAAGAACACAGAAATTATAGTTTATATATTTTACATGAATATTAAGGAAAATAAGGATCTGAAGGATATGCATAGAAATATATGAAAATACAAAATTGGTGCCTAAATTCAGAAAAGCTGGTAAATATTAATGAAGTAAAATAGCGGGCAAAGACATGTGGGAGGGGAGTGTGACTTAGAACGTAGACCTGAATAAAAAAATAAAAAGTTATTTTAAAGTTAGTTGAAGGACTAAGGGTGGAAATCCATAGGATTCCTGCTTTTTTTCTGCCTATGCTACTTTGGCAAGTATAGTGCATAAAAGACATAAGGAAGATTGGGAAAATCATGGATGATCTTTCTACTTAAATGAAATTGTATCCAAAACCAAAAAACAAAAACAAGAGTGAGAGATAGAACTTTTTCTATGGGTTTCCCACTGTGGAAATCTCCCTACAGACACTTCATGTGTTCTCTGATTATTTGGCTGGTTGGATTATTTTCTCTCTCTTCTGGCTGTTTGCTAACTGAGGTTTTCATTACAGAGGCCCTCTATCGTCCGGGTACCAATTCCTGATTAATAAAAAGATACCATCTCTTGACATGGTACCCTCCAGGTTTGATTGACGCTGCTTTGAGCTTTGAGCATGCATCGGTTATGTGACCCCGGGCCTCTTGTTTGCTCAACTGTTTTCATTTTGTGGTATAGAAACTTTACATGTCCAGCCACTACTAAGCAGAAACACAAAGAAGCAATTATCTGTTCAATTGATGTTTCCCAGATGCAAGTTATTTAATGCTTTTATTAACCCTTAGAGTGGCATGTTATTCAGTCTCCACACCAGGTGAATATTCGGTAGGAAACGCAGCTCCTATACACACAATATTGTCATTTAAAATTAAAGGAAAAAATTAAAATGTCTCTCCAGCCAAACAAGCCCTTTTTCAGCATTTTTACATATTATGAAATATAAATCTAAGGCAACTTTTAGGTTGTTTACAGAGAATAAAAAGTTATCTTTAAATCTAGGGCTTAAAATGAATAATTAGAGGTAAATCTAGTTGGCTTAATCAAAATAACTGCTATAGGAATTACATATAATTAGCGTCCAAATAAAATCCTTAGCCTACTCTATACAGGAAAGTAATATAAATATTAGATAGGAAAATATCAATTCTCTCTCTTATGTCTTCTCAAGATCACATTTAAACCCTTGATCTTTCTTGTCATTTCAAGCACAAGCCAAAATACAAGCCAAAACACAAGCAAATCATGAATTTTAAATCTTGATTCCAAAAGCCACTCTCCTAGTCTGGTTGGAAAAATAACAAAGCTATGTTCTGTATTTTATCACTGCACATTTAGGCCACAATCATTCAAGTGTTTTGCCAACAATGAGCACAGCACAAGGTACCAGAAGGCAATGGGTAGACAACCTTTCGACAGCTTATTCCAGCACAGACTCACGCAAAACAAAATGCTGCCAGAGCCAAGTCCCCTTTCGGCTTCTTCCTGGCTTTGTACAATCTTATTCCTCACTTAATTTCTCCATCCTGTTCCCTTCTCTCTGCCCCTAGTAGCCCCTGTGACTCACGTAAGCCTTTCTCAGGCCAGCAGGCACGTGGGAGCCTCACCCGGCCTGGGGCCAGCAGATGAACCAGGAGTGTGACCCAGGTCCCAGCAGTAACCAGAGGTGACAGGGCAAGGGCTACAGTTTAAGCACTTTGAAGATGAGACTTCTGACCACATGGAGAGAAAATAAGCACCAACTTATACCCTTTGCACAGGGTACAGTAGAGCCACCAAATCGCAGTCAGGAGCCAGGACCTCTTCACTGGATGCTGTCCTCACTCATATCGCCCCACACCGGGTCATGGCGGTCTTTGTGCATCACTTTCCACCTCTTTCCTTTATCTTTGTCCTATTCCACCATTGCTTCTGCTTCCTTCCCCAAGACTGATCATGTATGTCCCAACTGAAAAAGAAAAATCTCTTTTCTGAACCCTGCATCAGTCTCTACCAGCGGTCCTCACACAGGGCAATGCCCTTCCCACCCCCACCAGAGGACATTTAGCAACATCTGGAGACCTTTACGTTTGTCACCGCTAGGGGAGGGGTTGCCACTGTCATGGGGTGTCCAGGCCAGGGATGCTGCCAAACCTCCTACAAGGCACAAGACAGCCTTCCCTCCCCAACAACAAAGAATTGTGTGGCCCAACCTGCCCATAGTGCTGAGGGAGCAACTCTGCTTTGGACACCACTCGCTAAACTTCCCAACTGAACTCCCTGCGTGTTGTCTACACTTAGTGGTTTGCGCTTTCTCCCTCCCAACTCACGCTGAACCGCAAGGATTGGTTGGCTGCCTTCTCTGCTGCACACACACAGCTCTTGCAAATGGCACACCCAATTCTACAGAAAAACGCAGCGGATACTGCAGAGGAGAAATGCAGGTTCTCTCCTCTGTTCTTTGCTTTTACACAAAGATAATCTTCTCACCAAGACTGCTCTCAGTGTGACATCAGAGAGAAACCAGAATGGGACTTCACTGACATCACTCACCACCACAGAAATTCAACTAGCAGCTCTCCACAGGCAAGAATACCATCGTGCATGTCCCAGAACTCAGGACTAAGGCTGAGACACACTCCTGGACCCCAGAGCTAAGAAAAGCTGTTGCAATGGTAAAAAGTGGAGAGAGATGTTGAGCGCACACTCCTCCCCAACCTGGCAGAGCCTCACATGCAGAGATTCCTCTGGATCCGCAGTAGCACAGTGAGAAAGTGAGTTGGAGGCAGAAGTTCTGCTTCCCCACCATTCTGGGCCCCTTTGCAGGAGCTCACACTTGTGTTGTCCCACGGGAAATGCTTCCCCACCATTCTGGGCCCCTTTGCAGGAGCTCACGCCTGTCTTGTCCCACGGGAAACGCTTCCCCACCATTCTGGGCCCCTTTGCCGGAGCTCACGCCTGTCTTGTCCCACGGGAAACGCTTCCCCACCATTCTGGGCCCCTTTGCAGGAGCTCACGCCTGTCTTGTCCCACGGGAAACGCTTCCCCACCATTCTGGGCCCCTTTGCAGGAGCTCACGCCTGTCTTGTCCCACGGGAAACGCTTCCCCACCATTCTGGGCCCCTTTGCAGGAGCTCACTCCTGTCTTGTCCCACGGGAAATGCTTCCCCACCATTCTGGGCCCCTTTGCAGGAGCTCACGCCTGTCTTGTCCCACGGAAAATGCTCCCCCGCCATTCTGGGCCCCTTTGCAGGAGCTCACTCCTGTCTTGTCCCACGGGAAACATTGGGAGTGCCCACAGGGCCAGTCAGAAACAAAAACAGGTGGGGCTCACAGCAAACAGGGCACAGATCGGGCCTGGCCCATGGAGGTGGCACATCAGAAAAACTAGCCAGAGGCACCACGCCACAGGAAGCACCCCCACAGGTGCTCCAGGCTCAGCCCCCAGCGTGCTTCAACGCCCTTCAGAATAGCAAACCCTCGCAGATCCAGCATAGAGGGAGCTGCCTCAGCACAGGAGAGACGCCCATGCCACACCCATAGCTAACGTCATTCTCAATGGTGGAAAGTCGAAAGCGTTTCTCCTAGGATCAGGGAGAAGGATGCCCACTCTCACCACTCCTACTCAACATAGCACTAGAAGTCTTAGCAAGAGAAAGAAACAAAAGGCATTCTAATTGAGGGAAGAAGTGAAATGTCTCTATTTGCGGACAAATTGATCTTTTATATAGAACGCCCTAAAGGCTCCACAAAAAAACTGTTAGGACATATAAACAAATTAAGATTTCAGGATATAAAATCAACGTACAAAAATCAGTAGCGTTCTATATACTAATAACAAATATTTAAAAAGTAAATTTCAAAAAAAATCCCATTTACAATAGCAACAAAATAAATAAATACTTAGGTATTAATTTAACCCAGGAGGTAAAAGACCTGCATACTGAAAACTATAAAATGCTGATGAAAGAAAATGATGAAAACACAAATAAATAGAAATATTTTCCATGTTTATGGGTAGAAGAAATAATGTTGTGAAAATGTACAAACTACCCAATATGTTCTATAGATTCAGTCCAGCCCTTATCAAATATTCAAGGTCATTTCTTACAGAAATAGAAAACACAATCCTTAAATTCATATGGAACTACAAAAGACCTTAAATAGCCAAAACAATCATGAAGGAAAAGAACACAGCTGGAGGCATCACACTCCCTCATTTTAAACTCTTTTAGCAGTTGCAATTAGTACACCCTAGAACTGGCATAAAAAACAGACAAATCAATCAATGGAACAGGATGGAACACCCAGAAATAATCCCCCACATTTATGGTCAACTGATTTTTGATGAGGGTGCCAAGAACACACAATGGGGAAAGGAGAGTCTCTCCAACAAATGATGTTGGAAAAACTGCATATCCACATGTGAAATAATGAAATTAGACCCTTATCTTATGACTTACACAAAAATCCACTTAAAATGGATAAAAGATTTGGCCTGGTGTGGTGGCTCATGCCTGTAATAGCAGCAATTTGGAAGGCCGAAACAGGTACATCACCTGAGGTCAGGAGTTTGAGACCAGCCTGGGCAACATGGTGAAACCCCATCTCTACTAAAAATAGAAAACTTATCCGGGCGTGGTGGCAGGTGCTTGTAATCCCAGCTACTCAGGAGGCTGAGCCATGAGAATCACTTGAACCCAGGAGGCGGAGGTTGCAGTGAGCCGAGATCACACCACTGCACTCCAGCCTGGGTGGCAGAGTGAGACCCTGTCTCTAAATAAATAAATAAAATTTTAAAAATGGATAAAAGACTTAAATATAAAAACTGAAATTCTAAAATAACTAGAAGAAAACATAAGGGAAAGTTCTATAACGTTGGTGTGGACAATAATTTTTTTTGGATAAGACCCTGAAAGCACAGGCAATAAAAGCAAAAACACACAAATAAAATGGCTTCAAACTCAAAAGCTTCTGCACAGCAATGGAAACAATCAGCAGAGAGAAGAGACAACCCACAAAATGGAGTAAAACATTTGCAAATCATACATCAAATAAGCAGCTAATGTCCAAAATATAAAAGAAACTCAACTCAATAGCAAGAAAACAAATAATTAGATGATGTTAAAATGGGCAAAGGACCCAAAGTCCTCAAAAGAAGATTTACAAGTAGCTAGTTGGTACATGAAAAAATGCTCAGCATCTCTAATTATTAGAGAAATGCAAATAAAAACCACAATGAGTTATCACCTCACCCCTGTTGGAATGACTATCATCAAAAACATGAAAAATAAATGTTGAAGAGGATGCAGAGGAAAGGGAACTCTTATGCGTAGTGGAAATGTAAATTACTACAGCCATTGTGGAAAATGACATGGAGGTTCCTCAAAAAACTGAATATAGAACCAGTAAATGATGCAGTAATCTCGCTTCTGGGTGTGTATCCAAAGGAACCGAAGGTAGGTCCAAGAGACGTCTGCACATCCATAGTTATTGCAGCCCTATTCATAACAGCCAAGATGTGGAATCAACCTAAGTGTCCATCCGTGGATGAATGGATAAATGTGGTATATATACAATGGCATACTATTCAGCCTTTCAAAAGAAGGAAATCCTGTCATTTGTGACAACATGGATGAATCTGGAGGACTTTATGCTGAGAGAAATAAGGTAGGCGCAGAAAGACAAATACCCCATGATCTCACTGGCATGTGAAATCTAATAAGGTTCAACTCATAGAAGCAGGAAGTAGAATGATGGTTACCAGAGGCTGACAGGTGCGGGGTGCGGGAAGACAGGGAGTGAGGAGTTGATGATCAAAGAGAACAAAGTTTCAGATAGACAGAGGGTTGGTGATCCATTGCATAGCAAGGTACTGTAGTCAGTAATGATGTGTCATATATTTCAGAATAACTAAGAGCATAAATTTCAATTGTCTCACCATGAAAGAGAACAGGTAAGCAAGGCGATGAATATGTTAGCTTGATCTAATTATTTCATCTTGTATACAATTATCAAAATATCACATTGTATCCCACAAATGTATACAGTTATGATTTGTCAATCAAAACAAATGTTAACGATATTTTTTGTTCTGAGACAGTCTCACTCTGTTGCCCAGGCAGGGATGGGGTGGTGCAATCATGGCTCACTGCAGTCTCAATCTCTCAGGCTCTAGCGATCCTCCTGCCTCAGCCTCCTGAGCAGCTGGAACTACAGCCACGTGCAACCACACTGGACTAATTTTTTAAATTTTGTGTAGAGATGGGATTTTGCTATGTTGCTCAGGCTGGTCTTGAACTCCTGGACTCAAGCTATCCTCCATCCTTGGCCTCCCAAATTACTAAGCTTACAGGCAGGGGCCGCTGCATCCAGGCAACTTTTTAAAAAAAACTATGTTCTCTGCTGGTTTCTGTGACCTCGTCACATCATTGTCGTGGTCATTGATTCCTGAAGTGTGAACTCTAAATGTCTTTGTCTGGCTCCTAGGACCCTTGTCTACATGCCCACCATTGAATCTCATAGGTCCTCCCCTCACACCTTGCTTTTCGGTTGTGCAAACCACTTATCAATTCCCAAAGAGGCTGAGCACACTCTAATCTTTCCTTTTCTGCCCAGATCCCTCCCCGCTAATGCTGATTAACCATTTTCCACCTTTCAAAATTCAAGACAAATGTCTCCTCCTCTGTGACAGAATTCTGGGCCACCGTCAGTGCCTTCCTCTTGCCTGACAAATATCTTGTCACACTTCAGTTTCTACACTTGCTATACCTATGTGTTCATATGTCTATTACAACCTCCTCTCCATGCAAATGGAAGGCCCTGGATCTGGGTTCTCTGTACTTTTGTACACCGAGAGCCCAGCACAGTGTCTGGCAATTAGTTGGTACTAAATAACAAAATATGGCAAAACAAATAAATAAAATACATGATTTAAAAGCAGACAATGTAATTGTCATTTGAACAAGTTCTCCAACTTTATTCTATTACCTTTAAATTCTCTTTTTCCTTTCTTCCCCATCCTTGCAAATGAAAAGATCCATGTACTATCAACCTTCCTCTCAAGGCTTGGGGTTTTAATGAGTCAAGGTAATAAATTTACCTGTTTTGGAGAGGAAAGAGCTGAGACAGAGAGGCTAAGTAACTTACCCGAGTAGGAGCTGCGACCTAAAGTCTGTATTTCTAACACTGCACTGATCCTAACCCAGGCAGTGAAGGTCCAGGGAAGTGAAATAAGACACACTGGACCATGACGATACATGGGAGGGAAATCTGTGAAAGACAGAGAAACAGAGCTTAGTGCCCAGGGTGGGATCTTAGGCTATTCTGGGTGATGGTGAGTGGGCAGGCCAGCAGCATTAAAGCAGCAGTAGGAGGCAGGGATGGGACCCTCGTCATAACCCGCCTCTAAGGGAACTCACTGCAGGGTGAGCATGGCCCAGCAGTGACCCGTCAGGCAGGTGTAGCAGATATTTTGCATGACTCTGATGCACTGCTTCCATTTTTTTAAGGGAGTGGTTGACTCACAGTCGGTATACCGGGGGTGACCCAGGCTCTGGTCTGCCGCAGTAACACTGGTCACATGCTCCCCGGAGCGCAATGGTAGCTGGTTGAGCATCCTCACCAATTACGGTTACCTGCTTCTCATTCTCACGGACACACAGGCTTCTGACAACTTTTCCGATTGCACAAGATCATTTTTGAGGCTTCATTCCCTCCCCCACAGTAAAGAACAGACCCTAAATCCTCAGCTTGGTCTAAAAAAAGTATTCTAAAATACGTACATTGATTTTTTCAACTGAATGTTTTCAACTAAATCAACTCAATGGAAAGTGAAAAGGGAATTTTTGTTTGTTCAATAGTTTGCCCAAAGGATTGTATCATTTCTTTAAAGTAAATTTTAGTCAAAAAGTAGGTTTATATAAAATTCTAACAAAGTTGCTTTCTTCTGGAAAAAACAAGTCCTGTAAAATACTGTGTATTTATATATAAAATAACAGATAATATATACTATATATATATGTATATCACACCGTATAATATGTACTATATGTATATAAATATTTTATAAGGAGAATTTTATTCCTATGACATAATGGTGTTACAATTTTGAAAACCAGAAGTAGGGCCTAACAATGTGTTAAAAATATTTGCACTAAGTGTTAATTGATGCATTAATGTCATTTTCATCTTTCCCCAACAAATATTTAACATTCAATACTTATACATATCCCCTGGTAAATGAACTTTCTTATTTGCCAGCAAAGGTCCTTAGAAAAATAGACTGAAAAGAAATAACTTCTATCTAAAGATGTTTCAAAAGCTTCACACAACTTACAGAATGGATAAAAATGTCCCATAACTTACAAGGGTAAATTAGCATGTGAAGGGTAAATATCATTTTACTTTAATGTCTCTCAAAAATCAAAATCTTTCCTTACCATAATTCTTAACCTAAAAAGCAATTAATAAGCAATGTTTTATAATGTTTCTGTATCTTGGGTGTGCCTGGGGAACTATTTGTGTTCTTCTTAACTGAGCTGTATAAGCAAGTAAAAAGCTGCTCTGAGAAATCATTCGGGTTTTGAAACCAAAATGATTATTAGATTAGGTCAGAGAGATCCACAGCCAAATTTATCACGCTCATATGTCTCTTTTTATCTGCCAAATATAATAGCTTGTTATTTGTCTTTTTAAAATATAAAATAAAGTTCAGTGCGCAAATAAAAATTCAATGCAGCTCAATACATGAAAGTTGTTTTTACAGCGATTCAAATCAAAGCCATCCTGTCCAATCCCGCTCTCATTTAGAAAGGTTTCCATTGGAGCAGAAAGGTGGTAATGGCTGACAGCCAATCTGCAGTGGAAAAAATGCAAGCCTGTGACCTAGAAGGCACTGGTGTTCAAAGTCCTAATTACTCAGATGTCAGAAGTACAAGATTACAGGCTTTTATAATGTCAAGATAATTAAGATAGTTTGCAAAATTGCACCTGGTAAATTCTAAATTCAAGTGACCCCAGTGGTCTGCAAAAGAATATAAAGATGTCCTTGGTAGCCTTCTGCCTGTATCTCAGTGGTACTCTCTTCCTGCCTTTATCTCAGTGGCACTCTCTTTCTGTCCCTAATAATGCACACTGTGATCCCAAACCTGTACCTGTGAGTCGAGATGAACAAGATGGTGCACCAGCTCATGGGCTTCTGAGAAGAAAAGGAAAACAGGAGCCTGTCCCCATCCCACACTGTGCTGGAGACTTTCTTAGACACTGAACCACACTTCCACCCATTGTGTTGAAGACAAGAATACGGGGAGCCAGAGACGCTGAGGAAACGTGCCCAAGCCGGCGGCAAAGCTGAGATTTGCAGCAGCCCCATTAGTCTAGTAGACTCTGACTGACATCAGCTGAGGCCAGATTTAAAGAGATGAGCATTCATGGGAGCATCTGTTATTTTGTCACACCCTCCCTAACTCGGTTTTAAATAAACAACTCAAGTGAAAAGGGGCAATATTATATGAATAACTATCATATTACATTATTTGTATCGGAAGATGCTTTTGTTTTCCTCATATATTCTTGATGTCACATGACTTCAGGCCTTTATGCAAAATGTACAACTGCCACTGTTAAAGTATGTGCTGAAATTATAACGATTACCCTCTCACATCGACCCCCACCCATATGGGCTGGCCCACCCTATAAGATGCATTGTCATTAGTTATAAATTGAACACTCATTAGAGCTGACAAAATGTTGAACAGCAAGGTATCAAGAATTCCCTGTCATTATTTGAGGTTAAATTGTCCAAAGTGACTCAGCGCAAGGGAGAATAGGTGTATTGCTGGGACACTTTTTGTATTTCAGACTCAAAATTCTCTTGAAAGAAATACAACTCGAACTTAGCTCATCATATCAAGAGCCAGATCACGTAATCCTTCTCACTGAATAAAATCAGATGGGTCTGACAATGAGGTTGGAAGCTTTGCCAAGAGCTTTTGCTGTATGTTTCTCGAGGAGTGAGAGAGAGAGAGAAAGAGGATGCAACCTGAAGTTCAGGAGCAGCTATCACCACACAGTCAGCTCCTCCTGAATCCCAGCACCTCGAGGATTAGAGGGTCCTGTTCAACACAGTAGCCACTAGGCACCTGTGCGTATTGCCCACGTGAAATGGGCTGGTTCCAACTGAGGTCAGCTGCAAGTGCAAACTATGTCCTGGATTTCACAGATTTAGAGTGGAAAAGAATGCAAACTCTCTTATTACGTGTTTAATTGATGATTTGTTGATGTGAGATTTAGATATATCGAAGTAAGTAAAACGTATTATTAAAATTAATTCCACCTGTTTGTGTTTTACTTTTTTAATGAAGCCACTAAAGACAACTTACCCATATGTTCCAAATAATTGAAAGTAGGATCTTGAAGAGGCATTTTCATGTCCATGTTCATAGCAGCATTGTTCACAAAAGCCAGATTTTCAATAGCTGAATGGATAAGCAAAATAAGGTCTATCTGCATAATGAAACCTCATTCAGCCATAAAAGATAATGAAGTACTAATACATCCTACAACATGCTTGAACCTTAATAACATCGTGGCAGGTGAAAGACGTCAGTCACAAAAGACCACATACTCTATGATTCTGTTCACATGAAAATCCAGAATGGAGGGGTCCACAGAGACAGAAAGGAGGTAAATGGTTTCTTAGCCATGGTGATGAGAAGATGGGGCCATTTGGAAAGAGTTCTAGGTTTCTTTTTGAGGTGATAAAAATGTTCTAAAATTGACTGTGGTGATGTTTGCACCTACTTGTGAATATATTGAAAACCATTGAGTCATACAGTTTAAGTGGGTGAGTTGTACGGAATGTGAATTATATCTCAACGAAGTTTTTTTTTTTTTCTTAAAAAAAAAAAGAAAACTATCAGGAAACTGATGGAAAGTTGAGAGAAGAGAATTTCAGGCAGAGAGAGTGGCACTTGCAAATAGGATCTGCTGTGAAGGAACAGATTTGTTCTCTCCCCTTGGATGGTGCTCCATGTCTCTCTGTCCTTAATTAAGACCCAGGCCAGGCTTTCATTGGGCCCCATGGCACTGGCATGGGACAAAGCTCTCCAGGCCTGTCTTGCCCAAAACACTGCTCGTACAACCCTTTATTGTGCATGCATGCAGACTCACTGAAGCTTCTACTGGAAGAAACAGAAAAACTACCACATAACAGGAAGACAGGGTAAAAAAAAAGTGCTCCTGGTGGAACACATTAACTTGCTAGTGATAATTAACCTTGTTATTAAGAGCCACAGTAATTATTACACAAAAATAATGTAACCATGCAAAGTAACAAATCAAATGGACATGTTTGTAAAAATGAGGATTGAGGAAGATTTTTTCTTACTGAACTGCATAAAAGATGTTGCATTTGAAGCATCAGAAAGTATTTCTCCACCAACAGCATCTCAAAAAAGTCAGAAATCTGACGAATACCATTCCCTTAAAGAACCAGACACTTTGCATGATTGCCTTTTACAGCCCTCACTGAGGCTGGAGACTTGCACAACTGAATCAAAAGAGATGGCTCAACTGCTCCAGGGAAAGGGAAGTTTTGCCCTCTGATTCACTTAAAAAGCAGAATGATGGACAAGCCGACCTGCTCAGCCTGCAGGTGAGGGAGGGAATCCGAGCCGCTGGCACAGAGAGGAAAACCACACTGTTAGGTGTCCAGTTCACTTCATGTGCTCGCACCAGGGTGACGACAGCAGGCCTCACCCCAAAACGCAGAAATGCTAGCATGCTGTTCCCCTAAAAAGGAGCTGAAGAGTACATGATACAAACAGCACCTGCCATGTAACCCTCAAAAACATGAGGAAAATTACATGACACTTGTCAGTACTTTTTGTTGATTCAAATATCTGTGGATTTATTACGAAATTTGTTGACTAATCCCTCAGGTAGTAAAGAAGTCATAAAAACCTGAAGGCTATTATACAGCCTTTCCCACATTTTCAAATGTGTCCTGACCTCGACCAGGAATATTCTAGGGTCTGAAATGGTGATTTATGTGATCCTATAAAGTGACGTAATGAGACTGGCTATTAGCATATGTTCAAATACTTTCAAAGCCAGAACCTGGACATGAGATGTAGTGTTTAGGGCCTAATGAAGTAGACCTGATTGATCTTTCACAATTTCGAGAAGCAGGCAGGCGGCTCAGGGCAGGTAAGCAGCTCCGCTGCATGAAGTCATCTAGGGCTCTGATACCCTTGACATTGCACTGGCTTTCCTCGGGATGTTCTAATCGTCCATGCCGTCGATACTGACTCCCCACCACACCCATGCTTAATCCTATGAGAAGAGAAACCGAGCCCCAAATCCCTCCTTTTAAGGGCCTTTCACTGCTGGGGGACTTAGATACATGGTCCAGCTTTTTCACTGGGGAGGCTGGGATATGCAGTCTCCAGCAGGCAGCCATATGCCCAACCAAAGCTCAGGAGAATGGGGCTTCTGAGTTTAAGGCAGACAGGGGAAGGGGCAGCAGAGGACAGTTAATGTTGCCATGCCTGACTTAGCAAAGCAGTTGTGTGTTTCTCCTTAGCACAGAAGGCTATGTGCTTTGAAATGATTGGATTTTCAAAGTCATTTGACCATTTTCTAACTCCTCTCCATCACTTCCTGTGCATTCTATAATTTCTCACCCTATCCCATTTTCCCAAACTTTTCCTCTGCATCCTGCTCGTATATATCAGCTCCCTAAATCCTCTCTTGCATACTGTAGTTCCTCTTTAAAAATTCTCTTCACCCCTAGCTATCAGCGAGCATGACTTTCCCAGCCTCCTTCTCCACAGGAATGTTTTTCCTCCCATATTGTACATAAGCCATGGCCTGCAGGTGGGGCAAGCACGCCCTTACTCCCACTGCTGTATTCACACGATATCTCCTTCTTTCTCCTCCAAAAGCCTCCAATTCCTTTGGAGCACACGCCATCTGACTACACCACCTGCGTTTCCCTGCCATCTTCAGACCTCCCACGTTCTTTCCTTCATCCACCACGGACTTCAGCGGCTGGCTCCATCTTCATCTCTACCTACTCTTGTTACCATTTTCAGTGACTTCAGCTTGCGCGTAGATAATCCACTGAGCAGTGAGCTCTCAAATCCTTAGCTTTCTCTCCCACGACACTCTTTCCTCCACCATCCCATGAGGCCCAGCCCCACGATCACGCCTTAGCCCTTGCCATGTAACAATAAATGTCCCACCCCATAAGACTGATACTGGCTGGGTGCAGTGGCTCACACTGTAATCCCAGCCCCTAGGGTGGGTGGATTGTCTGAGCTCAGGAGTCAGAGACCAGCCTGGGCAACATGGCAAAACCCCATCTGTACCCAAAATACAAAAAATTAGCCAGGCGTGGTGGCAGGTGCCTGTGGTTCCAGCTACTCGGGAGGCTGAGGTAGGAGAATTGCTTGAGCCTGGGAAGCAGAGGTTACAGTGAGCTGAGATCATGTCCCTGCACTCCAGCCTGGACGACAGAGTGAGACTCTGTCTCAAAATAATAATAATAATATTAAAAAGACTGATGTTAACATCTCATTCTCCTACTAAGCCTTATCTTTCCAGCTCACTTACTCTGTGCTGCCTACTCCAACCATTTTCAACATTGTAAACCACAAATCCATTGACCTTAAAATGTTTTTATTATCTGTCATCCCCTCCTGGTCTTACTTTGAACTTTCCCACTTTGGGGTCCAGGGCCCATCATTATAATCACGTTATTCAATTTGATAAACTATAACCACAAACTTTGTTTCCATTGAATTCACACAGCAAAGCAATAACCTATTCAAACCAACTATTCACCTACTCAGCGCTGTTAACAAAAGATCATGAAATCTGCAGAGGAAAAAGGAAGAGCTTTGTTCTCTATAAAACAGTCAAAAAAAAAAAAAGACAAAAAAAATTCCCGCAGACTGGGGAAGCACAAATGAAAGTGTGTGCACCGAAGAACAAAGGAAGGGTTTATGGCTCAAATAGGAAAAGTTTTCTCCCAGGTTCTCTGTCACGTCTGTTTATGCAAATGTAGGATTCACGTGTGTTCAGTTCTTATTGGTTGAGATAGCCAAGCCCTGACTGGGTGGCTTCCCATCCCAACATTAGAAGTGCCTTTGTCAGGTGTTTTCTTTTAAAATGGCCAATGGGGTGGAGGTGAGGAGTCTAGCCACTGTTTTTCTTGGCTCTGGTCACAGAAAGCACATGAAGTAGGATGTTTGTGAAGAGATGGTTCTCCTCTCACCACCCCCTATGGCCGCTTGAATCTGTTATCTAAATTTGGGTGTCTCCATTAGTCACCAGGAGCCCATTTCCTCCGGAGAGCTTGAGGTCCCATTTACAATTCTATTTCACTGCACCATCAGCCAGTAGCTGAAGAAAATCACAAAGCCATAGTGACTGTCCACACTCTAAACTCAAGGTCACAAATCTGAAACACATACTTATCACCATCCAGAGGTTCTGCTACACTTCCCTTCTAAACAAAACTCCAGTATCCAAGACATCCAAGTATTTCACACTTTCTTTATGCTGCTGAAGCCTCCAATATTTCTTCTTCTTCCTTCTCTATAGAGAAGAGATAGAGGAATTCCATCTCCCCTCCACCAACTCCAACCTTCCAAGAGGATGGAAGCAACGTCAAGGTGTTCCCATTCCTGTCTCAAGGCAACACCTCCCCCAGCACTCGGGACCTCACCAGCTCTCAAGGCACAAAGGCTTTGTGCTTCAGCTGTTTTCCGCTCTCTCCTCTGCACCATCATAATGTCATCCACACAAGAGAATTCTCACCAACACACTAACCAACTCCATGATATCCTTCCCTCTGAAACCCTGCCCTGAGCCAGTGTCTTTCTAGCTCTTTTCCTCATTTCCACTCCCTTGAATTTCATTCTCTTCCTCCCATTCTTGTCAGTGTCCTTCCCCACCACTCCCATAAAGCTCCTTTTATCATCGCCACCAGTGGCCTTCATGTTTCCAAACATGGTGATTCATTTTCTTTCTTTCTGCCGAATATGGTGATTCGTTTTCTTTCAGCAGCAGCCGACAGACCTGAGAATGCTTGTTGAGGCATTTCCTTCTATCAGCTTCCCTGCCACCTTCTCCTGTCAATCCCCTTGCTTCTCTGGCTACTCCTCAGTCTTCTCTGAGGGCTTCGGCTTCTCTGCCAGACTTCTAAACCCTGATGTTTGTCCTGGGCCTCCTCCCTTCTCTCTCTATCCTCCCTATCTCTACTTAAGCTAAGTTGGGTCATGCTTTCAAATACTATCATCCCTAAGTGCATGAGTTCCAAATTTATATTTTCTAGTCCTGACTAGCCATAGATTCCTAATAAGCCTCTGAAACTTAACACATCCAAAACATTAAATCCAAGAAAATAGAACTATCCACCCAGTTGCTTCAGCCAAAAGTCTAGAAGTCCCATTGTTTCCCCCTCACTTCCCACAATCAGCTCACCAGCTGAATCCACCCTCTTCTCTCTCACACCATTGCACCACCCAGTCTAACTCATGAACCATTTCCTCAAGTACTGTAATGACTTCTTAACTGTTTCTGTTTTTGCCCACTTATAATCCCTTTTCCACAGAGGAAACACAATAATCTATTTTAGGTATAAATAAAAGCAAGTCATTCTTTGGTTAAGCCTTCCAGTAGCTTCCCATTCCTCTTGGATAAAATTCAAACTCCTTACTATGTTCCACAAAGCCCTGTATTATCTGGCTCTTGTTTATCTTTCTATTTTTATCTCCTGCCACACTCTGCCTGGCTTACCGCATCTGCGTCACATTGACCTTCTGTGAGTATTTCAAATGCTCTTCATTCCTCACCACAATCCAAGCTCCTCTCCTTGCCTGTTCCTCACCACACTCCAAGCTCCTCTCCTTGCCTGTTCCTCACCACACTCCAAGCTCCTCTCCTTGCCTGTTCCTCACCACACTCCAAGCTTCTCTCCTTGCCTGTTCCTCACCACACTCCAAGCTTCTCTCCTTGCCTGTTCCTCACCACACTCCAAGCTTCTCTCCTTGCCTGTTCCTCACCACACTCCAAGCTTCTCTCCAAGCCTGTTCCTCACCACACTCCAAGCTTCTCTCCTTGCCTGTTCCTCACCACACTCCAAGCTTCTCTCCTTGCCTGTTCCTCACCACACTCCAAGCTTCTCTCCTTGCCTGTTCCTCACCACACTCCAAGCTTCTCTCCAAGCCTGTTCCTCACCACACTCCAAGCTTCTCTCCTTGCCTGTTCCTCCATCTGAAATGCTGTTCCCCTAGACAGCATTTATATCTTTATATCTGTCTCCTCCATGTTTAACAATTTTATGGATTTTTATTTGAAATTCACATTAATATTGATGACATTAAAGTACATATAAATTCATATCCATATTGTATTTAGATCAATGATGAGTTTATATAAATGTAAATTTTAGTTCCAACAATTTGGGTCATCTGTGAATACAAGTATGTTTAATATAAAATGTATTTTAATATAAAAAAGCTATTGATAATGTCATATAGATTGGAAATTTTAAACTCTATTGATGAACATTGAGTCTCTTTTCACTTAAATGTTATATTGCATAAATCAAACACTTTGTCAAAACAAAGCAATAAATGAACAGACAGGTAGGTGATAATTTCTGGCAGTGACAAAGCTATGTAAAAATCTAACAGTGTAAAGTGATGTGGCAGGTATGCGAAGGCATCTAATTTAAGTAAAATCAGCAAGAAGGATCTCAGAAGAGATGGCGCTGGAGTCATGTTCTCAAGTAGAGATGAGCGTGTTTTGAAATGATATGGTCAGAGCCTCACGTGATTTGAATACTATTTCTTACATATCTACTGGTGAGTTTCAGAGGCAAACAAGAACTTGAATGAGAGTACATTAGAAAACTAATTATATTTCAAGAATATTTTACAAATGGTTTGAGGTAGGCTTAGTGATATGGTTTGGCTGTGTTCCCACCCAATTCTCACCTTGAATTGTAATAATCCCCGCACATTAGCCACCTGGCGGGGCCAGGTGGAGATAATTGAATCATGGGGGCCATTTCCTCCCATAGTGTTCCCGTGGTAGTGAATAAGTCTCATGAGATCTGATGGTTTTATAGAGGGGAATTTCCCTGCACAAGCTATCTGTTGCCTGCTGCCATGTAAGATGTGTCCTTCTTCCTCTTCACTTTCTGCCATGATTGTGAGGCCTCCTCAGCCATGTGGAACTGTGAGCCAATTAAACCTCCTTCCTTTGTAAATTACCCAGTCCCAGGTATGTCTTTATTAGCAGTATGAGAACAAACTAATACACTTAGCTTATGTACAAATTATAATAATTATAATAACTTGTACCTAAGCTAAGCCTGCCTCAAATCATTCTTGAAATATGATTGTCCACTTTGCAATTCAAAAGATACCAAGTTTCTTAGATTAATACATTTTTGAAATGCCTAAATAAGGAAGGGTTTTCAAACAGAAGGCTTCCCATTTAGGTTTCTTCTGCTTCTTGTCCTGTAGTATTTAAACACCACCATCCAGGACATCCAAGAAATGGTGGTTCCTTCTTAAGACAAAGGACCATTCATCTTTATCTTTCTATAGTATTGCACACCTCTGGCATATAATAAGCATTCAAAAACCATTTGATCAACCAATCAATCTATCTTTTATCCTCCAATGTCAAGCTAAGTCAGTTTCTAACACGTAGAAAACACTAAATCAATGTGTTTGTTGAGTTAGCATGCTATGAATACATCATTCATCTAAATCCCTGAGTTTTGGAGGCAGGAAAATCAGAAGGACGCTGACATTGGAGGCAGGCAAGTCTGGAGTCAAGGGAGCCCCAGCCCCACTCTTCAGTATCTATTTGGACTTAAACAAGTCCAGTAACCTTTCTGCATTTCAGACACTTCATGTGTTACAAAAGGATTATAGCTTTCAAGGTGCCGCGAGGGGTTGAAAGACAATGTGTGGAGCTCCCAACAAAGTGTGTGGCCCAGGGTAAGCCCGAGAATCATAAAAATCGATGTGATGATGGTGTTATTATTAAGTGCCTTGTACATGTTTATGCCTTGGGTGCCAACGAATACAATTAGTAATGACTATTTTCATCATTGTGGGTACCAAGAGGCTTTCTGAGTTTTTTTTCCAAGCAGAACAGAACCAAGAACTAATTATTATACTCCAAACCCTTATTCTTAGTCTCAAGACTAAGCAGCACACGCCATGAGAGTTAGAGTCCTCCCTCTAGCTAGGAGCCTCTGCTAGGAAGCAAGCCAGTGAGCTATCCATAAAAGCACAACCTCTGCTAGAGAACAGTAAGCTGCAGACAGGCTTTATACATGGCTATTCTTCTCAGACCAGAAGAGACATTCTGTTGGCATTTTCATCTGACAGTATAAAGTTACAATACAAATATAAGGGTAGCCAGTTTTCCCAGCACCATTTATTAAATAGGGAATCCTTTCCCCATTGCTTGTTTTTCTCAGGTTTGTCAAAGATCAGATAGTTGTAGATATGCGGCATTATTTCTGAGGGCTCTGTTCTGTTCCATTGATCTATATCTCTGTTTTGGTACCAGTACCATGCTGTTTTGGTTACTGTAGCCTTGTAGTATAGTTTGAAGTCAGGTAGTGTGATGCCTCCAGCTTTGTTCTTTTGGCTTAGGATTGACTTGGCAATGCGGGCTCTTTTTTGGTTCCATATGAACTTTAAAGTAGTTTTTTCCAATTCTGTGAAGAAAGTCATTGGTAGCTTGATGGGGATGGCATTGAATCTGTAAATTACCTTGGGCAGTATGGCCATTTTCACGATATTGATTCTTCCTACCCATGAGCATGGAATGTTCTTCCATTTGTTTGTGTCCTCTTTTATTTCCTTGAGCAGTGGTTTGTAGTTCTCCTTGAAGAGGTCCTTCACATCCCTTGTAAGTTGGATTCCTAGCCATATGTAGAAAGCTGAAACTGGATCCCTTCCTTACACCTTATACAAAAATCAATTCAAGATGGATTAAAGATTTAAACGTTAAACCTAAAACCATAAAAACCCTAGAAGAAAACCTAGGCATTACCATTCAGGACATAGGCGTGGGCAAGGACTTCATGTCCAAAACACCAAAAGCAATGGCAACAAAAGACAAAATTGACAAATGGGATCTAATTAAACTAAAGAGCTTCTGCACAGCAAAAGAAACTACCATCAGAGTGAACAGGCAACCTACAACATGGGAGAAAATTTTCGCAACCTACTCATCTGACAAAGGGCTAATATCCAGAATCTACAATGAACTCAAACAAATTTACAAGAAAAAAACAAACAACCCCATCAAAAAGTGGGCGAAGGACATGAACAGACACTTCTCAAAAGAAGACATTTATGCAGCCAAAAAACACATGAAAAAATGCTCATCATCACTGGCCATCAGAGAAATGCAAATCAAAACCACTATGAGATATCATCTCACACCAGTTAGAATGGCAATCATTAAAAAGTCAGGAAACAACAGGTGCTGGAGAGGATGTGGAGAAATAGGAACACTTTTACACTGTTGGTGGGACTGTAAACTAGTTCAACCATTGTGGAAGTCAGTGTGGCGATTCCTCAGGGATCTAGAACTAGAAATACCATTTGACCCAGCCATCCCATTACTGGGTATATACCCAAATGAGTATAAATCATGCTGCTATAAAGACACATGCACACGTATGTTTACTGCGGCACTATTCACAATAGCAAAGACTTGGAACCAACCCAAATGTCCAACAATGATAGACTGGATTAAGAAAATGTGGCACATATACACCATGGAATACTATGCAGCCATAAAAAATGATGAGTTCATATCCTTTGTAGGGACATGGATGAAATTGGAAACCATCATTCTCAGTAAACTATCGCAAGAACAAAAAACCAAACACCGCATATTCTCACTCATAGGTGGGAATTGAACAATGAGATCACATGGACACAGGAAGGGGAATATCACACTCTGGGGACTGTGGTGGGGTCGGGGGAGGGGGGAGGGATAGCATTGGGAGATATACCTAATGCTAGATGACACATTAGTGGGTGCAGCGCACCAGCATGGCACATGTATACATATGTAACTAACCTGCACAATGTGCACATGTACCCTAAAACTTAGAGTATAATAAAAAAAAAAAAAAAAAAAAAAAAAAATATATAAGGGTAGTTGTTATTGGATAACACTTCAACAGCATTTTCTTTTTAAATCTCTGTATAGAGAGGATTTCTATTAACATACAACAGGCCAAAAACCTGAGCATCATCCTGAGCATCATTCTTTCTCTCACGCCCTGCCTCCAATCCCTCAGAAAATGTGATTGTCCTACTTTCAAGATCTACCCAAATCTGGCTTTTCTCACCACCTCCAATGCTACAACCTGGTTGGAGTCACCATCATCTTTCACTGGGAGGTTGCTCAAGCCTCTCACAGACTCCACTGTTTCTACCCCTGACCCCTGCAGTCTACTCTGAGCAGAGCAGTCAGAAGCATTCTTTGAGACTTCCTTTTAGACACACTTCTGCCCAGCACCCTGCAATCACTTCCCACTTCTGAGCTGGTGGGCTCTGAGGCCATCCATGGTCTGGACCCAATACCAGTCCAGCCTCCCCTCTGAAAGCTCCACCCTCCCTCACTGCTGCAGCCATGCCAGACTCCATGCTCATCCATGGATGCAAGTGGCAAGCACCTGTCTCGTGATCCTTGCTCTATCTGCTCTCCATTTGGAAGTCTCTTCTCTCAGATAGCCATGATCTATTTCTTTATCTTTTTCAAATTTTGTCTCAAGCTTCATCTTTTCAGGGGGTCTACCCACTGCTCTGATCACCCTGCTTAACCCTGAAACCTCCCCCACCCAGATACACACAGCACAGCGCTCTGCACTCTCATCACTCTGTCCTACTGTTCTCCATAATTCTGTTCACTTTTACCACTCTGTACTGCCCACTTTATTGTGTTTATTGTTGACTACCTGCCCCTCCCTGTGAAAAACAAGCACCTTGAGGATGGAGATCTTTGTCTCTTTTGCTCACTGATTTGCTGAAGCACAGAAAACTTATGAGCAGTGCTTGGCTCATAGCAGGTACTCAGGAAATACTGAATCAGTGAATATAAACTAAGAAGACAATGATGGCTTACCATGAGTGGAAAGATGCCCATCATGTGGGAAGCAAGGAAATCTTTACGTGTGCAAAATCAGGGCTTTGTCACCTGTTTAGAGCAACCATTTCTTCCTCTGCTTAGAGACATTAACAGGATATGAGCAGGTGTTTAGTAGAGAATATAATCAGTTTAGTTTTTCAGAGCAGATGATACAAAAATATTCTCCTCATACAGATTATGAGATATTGAGCCTAACAGTTTTGAAATTTAGGAAAAGTTAATATGAATGAGAGAAAAATAACCAAAAAGAAATAGCAATTATTCCTTACTAATGTTATTTTTCTGCCTGCAAAGTAAACATGGTAAAAGAAATTTTTCACTTTAAGTTATGAAAGTTGACACTATTATCTATAATTTTTACATGTGCCTCTATTATATGTCCTCTAGTCTTTCACTAAACTAGTCCCACTGTAATCTGCTATTATTTGTACTTATTTTACCTATAATTTGGAAATAACGTGATTAGCATATTTTTCCTTAAATTTTATTCCTGGTCTCAAAGACTTTTTCGACATAGTCATTAACTCTAAGACTAAACAAAAGAGAATAGCTAAAGAAAAGGTTATACTAGGCTGGAAAGCTACAGGTTGAAGGCCAGGTTGGCCCACATTTTTTTTTTTTTTATAAATAAAGATGATTGAAACAGCCATGCCCGTTCACCTGCCTCTTGTCCATGGCTGCTTTCTAACTGGCAGAGTTGAGTATTTGTGACAGAGACCATATGGCCACAGAGCCAAAAATATTTACTTCTGTCCCTTTACAGAAAGGTTTGCTGACCTTGTATGAGGCAGTCGATCTTCCTTCCTACTGGCTTTTCACATGTTGCTGTGTGTCTATGTGAGGTCATTTATTGAGCACCAAATATGCCAAATATGCATCATGGCTATGAGTCTAGCACAAGAAGGTGACGCTCGCAAACATGTCATGATAGTTGCCGAAGGTGCTGTGGACAAACATCACTCCCTTCCCTCCACGTTAGAGACAAGATGGGAAAGAGAAATGGGGAGAAATTGCTCATATCCACAAAGTAGAAGTCCTTCACTAAAGAGCACTGGCTCAGCCCTTGAATGCTGAGAAACTAAAAACAGAGAAAGGTTAAGGACACAGGAAACAGGGATGAGGAACAGCTCCTTACATTTTCTAATAACTCAGGGTATTGCCAGTGGCCAGAGCCAACCCAAATCATCACATCCAAACATGGGACGAGGCAAAATCTGAAACTGTTAAGAGATATGCAGCGTCAGTTTGATTCCCGCTGCGGACGAGGGGCAGCCCGCACATGCTGAGGATGGACCCCGACCCTCCTGCTGCTAGCAGGCTGAGGGCAATGCCGTCTCTATGCTACCCTGTGTCAGGTCACCACAGTGTCCCCAGAATCTGAATGCTGAGTGCAACCAAGGTTTTAGTTCAGCAACGTGAAACACCAGCTGCTCCTCCACACCCCGGCACTCCCACGCTGCACCCCACACCCCGGCACTCCCACGCTGCACCCCACACCCCGGCACTCACACGCTGCACCCCACACCCCGGCACTCCCACGCTGCACCCCACACCCCGGCACTCACACGCTGCACCCCACACCCCGGCACTCACACGCTGCACCCCACACCCCGGCACTCCCACGCTGCACTCCACACCCCGGCACTCACACGCTGCATCCCACACCCCGGCACTCCCACGCTGCACTCCACACCCCGGCACTCCCACGCTGCACCCCACACCCCGGCACTCCCACGCTGCACCCCACACCCCGGCACTCACACGCTGCACTCCACACCCCGGCACTCCCATGCTGCATCCCACCCGAGGAAAGCACATGGAAATCATGTGAGCACCACAGGGGCCAATGTGTGCTGCATCATCTCCAGCGTTCCAGTCAACAGACACTGAGCAGTAGACAGCAAAGAATTCCTCAAGCTGGGTTCAACAGGAATCCCTTCCTTGAGAATACGTACCAGACCACAGGATTATTTTAGAAAGCATTAATCCTAGGAACATGTACTTGGGGTGATTCCTAACATACTAGGAGTTATAAATAGAGCACAGACATATTTGGTCTATAAATAAAATTCTTTTAACTGATGTTTTATTGTGGTAAGATATACATAACTAAAATGTGCCATTTCAATGATTTTCAAATGTACAACTCAGTGGCATTAAATTCATTCCCATTGTTGTGCAGACATCACCAATATCCACTCCAGCACTTTCCATCATCCCACACTGAAACTCCGTACCTTTCAGGTAGGAGAGAAAAAACACCAGAGAGGAGACAGGACTAACATGCAGCTCCCATTTAGACAAACAGATCAGCGTCTGGAGATTCACATTGTGAACTTCTGTTCCAAGGACATACTAGGGAGACTGAAAGAATTCACAGACCCTTTGAAAGTTTTTCTCTACCTGCCCTGGTAGCCGAAGACAAAAGACATAAACTCTTGGGAGCTCTATGTCCCTGCCCATCACCTGAGAAACCCGAGTACTTATCCTGGCCAACATAGGGCAAGGTGGTAGCCCCCTTCTACAACTGTAGCTTGTGCTCTCTTGAGAGTGCCACCTCCTGGCTGGGGCCAACCAACTCAAGCCATTACAGCAACTCATAAGAGAACAACCCTGCTTCATAGAAGGAGAAAACAACAGCTAATTCCACTGCCTGCAACATCCTGGCTAACCAGAGGTCCTGAGTCTGTCCCTGTGAAAATTTCACTGCTAGCATAACCAGCATTTGAGAAAACCATCACATTACAACAACCAAAAAATCCCAGAGTTCACTTCACTCCCCTGCCACCTCCACCAGAGCAGGGGCTGTTATCCAGAATTGGGAGACCTGAAGACAAATCACAGCACAGGACTTTTTGCAGACATTCTGCAGCACCAGCCTGGAGCCCAGTAGCCCCACTGGGTGTCTAGTCCCAGAAGGGCATTAGCAATCACTGCAATCTGGCTCTCAAGAAGCCCTATCCCTAGAGGAAGGGGGAGGGCACACATCAAGAGAGCACCACCATGTGGGACAAGAGAATCTGAATAGCAGCCCTTGAGGTCCAGATCTTTCCACTGAAACAGTCTACCCAAATGAAAAGAAACCAAAAAAGTAATTCTGGTAATATGACAAAACAAGTTGTATAGTACCCCCAAAAGATCACACTAGCTCTCCAGCTGTGGTACCAAACCAAGAAGAAATCTCTGAATTGCCAAAAAAAAAAAAAAAAAAAAAAAAATTGGAAGGTTGGTTATTAAGCTATTCAAGGAGGCACCAGAATAAGGTGAAAACCAACTTCAAGAAATTTTGAAAACAATACAGTATATGGATGAAAAAGTCTCCAGAGAAACATGTATCATAAAGCAAAGACAATCACAATTTCTGGAAATGAAAGACACACTTAGAAAAATACAAAATAAACTGAAAAGTTTCAACAATAGAATAAAACAAGTAGAATAAAGAACTTCAGAGCTCAATGACAAGGCTTTCAAATTAACTGAAAAAAAAAGACAAAGAAAAAAGAATTTTAAAAAATTAACAGACTCCAAGAAATTTGGGGTTTTGTTAAATAACCAAGCATAAGAATAATTGGCATTCCTGAGGAAGAAAAGAAATCTAAATGTTTGGAAAACTTATTTGAGGGAATACTCAGGGAAAACTTCCCTGGCCTTGCTAAAGATCTAGACATCCAAATACAAGAAGCTCAAAGAACACCTGGAAAATTCATCACAAAAAGATCATCACCTATGCACATAGCCATCAGGTTATCTAAAGTTAAGATGAAAGAAATAATCTTAAGAGCTGTGAGGCAAAAGCAGCAGGTAACCTATAAAGAAAAAGCTATCAGATTGACAACAGATTTCTCAGCAGAAACCCTACAGGACAGAAGGGATGGGGTCCTATATTTAGCTCCCTTAAACAAAACAATAACAGTCAAGAATTTTATATCTAGTGAAACTAAGCTTCATAAATGAAGGAGAGAAAAAGTATTTTTCAAAAAAACAAATGTTGAGAGAATTTGTTACTACCAAGCCAGCACTGCAAAAAATGCTAAAAGGAGTCTTAAATCTTGAAATGAAACCTAAAATACACCAAAATAGAACCTCTTTAAAGCATAAATCTCACAGGATCTATAAAACAATAACACAATTTAAAAAACAACGTATTGAGACTACAACTAGCATGATGAATAGAACAGTACCTCACATCTCAATATTAATGTTGAACGTAAATGGATTAAATGCTTCACTTAAGAGATACAGGGCTGGGAATGGTGGCTAACACCTGTAATCCCAGCACTTTGGAAGGCAGAGGTGGGCAGATCACGAGATCAAGAGACCTAGACCATCCTGGCCAACATTGTGAAACCTCGTCTCTACTAAAAACACAAAAATTAGCTAAGCACGGTGGTACAAGCCAGTAGTCCCAGCTACTCGGGACATTGAGGCAGGAGAATCACTTGAACTCGGGAGGTGGAGGTTGCAGTGAGCCAAGATCACACCACTGCACTCCAGCCTGGTGACCGAGCGAGACTCCATCTTAAAAAAAAAAAAAAAAGATACAGAATGGCAGAATGAATAAAAATCCACCAATCAAGTATCTGCTGTCTTTAAGAGATGCACCTAACACATAAGGCTTCACCTAAACCTAAAGTAACCAAGTGGAAAAAGATATTCCACACAAATGGATACCAAAAGTGAGTAGAAGTATCCATTCTTGTATCAGACAGAAAATACTTTAAATCAGCAACAGTTAAATAGTGATCAAAAAACTCGTCCAACAGGAAAAAAATCACAATCCTAAATATATATGCACCTAACACTGGAGCTCCAAAATTTATAGAACAATTATCATGAGACCTAAGAAATTAGATAGACAGCAACACTATAATAGTGGGCACTTCAGTACTCCACTGACCACTAGAAAGGTCATAAATACAGGTCAACAAAGAAACAGTGGGAAACTACACCCTAGAACAAATGGACTTAACAGATGTTTACAGAACATTCTATCCGACAACTGCTGAATATATGTTCTTCTCCTCAGCACATGGAACATTCTCCAAAATAGACTATATAATAGGCCACAAAATGTGTCTCGGCCGGGTGTGGTGGCTCACACCTGTAATCCCAGCACTTTGGGAGACCAAGGCAGACAGATCACCTGAGGTCAAGAGTTTGAGACCAGCCTGGCTAACATGGCAAAACCGTGTCTCTACTAAAAATACAAAAACAATTAGTTGGGCATAGTGGCATGCACCTGTAGTCCCAGCTACTAGGGAAGGTGAGGCAGAAGAATCACTTGAACCTGGGAGGAGGAAGTTTCAGTGAGCTGAGATCATGCCACTGCACTCCAGCCTGGGCAACAAGAGTGAGACTCCATCTAAAAAAAAAAAAAAAAAAAAACCATGTCTCAATTAATTTAAGAAAATTGAAATTATGTAAAATACTCTCTCTCAGACCACAGTGGAATAAAATTACAAATTAACTGTCAAAGGAACCATCAAAACTATACAAATACATGGAAACTGAATAATCTGTTACTGAATGATCCTGGGGTTAAATAAAATAAAAATGGAAATTAAAAAATATATTTGAACTGAACAATAATAGTGACACAGCCAATCAAAATCTCTGGGACACAGCAAAAGTGGTGCTAAGAGGAAAGTTCATAGCATTGAATGCCTACATCAAAAAGTCTGAAAGAGCACAAATAAACAACCCAAGGTCACACCTCAAGGAACTAGAGAAGCCAGAACAAACCAAACCCAAACCCAGCAGAAAAAAAGAAATAACCAGGATCACAGTAGAACTAAATAAAATTGAAACAAGCAAACAAAAACAATACAAAAGATAAATGAAGCAAAAAGCTAGTTCTTTTTGCATAAACAAAAGTGAGAGACTATTAGCAAGATTAGCCAAGAGAAAAAGAGAGGAGATCCAAGTAAACTCAATTAGAAATGAAATGGGAGATGTTACAACTAATACCACAGAAATACAAAAGATCATTCAAGGCTACTATGAACACCTTTATGTCCACAAACTAGAAAACCTAAAAGATTTGGATAAATTATTGGAAATACATAATCCTCCTAGATTAAACCAGAAAAAAATAGAAACTCTGAACAGACCAATAACAAGTAGCAAGATTAAAACAGCAATAAAAAAAACTGCCAGCAACAACAAGTCCAGGAGCAGCTGGATTCTATCAGACATTCAAAGAAGAATTGGTACCAATCCTACTGAAACTATTCCAAAAGATAGAGAAAGAGGGAATCCTCTCTAAATCATTCTATGAAGCCAGCATTACCCTAATACCAAAACCAGGAAAAGATATAACAAAAAAAAAGAAAACTACAAACCAATATCCCCGATGAACATAGATGTGAAAATCCTCCACAAAATACTATCTAACTCAATTCAACAGCATATCAAGAAGATAATCCACCATGATCAAGTGTGTTTTATAACAGGGATACAGGGATGGTTTAACATATGCAAGTCAACAAATGTGATACAGCACATAAACAGAAGTAAAATCAAAAATCATATGATCACCTCAATAGATGCAGAAAAAGCATTTGATGAAATCCAGCATCCCTTTATGATTAAAACCCTCAGCAAAACAGCATAGAGGGACATACCTTAAGGTAATAAAAGTCATTTATGACAAATCCACAGCCAACATCATACTGAATGGGAAAAGCTCAAAGAATTTTCTCTGATCAATGGAACAAAACAAGGATGCCCACTTTCACCACTTGTATTCAACATAGTACTGAAAGTCTTAGCCGGAGCAATTAGACAAGAGAAGTAAACAAAAGGCATCCAAATCAGTAATGAGGAAGTCAAACTGTTGCTAATGCCACTGACATGATGGTATACTTAGAAAACCCTAAAGACTCATCCCAAAAGCTCATAGATCTAATAAATGAATTCAGTAAAGTTTCAGGTACAAAATTAATGTACACAAATCAGTAGCACTGCTATACACCAACAATGACCAAGCTTAGAATCAAATAAAGAACTCAATGTCTTTTACAACAGCTACAAAAAAGTAAAATACTTAAGAATATACCCAACAAAAATGTGAAAAATCTCTGCAAGGAAAACTACAAAACACTGCTGAAAGAAATCACAGACAACACAAACAAATGGAAACACATCCTATGCTCGTGGTTGGGTAGAATCAATATTGTGAAAAGGATAATTCTGCTGAAAGCAATTTATAAATTCAATGCAATTCCCATCAAAATACCATCATCATTTTTCACAGAACTAGAAAAAACAATCCTAAAATTCATATGGAACCAAAAAAGAGCCCATATAGCCAAAGCAAGATTAAATAAGCAAAAAGAACGAATCTGGAGGCATCACGTTATCTCACTTCAAGCTATACTACAAGGCTATAGCTACCAAAACAGCATAGAACTGATGAAAAAATAAGCACATAGACCAATAAAACAGAATAGAGAACCCAGAAATAAAGCCAAATACTTATGATCAACTGATCTTCCACAAAGCAAACAAAACATAAAATGGAGAAAGGATCCCCTATTAACACATGCTGCTGGGATAATTGGCAAGCCACATGTACAGAAATGAAACTAAATCCTCATCTCTCACCTTATACAAAATCAACTCAAAATGTATCAAAGACTTAAATCTAAGACCTGAAACCATAAAAATTCTAGAAGATAACACTGGAAAAACTCTTCTAGACATTGGCCTAGGCAAAAAGTTAATGATCAAGAACTCAAAAGCAAATGCAACAAAAACAAAGATAAACCAATGAGACTTAATTAAAGTAAAAACCTTCTGCAAATCAAAAGAAATAATCATCATAGTAAACAGACAATGCACAGAGTGGGAGAAAAGATTCGCAAACTACAAACTATGTATCCAATAGAGGACTAATATTCATAATCTACAAGAAACTCAAACAAATCAACAAGATAAAAACAAACACATCAAAAAGTGAGCTAAGGCCATGAACAGACAATTTTCAAAAGAAGATATACTAATGGCCATCAAACATATAAAGAAATGCACAACATCACTAATTATCATGGAAATGCAAATCAAAACCACAATGCAATACCACCTTTCTCCTGCAAAAATGGCCATAATTTTAAAAATCAAAAAATTATAGACATTGGTATGGATGTTGTGAAAAGGGAACACTTTTACACTGCTTGTAGAAACATAAGCTAGTATAACCACTATGAAAAACAGTATGGAAATTCCTTAAAGAACTAAAAGTGGAACTTCCGTTTGATCCAGCAATCCCACTTGTGAGTATCTACCCAGAGGAAAAGAAGTCATTATATGAAAAAGACACTGGCACACACATTTATAGCAGCACAATTTAACAGTTGCAAAAATAAGGAGCCAGACCAAATGCCCATCAATCAATAGTGGATAAAGAAAATGTGGTGTATATATATACCATGGAACATTACTCAGCCATAAAAATGAATGAAATAATGGTATTTGCAGCAACCTTGATGGAGTTGGAGATCACTATTCTAACTGATGTAACTCAGGAATGGAAAACCAAACATCGTATGTTCTGACTTTTAAGTGGAAGCTATGCTATGGGGACGCAAAGGCGTAAGAATGACATAATGGACTCTGGGACTTGAGGAGAAGTGGGTGATAAGGGACAAAAGGCTGTACATTGGGTACAGTGTACACTGCTTGGGTGATGGGTGCACCAAAATCTCATAATCACCACTCAAGAACTTATCCATGTAACCAAACACCACCTGCTTTCTCAAAACTATTGAAATAATAATAATTAAAAAAAAAAAACCTCTGTACCTTTCAAACAATAACTCTCCATTCTGCCTTCCCCCAGCCCCTAGCAACCATCATTCTTCTTTCTGTCCCCATGAGTCTTACTAAGTATATTGTATGAGGGGAATCACAGAATATTTGTCATTTTGTGACTGACTTATTTCACTTAGCATAAAATCTTCAAGGTTTATCCATGTTGTAGTATGTCTCAGAATTTCATTGCCTCTTAATGCTGATTAATATTTCATTGTATGTATGTAGCACATTTTGCTTATCTATTCTTCCACTGATGGATCTTTGGGTTGCTTCCATGTTTTAGCTGATGCAAGTAATGCTGCTATGGACATGCGTATACACACATTTGTTTAGGTCCCTACTTTCAATTCTTTTGGATATATCCCCAGAAGTGAAAATGCTGAATGACAAGATATATCTATTTTCAATTTCTTGAAGAACCTCCAAACTGTTTTCCATTGTTACTGTACCATTTTACATTCCCACCAGCAGTGTCAAGCGTTCAAATATCTGTTTTTGTTTTTGTTTTCTAGTAGTAGCCAAACTAACGGCTGGGAAGTGGTACATTGTTGCGGTTTCGATATGCATCCCTATTAATTAGTGATATTGGGCACAGGCACATTTTTAAAAACATACAATCAATAAAATTGCTAGGTCATGGGGATTGAAAGTGGTCAGTTTTTCTGGGTAATATTTATTGTTCTCCAAAGTGATTTGCATTTACAAGAATTGTTAACACATAACAAGCATCCTAGATTTGTTTTAAGAAAGAAGGGACTTCACAATTTTTCACTTTTACTTAACTTTGAAATACTAAGATTTATAGAAAAGTTGTAAGGATAGTATAAAGGGTTCCAGTGAGCCTTCCACCCAGTCTCCCCTAATTTTAGCGTGTTATATAACCATGACACATTTATCAAAACTAAGAAATCAACATTGCTACACTATTGACTAAACTATGGACTTTATTTGGCTTTTTGACAGTTTTTCCAATAATGCCCTTTTCCTATTCAAGGATCCAATCCAGAATACCACGTTGCATTCATCTGTTATGTCTTCTTAGTCTCTGCCAATCCGTGACAGCGTCACTGTCTTCCCTTGTTACTCATGAACTTGACACTTTTGAAGAGTATTAGTCAGGTATTTTGTAGAATGCTCCTCAATTGCGGATTTTTTCTATAGATTGCACTGGCATTCTGGATTTGGGGGTAAGGTAACACAGTGGTGATGTCCTTCTCATTGCATCATTTCCAGGGATGCTTGACATCAACACTACTTATCACTGGTGATGCTCACCTCCATCACTTGGATAAGGCCAAATCTTTCAGATTTTTTCACTGTAGGGTCACTATTTTTACTTTTCCAAAACTCTATTTATTACAAGCAAGGCACTAAATCCAGCTTACTTTCATAAGGAGGGAAATTAAACTCCACCTGCTGGAGGAAAAACTATGAAAGAATTTGTGGATATATGTTAAATTCAGTACAGTAATTAATAAATCTTTGGCCACAGATATTTGAGGTTATTCAAATATCCTGTTTCTTCCTTATGTTTCAGACACTAATTTCAGCAGTCATCCATGAATCTTTCCTATGGCGACTATTACTGTGGTATTCTAGTGGTGTATTAGTCCATTCTTACACTGCTAACAAAGACATATGGGAGACTGGGTAATTTATAAAGAAAAAGATGTTTAATGGACTCACAGTTCCACAGGACTGGGGAGGCCTCACAATCATGGTGGAAGGCAAAGATAGAGCAAAGGCACATCTTGTATGGTGGTAAGCAAGAGAGCATGTGGAGGGGAACTGCCCTTTATAAACCATCAGATCTCATGAGATTTATTCACTATCACCAGAACAGCATGGGAAAAAATCAGAGCCATGATTCAATTACCTCCCACTGGGTACCTCCCAGGCCAGGTGGGGATTATGGGAGCTACAATTCAAGACAAGATTTGAGTGGGGACACAGCCAAACCACATCAAGTGGTGTCTTCCATTTCCCTCCTTTCTTTTATGTTTACTATTTGGAAATCTTCCACAAGGAAGATTTTTTTCACTTCTTCAGTTATTATGTATTTAACCATTTATTTTTATCAGTATAAACTCACAGATATTTACTTTTTTCTTTGGGTTATAACTCAGTAGTATTTTTATTAATTTTGTTGTTCAAAGTTTTCCAGCTTTGGCCACTGGGAGCTCTTTCAGGTTGGCTGCATGTTGCTTTGTCAGGCCTGTTCCCTGACCCCTTACTTTCTGGCAACACAAGGTCCTCCAGGTTCATCATGCATTTTCCCTTCCCTAGCCCTTGAGTCAGCCAGTTCTCCAGGGAGTCCTAGTTCAAAACGGACAACTTTTCAAATCAACTTCCATGTGTTGCTATGTATAATTTCAGATTCTTTCTTTTCTTTTTTTTTTTTTGAGATGGAGTCTCGCTCTTTCACCCAGGCCAGAGTGCAGTGGCATGATCTCCGCTCACTGCAAGCTCTGCCCCCTAGGTTCATGCCTTTCTCCTGCCTCAGCCTCCTGAGTAGCTGGGACTACAGACACCCGCCACAACGCCCGGCTAATTTTTTTTTTTTTTTTGTATTTTTAGTAGAGATGGAGTTTCACTGTGTTAGCCAGGATGGTCTCCATCTCCTGACCTTGTGATCCACCCGTCTTGGCCTCCCAAAGTGCTGGGATTACAGGCATGAGCCACCGCGCCCGGCCAATTTTCAGATTATTTCTATGCTATAATTAATGCTATAATTAACTATAGATTTTCCATAATTAAGTCATATGTATTATAGCACTCAGACTAACAGGCTGCAGTAAGAAGGAACATGAACCTATCACCAATGCTTTACCCTTCTTTCTCTAGCACTCACCTGGTAATCTCTGTGGGCCCAACTGGCTCTAAGATTCTATGATTCTATAATGAAAAGACAAAAGGCAAAAGATGTTCCCATGAGGGACATTTCTTTGAATCAGAAAATTGTTTCATTTTGCCAAAAATAAATTTAAGCCCTAGTTGACCTCCATTTTGCCTTTTCTATCCTTCCTGTCATTTAATCCTATTCCTTCCATTTTATTATCAATTTTGAAATGAAAATTTAAATTTGTTTTGCTTGATCAAATTATGATATAAATAAAGTAATAAAAATACAAAACAATAAATTATACTTATAAAGTCTACAGCTTCTTGAAATTAACATATTATAATCTACTGCTGCTGCAATCTTTAGTCATCAAACAGTTTAAACACTAGAGTAGTGGTTCTTGACAGAGGGGACTTTGCCCCGATATGGATTGGCTGTGCCCCCATGCAAATCTTATCTTGAATTGTAGCTTCCACAATTCCCACATGTTGTGGGAGGGATCCAGTAGGAGGTAATTGAATCATGGGGAAAGGCTTTTCCCATGATCTTCTCATGATAATTAATAAGTCTCATGAGACATAAAGGTTTTGTAAGGGAGAACTCTTTTCACTTAGTTCCCATTCTCTCTTACTGCTGCCATGTAAGAAGTACTTTTCGCCTTCCACCATGATTGTGAGGCCTCCCTAGCCACATGGAACTGTGAGTTTATTAAACCTATTTTCTCTCCAGTCTCAGGTATGTCTTTATCAGCAGTGTGAAAATGAACTAATACAGTAAATTGGTACCAGTGGACTGGGGCATTGCTGAAAAGATACCAAAAAATGTGAAAGCAACTTTGGAACTGGCTAACAGGCATAGGTTGAAACTGTTTGGAGGGCTCAGAAGAAGACAGGAAATGTGGGAATATTTGGAACTCCCTAGTAGAGACTTTTTAAATGGCTTTGAGCAAAATGCTGATAATGATATGGGCAATGAAATCCGGGCTGAGGTGGTCTCAGATGGAGAGGAGGAATTTGTTGGGAACTGGAGCAAAGGTGACTCTTGCTATATTTTAGCAAAGATACTGGCAGCATTTTGCCCCTGACCTAGAGATTTGTGGAACTTTGAATTTGAGAGAGATGATTTAGGGTATTTGGCAGAAGAAATTTCTAAACAGCAAAGCATTCAAGGTGTGACTTGGGTGCTGTTAAAGGTGTTCAGTTTTAAAAGGGAAACAGAGCATAAAAGTTTGACAAATTTGCAGCCTGACAATGTGATAGAAAATAAAATCCCATTTTCTAAGGAGAAATTCAAGCTGGCTGCAGAAATTTGCATAATTAATGAGGAGCTGAATGTTAATCACCAAGACAATGGGGAAAATGTCTCCAGGGCATGTCAGAGACCTTCGTGGTAGCTCCTCCCACCACAGGCCCAGAGGCCTAGGAGGAAGAAATGGTGTCATTGGCCGGGACCAGAGTCTCTCTGCTGTGTGCAGTCTAAGGACTGTGTTCCAGTTGCTCCATCCATGACTAAAAGGAGCCAAGGTACAGCTTGGGCCATGGCTTCAGAAGGTGCAAGTTCCAAGCCTTGGCAGCTTCCATGTGGTGTTGAGCCTGCAGGTGCACAGGAGTCAAGAATTGAGGTTTGGGAACCTCTGCCTAGTTTTTCAGAAGATATTATGGAAACATCTGGATGTCCAGGCAAAAGTTTGCTGCAGCAGTGGGGCCCTCATGGAGAACCTCTACCAGGGCAGTGAAGAAGAGAAATGTAGGGTGGGGATCCCCACAGACTCCCCACTAGGGTGCTGCCTAGTGAAGCTGTAAGAAGAGAGCCACCATCCTCCAGACCCCAGAATGGTAGATCCACTGACAGCTTGCACAATGCACCTGGAAAAGCCACAGACACTCAATACCAGCCCATGAAAGCAGCTGGGAGGGAGGCAGTATCCTCCAAAGCCACAGGGGCAGAGCTGCCTGAGACCACGGGAACCCATCTCTTGCATCAGCATGACCCAGATGTGAGACATGGAGTCAAAAGATATCATTTTGGAGCTTTAAAATTTGACTTCCCTGCTGCATTTTGGACTTGCATGGGGCCTGTAGCCCCTTTGTTTTGGCCAATTTCTCCCATTTGTAACAGCTGTATTTACCCAATACATGTACCTACATTGTATCTAGAAAGTAATTAACTTGCTTTTGATTTTATGGGCTCACAGACAGAGGGGACTTGCCTCGTCTCAGATGAGACATTGGACTGTAAACTTTTGAATTAATGCTGAAATGGGTTAACAATTTGGGGTTCTACTGGGAAGGCATGATTGGTTTTGAAATTTGAGGACATGAGATTTGGGAGGGGCCAGGGACAGAATGATATGTTTTGGCTGTGTCCCCACAGAAATCTCATCTTGAATTGTAGCTGCCACAATTCCGTGTTGTGGGAGGGACCAAGTGGGGGGTAACTGAATCATGGGGGCACGTATTTCCTGTGCTGCTCTTGTGACAGTAAGTCTTACGAGATATGATGGTTTTATAAGGGGAAACCGCTTTCAGTCAGTTCTCATTGTCTCTTGCTGCTGCCATGTAAGAAGTGTCTGTTTCCTTCTGCCATGATTGTGAGACCTCCCAAGCCACATGGAATTGGGAGTCCATTAAACTTATTTTTCTTCCCAGTCTCAGGTATATCTTTATCAGCAGTGTGAAAATGGACCAATAGAGCCCCCAAGGGACACTTGTCAATCTCTAGAGACATTTATGGTTGTGGCATCCTGGAGGGATACTACTGGCATCTAGCAGGGACAGTCCTGGAATGCTGCTAAGCATCTTATAATATATCAGAGCCCACCACACCAAAGAATTATCCAGCCCAAAAGCCAGTAGTCTCAAGACTGGTAAATTATGATCTAAAGGGACTTTTAATTTTCTAATTGGCTAGCTGGCTAAGTAACAGATATTTTCCTCCAAAACTCTTAAGGAAAATGATTAGCAAATTCCAAGGACTACTGCCACTAAAATGTTGAGTACAATAAAGAATTGTCTGGAAGAATCAGATGATAGAATACTTAGGATCCACTGTAGCTTTACAGTGCCAAGAAAGCAAAGACATGGTTAGGCTCATGCTACATCTTAACTTATTCCATTTTGAATAAGTGACTTATCTGACACAGCAAGGGTCAAATGCATCTGAAAAATACACTGTTAAATGCATGAATTATCAGTAAGTTAGCACTTTAAACAAACACACTGATGGTCTGTTGGCTAACATGATATGGTTCTAGTGTGATGAAGGTAAGTGAATTTGGGGCCAGGAGATAGAATCTAGGAGTGTAGTCATGGCTCCATCTCTTGCCGACTGAGTGACTCTAGCTGGGTCATATGGCTTACCTGGGCTTCAGTTTCTGCATCTGATAAACGTGAACGCTTATGTATGTCTGTTTTATCTACCTCACTGGTCATTGTGAGAATTCTTTTTTTAAGTACACTTTCTCTTTATTTGAGTATTGATATATTCTCATATCTTTTTTATACTCCTCATATATGGTTTTGGAAATAACAATGTATTTGGAAGACCAAGGAAAAGTAGATTCCTCCAGGGAGGAGGCTTCACACACCCCCATGTAGAGACATGATTGGTCTCCTATAATTAACTAACTTCTTTCCTCTTCATATGTCTCATTAGAGTGTGAAAATAGATTTTTAAAAGTATCATAGACAAGCCACAGACTTGTAGAAAATATTTTCAAAATGCATATCTGATAAAAAATGTGTATCTAAAATGTACAAAGAACTCTTAAAATTCAACAATAAGAAAACAAGCAACCCAGTTAAATAATGTAAAAAAACCTGAACAGACCCCTCACCAAAGAAGGTAAACAGATGCCAAATAAGGATATGAAAAAATGCTCAATATTGTTTGTCAACAGAGAATTGCAACTTAAAATGACAACAAAGTACCACTACATAACTATTGTAGTGGGTAATTTTTGAACTGGAAAAATTTGAGCAATAAAATAAATAGAATAATATATAATTTTAACTCAAAGTACCAAATAAATATCCATGAGTCCATACTGGTACTAATAGATAATTGAGTAAATATTTAAATGGGAGATATGAGACAAATTATGCATAAGAATTCTAAATAATTTGTCTGGATACTCCACCCTCAGGAGGTGGAGCAAAACTTCTCACTCATTAAGTGTGGGCTGCACAAAGTAGCCTCCTTCTAAAGAGTGCACTATGGAAAGAGAAAACCTAACAAACACCACCTTGGCAAGGTGAACAAGGTCACCATAGTGATTAGTCATGTTGACAGTATGTACCCTTCAGATGATGTGATGACGATGGCACCTTACCTCTGTGGTTCTCCTCCCTAAAAGCCATGACCCCAGTCTAATCATGAGAATAACAACATAAAGATTTCAGTATGGGGCATCCTACTGTACCCCTGATTGGTGCTCTTCCAAACCTGCAAGGTCATACAAAGCAGAAAATGTCCCAGCAACTGCCTCAGCCAGAGGAGCCTCAGGAGACTTGACAGCTAAATGTTTCTTGGGATCCTGAATGAGATCCCAGAACAGAAAAGGACACTCAGTGTAAACCACATAAATATAAGTAAAATATAGGCTTTAAGTAATAAAAATATATCAATATTGGTACATGAATAATAATAAATGCACTAATATAATATATATAATATTGTAAGACGTTAATGATAAACACAGCCGGGAGTGGATGTGAACTCTGTCTACTCTAAGTTCACAATGTTTCTGTAGATATGCAAATCTCCTAAAACAAAGTTTATTTTAAAAACAATATTATTATAATGATTGATGAAAAACATTGTGAGAGAGCAGTTGTGGTTTAAACTGTTATTGCATTTTGTGAGCATTTGGTTTTTCTAACAGAAGATGGAACTAGAAGACACACCTTTAGATTTGCTCAGTAGTTTACCCTGGGGCAGCTGGTACCACCCCTCTGTCATTAGCCATTTAGGAAAGCTAGGAGAAAAGTGTCAGTGTTTAATTACATGTCAGAGGACAATGAGCATCACAGAGTGCATGTGGAGTACATTGGAAAATGTTTCCTTCCACACAATGAGCCTGATATATCTCTCTAATAAACGGCAAATGGAGAAGGACTTCCATCCCTGTCACTGAGTATGGACCACCAGGGTTGTCAGTTGTGGACCATCCTCATCACTGAGTATAGGCCACTAGTGTTGTCAGCTGTGGACCATCCCTGTCACTAAGTATGGGCCACCAGGTTTGTCAGCTGTGGACCATCCCTGTCACTGAGTATGGGCCATCAGGGTTGTCATCTGTGAATGGAAACCATTCATCTCTCCAGGACGCTGCAGCCCTAGTGAAGTGAATGTGCTCATATGAAGACTCACACAAGTATAAAATGTTTAGGCTTCTTGGGGATGAGGCTGGCTATGGCCACTGGCTGGAAAATGAGGTGTGTTTTCCTACCATCCTTCCCTCTTTCTCTACTCCATTCATATCAGCCTCAGACTTTCTGAAAATAAAAAAAAACAAAAAAAACCCCACAATAAAATTAGTTCTTCATGTAGAGCGCAGCGCAGTTTGGTTTTGTATCCAGGACGCCTGTAAAGATAATATATTTCTCCCCTAAATTTCACCATAGAATGTCTCTTCTCAAACCATAGCAATTTCCCTCTCAGCTAAACAGAAGATTTTCCCAACTAGGAAATCACCAGACATGCTGTTTCCAGGATGACTTACTTTGAATGCTCAGTGCATTTGAAACTGAACTCCCATGGATAGGAAAGGGGTATGGAGCAGTCATTACATAGCAAATCTTGAAAATGCCAAGATCATTGAACTAAAAAACTTCAAGGCTGGGCACGGTGGCTCATGCCTGTAATCCTAGTACTCGGCCAATGCGGGTGGATCCCTTAAGCTCAGGAGTTCGAGATCAGCCTATGCAACACAGTGAGATCCCATCTCTATAAAAGATACAAAAATTAGCTTGGTGTTGTGGCATGCACCTGTAGTCCCAGCTGCACAAGAAGCTGAGGTGGGAAGATGGCTTGAGCCTAGGAGGTGGAGGTTGCAGTGAGCCAAGATCGCACCACTGCACTCCAGCCTGGGCAACAGAGCCAGGCCTGTCTCAAAATCATTAAAAAATAAATACATAAATAAATAAATGAATGAATAACTAATTCTATTCTTTCTTTTCCCCATCCCCACAGATAGCTACATTAATACAAATGACAGATTATAACCATATATAAACCTCCCAATTAAAACAAACAAATGACTAAAACAGGTGGCAGTGTTAATTGCCGATCTCTCTGTGGTCCACATTCTGTTTCGTTCCTTTAGAACGTCACTACCTACCCCTCGATCTGCAATGCTAGTAAAAGGACTTTCATGTCTGTGCACTTTAAGCATCTTGGGGATGGCATCACAGGAGCAGAAGAGGCCATGGGAAAAGAAACTTTGAATGCAGGGAGCATACTGAGGTAGTCAGCATGTTCTGCTGCTTGATCCTGACATCGGGCTATTGAAATTGAAGATGGAAAACCCGTATTGAGTCATTTGGCTCTCTCCCTTGAGGGCAGTAGATTATGCTGGACAGTATTTTATTTAGCACTCTGTCCAGTTCTATTTTAACTTGCTCTTCCTTGGAGGCCTATTAACTCAAACCCAGCAAGGATTTTATTACAAATGGAAGGCATTCTACTAGTTGGTCATTTCTTCCACAAAACACACATTCTCCAGCTGAGATATTAAAAAACAAAATTTACCAAACAACATGAGAACAGTGCTGGATTGTAGAAGGAGCAATAAGTGGATTGTCGCAAAGTGGCTCCAGACGCTCGCTCTGACTTGCCTGAAACACATGCTCACTGAGAATCCTCAACACTGGGTCCCTGGAAATAGGGACCATGTGACACTAAGCGACCTGTAGCACTGATATCCTCATAGCCCCTTTTCCCCACAGGTCCCAGGATACCCAGGTTCTGGGCAGTTCCTGTTCCCAGGCAATTCATAAACAGCTACACCACATGCAGACTGCTTGGTACTGAGGAAATCTCATTCAACATCGACAAGTTTGCTTTCAGGCTTGCCCTTTGTAAAAGTCAGAGTGGCCCCAGTGGAATGCAAGTCCATGCTACTGGTCAGAAAAACATCTTGGTCCTCATGTTTTCTCTATGGCAAAGATGAGAGGATGAGGGACACTGGGCTTTTCTCCTCCTGGGTTCTGCAAGCTTCTGCCTTCCCAAAAAGGCTGATTCCCTAACTCATGCCATTCTCCAACCTGGTGCATGAAAGACAGTGTCCCAGATGGCACCTTCCTTGAAAAACAAAGAACGAGGACTTCTAGAGCCAAAAGCTGGGTTAAATATGTGCTCTGATGCTCATTCGCTACAGGAGCCTCGGGTTCCGCATCTATCAACTAGAAATAACACCCGTGCCTTAGGCAGGGGCTGGGGTAAGGTGCTGTGGGTACATAGTGAGGGTCAGAACAGTAAAGAAATGCAATCAGTGGTAGCTACTACTGTTGGCATAATTACGAACAGCAGGAGGATGAACAGACACCCCCTGAAAACTTAGGAACATTATTTTTAAATCACATGTAGTGTGAAAAGTACACAGTTTGGTTTGTTATACAGAAACAAGATGTTTAAATCCATGGAGTAGAAGATAACGATAATGCACTGATTGTTGGTTATGAAAGTCAGGAAGAAAATAACCAAGTTCAGTGCTCATCTTGATCTAGGACCATTCATGGCCTGACCTCTCTAATGCGCAGAGGATAAAACCCAGGAGTGCATGATGCTCACCAAGGATCAGTCAGAACTTCTCCAAGGTTCAGCTCCCAAATCAGCCAGAACTTCTCCAAGGATCAGCTCCCAAATCAACCAAAACTTCTCCAAGGATCAGCTCCCAAATCAACCAGAACTTCTCAAAGGTTCAGCCCCCAAGTCAACCAGAACTTCTCCAAGGATCAGCTCCCAAATCAACCAGAACTTCTCCAAGGATCAGCTCCCAAATCAACCAGAACTTCTCCAAGCATCAGCCCCCAAATCAACCAAAACTTCTCCAAGGATCAGCTCCCAAATCAACCAAAACTTCTCCAAGGTTCAGCTCCCAAATCAACCAGAACTTCTCCAAGGTTCAGCTCCCAAATCTACCAGAACTTCTCCAAGGTTCAGCCCCCAAATCAACCAGAACTTCTCCAAGGATCAGCCCCCAAATCAGCCAGAACTTCTCCCAGGATCAGCTCCCAAATCAACCAGAACTTCTCCAAAGATCAGCTCCCAAATCAACCAGAACTTCTCCAGGGATCAGCTCCCAAATCAGCCAGAACTTCTCCCAGGATGGGGGATCTTTTGATCTCATGCAGTCCCTTCACAGTGCTCAGCATTTTACCCAGAAAAGCATCAGTCACCCCTAAAGGCTAAGTTTTAAACACTGTAAAACCAGAAAATGTTATATACACTACTGTGTGAGGCGTGAACGTGGGGAAGTGAGTGTGAAAGTGCATGAATATGAGCATTCAAGAAGGCATGAGTGTGCGAGGGAACCCCACCAACAAAGTAAGCAAGAGGACCTGGCCTCTTTCTATTTGCGACAACCCTAAATGGGGCTCAGAGATTTCCCACTGCGTTCCTTACCCTCTTAGTGCTGCACGCCGGCCTCTACAAAGCCATAAGCAAGGAAAAGAAGTAGAGGATCGTGAGTTTAAACAGTTCAAAATAAATTGGTATTGGGTGTTAAGGGCTTAAATTCCACTATCTATGTTTACCGTGTCTTAAGTTGAATTAAAACAAAATCCAACAACACAATGTTACAAGATGTTGCTGCCTAGAAACAACCGAAAGCTGGATTAGAGGGGCATAAATTAAGGATTGGGTACATTGTAACTAATTAAATATATACAAAAGAAAAGCAGATTTGGTAATATAATTGCAGGCTATGTAGTATTTAAAGTCTCTTATTGAGTTAAAAGAGCATTGTATTATGTTAAATTGGTAAGCTAATAATAAAGATATGACATGAATAAACTTTAATATACCAAATAAAAAAGCCCCAAAGTGTATATATATAAAACAAAAAACAGACAGATGTATGGCTGCAGCTGATAAATTTTTAACTCACCATTATCAACATACAGCAGATACCATATTCAAAAATGAAACAAAATAAGAACTGAAAAAAATAAGTAATAAAATTAATGAGGTGGAACTAATAGAATATGCCAAACTTTTTATCTGAAAGTTAGAAATCTCATCCTCTTTCATACCTTCTGTCCATATACAATCACCAACTGTGAAAACAAAATTATCATCCTATTTCCAGAAATTATTAAGACAAAAAGCTGATAAAAAATATTTAGCTAAACGAAGCATTAGAATACCAAATGATAGGGATGTGCGTGATGACTTAACTGTTTCTTGCACGTTTTGCTGGGCGCTGTAATTCAGATAGTTTGTGTTTTAACTTTTACAATCTTTTAGTCTGCAATAATAATTTTATAGTTTGCTGTGGAACTGCACCAAATCCATAAAATCTGCAAAAGTCCTCAAAATTCCACATATGTGGGTTGTCATTGGCCCTAATAATTGTGCTCCAAGTTTTGCACTAAATTCTTCCACAAATTAGAAATGAAAACACCATGTGCTTCAGAGGAATGAATGAAAAACACCTGCCCTCTCCCTCTCCCTCTCCCTCTCCCTCTCCCTCTCCCTCTCCCTCTTTCCCCACGGTCTCCCTCTCCCTCTCTTTCCACGGTCTCCCTCTGATGCCGAGCCGAAGCTGGACTGTACTGCTGCCATCTCGGCTCACTGCAACCTCCCTGCCTGATTCTCCTGCCTCAGCCTGCCAAGTGCCTGTGATTGCAGGCGCGCGCTGCCACGCCTGACTGGTTTTCATATTTTTTTGCTGGAGACGGGGTTTCGCTGTGTTGGCCGGGCTGGTCTCCAGCTTCTAGCCACGAGTGATCCGCCAGCCTCGGCCTCCCGAGGTGCCAGGATTGCAGACGGAGTCTCGTTCACTCAGTGCTCAATGGTGCCCAGGCTGGAGTGCAGTGGCGTGATCTCGGCTCGCTACAACCACCTCCCAGCCGCCTGCCTTGGCCTCCCAAAGTGCCGAGATTGCAGCCTCTGCCCGGCCGCCACCCCATCTGGGAAGTGAGGAGCGTCTCTGCCTGGCTGCCCATCATCTGGGATGTGAGGAGCCCCTCTGCCTGGCTGCCCAGTCTGGAAAGTGAGGAGCGTCTCTGCCCGGCGCCATCCCGTCTAGGAAGTGAGGAGCGCCTCTTCCCGGCCGCCATCCCATCTAGGAAGTGAGGAGTGTCTCTGCCCGGCCGCCCATCATCTGAGATGTGGGGAGTGCCTCTGCTCCACCGCCCCGTCTGGGATGTGAGGAGCGCCTCTGCCCGGCAGCCACCCTGTCTGGGAAGTGAGGAGCTTCTCCGCCCGGCAGCCGCCCCGTCCGGGAGGGAGGTGGGGGGTCAGACCCGCCCGGCCAGCTGCCCCGTCCGGGAGGGAGGTGAGGGGTCAGCCCCTGCCCGGCCAGCCACCCCATCCGGGAGGTGAGGGGCGACTCTGCCCAGCCGCCCCTACTGGGAAGTGAGGAGCCCCTCTGTCCGGCCACAACCCCGTCTGGGAGGTTACCCAACAGCTCATTGAGAACGGGCCATGATGACAATCGCGGTTTTGTGGAATAGAAAAGGGGGAAAGGTGGGGAAAAGATTGAGAAATCGGATGGCTGCTGTGTCTGTGTAGAAAGAAGTAGACATGGGAGACTTTTCATTTTGTTCTGTACTAAGAAAAATTCTTCTGCCTTGGGATCCTGTTGATCTATGACATTACCCCCAACCCTGTGCTCTCTGAAACATGTGCTGTGTCCACTCAGGGTTAAATGGGTTAAGGGCGGTGCAAGATGTGCTTTGTTAAACAGATGCTTGAAGGCAACATGCTCGTTAAGAGTCATCACCACTCCCTAATCTCAAGTACCCAGGGACACAAACACTGCGGAAGGCCGCAGGGTCCTCTGCCTAGGAAAACCAGAGACCTTTGTTCACTTGTTTATCTGCTGACCTTCCCTCCACTATTGTCCTATGACCCTGCCAAATCCCCCTCTGCGAGAAACACCCAAGAATGATCAATAAAAAAAAAAAGTAAAATAAAAAGTCTAGAAAATATAGAAAAGCAGAATAATGTAATAACCCATCAACCAGAATAAACAGATGTTCACATTTTGTCATTTTTACTTTGTAGGGTTTTCTGGTTTCATTTTGTATTTTGATTTGAGAACTTTATAAAATAAAAACAGTAGGGCAAAGATGAAAAAAAAAAATAAAAAATAAAAAAAAAATAAAGGGGATGCAGCCCGACTGCCAGGAGCGGAGCGCGAGTCGGCCCAGCCAATGCGCATGCGCGAGGCGTGAGCGGCTTCCCCCATCACAGTGGTTCCCACAGTTGTCTTAGAAACCAGTCCCCGAGGCTTGGCAAAGCAGAAGCCCTCCGTGGCAGTGCTTGTGTGTCGGGGCTCCGAGGCTCCGGCCTGACCTCTCCACGGGGGCGACGGGAACTTCTCCAGATGCCAGGAGTCGCAAAGGGCCGACCACCATGAGGAAACCCCAGGCGGGGACGGGGGAAGCAGCACGGGATCCCAGCCTCAGGCCTGCCCGGATGGTGTTGGTTGGGGTGAGTCTCCCCAAAAGTCGTGCCGCCATCCGTGATCTCGAGGACAGGTTGGCCTGCGTGCCCCTGGGCTGCTCTCTCACCTGAGGGTCGTTCTCGTCGTGAGCAGAACCCCGCAGCCTCAGGGGTTGCCGGTGGTGTGTGTTTCAATGCCTCTGCTGTATGACTCTGTGTGTGTGTCTCTGTGTGAGTGTGTGTGTGTGTGTGTGTCTCTCCCATTCTCTCCTCTCTCTGTCTCTCAGTCTCTGTGTGTTTCTTTCCCTCTCTCTGTGGGTTTGTGTGTGTATGCCCGTGTTCATGTGTGTCTTTGGCCAAATGTGCCCTGTGCGCCACAAAGCGGTTTGTCGCATGGCGGCCTGTCTTTGGTGAGCCTCTTTCTCCATCTCTGCCTGGGTCATGAGGCCGGCTGTCAATCGTTTTCGCCGCGGCAGATCCGCTTTGGGTGTGTGAAAGCCTGGCCCACGTGAGGAGATGCGTCGCTCCCGGAGCAACTGAAATCTCATCCCCATCCTGAGCGGCCTCTTTTCTAGGATCAAGATGAACACACTGCAGCCAAGGACAAGAGCCCCAGAGGAACTCTTTGTCCCACAGGAGAGCAGTGGATCCACGCCAGAGAAGATGCTTGTATATTTTCACGGCTCTTCTCTGAGAAATGAAGCCACACCATGATACAGTCAGCAAGCAATCTAGAGCAAAGGCTTCTTTCAACCCTCCCCCAAGCTCCCAATACAAGCCCAAATTCAGGAACAAGTCCTTTCCAACACCTCCTTCAGAGAGGCTCCCTGGCTCCAGGCAGTGCTTGCTCCCCTCACTGCAGCAGGAAGCCCAGCTTGCGAACTGCAGGTGTGCTCCAGATGGTCGCTGGATGCAGGGTATTGACAGATGGATCCCATCGATACCACCACTGCATAACCATGTAAACATATCATCCCCCACTTGCACATGAGGAAACGGAGGTCCACAGGGTGGGGAAGGGAAGACATAATTTGTCCTTCAAATGCGATACCGGTGAGATGTGAGAGGCAGCACCCCTCATAACTCAGCGAGGCAGTGGGCACACCAGGACCCTCCCAGGCAGATCGGGTGTGTGGTCGCCCCCATTGCATAGCATGGGCGGGAGTTGGGGAGACCACACATTGGTCTCGCCACCTCTCCACTGGCCCGACCTCCCTGCAGATCCCCAGGACAGGGTTAGCATCTGCTTTCTGGCAGGCTTGGCCACCAGAGGTCTTTGCTTACGTCTAAGTTCCCTGTAGTTGTGGTTCACAGGATAGGGGCTGCTCCTGAGATTCAGCACCACACAGGCACTGCACAGCACTGTGCCATGGTGGTGGGCACTCGCTTTCCAGATAGGGCCCAAGTTGCCAGCAGGCATGATGCATCATTTACCCTACCCTGAGTGCAATAGGTGGTTTTATAGAAAAAAACTTGGGCCAGGTGTGGTGGCTCACACCTGTAATCCCAGCACTTTAGGAGGCCAAGGCGGGTGGATCACAAGGTCAGGAACTCAAGACCAGCCTGGCTATGAAAAATACAAAAATTAGCCAGATGTGGTGGTGGGCTCCTGTAGTCTCAGCTACTCAGGAGGCTGAGGTAGGAGAATCGCTTGAACCCAGGAGGCGGAGGTTGTGGTGAGCCAAGATCATGCCACTGCACTCCAGCCTAGGTGACAGAGCAAGACTCCATCTCAAAAAAAAAAAAAAAAAAGAAAAAGAAAAGGAAAAGTATTTGTAGATGAATGAAGGTGACTCCTTTGATTATTGGAAATGATTTTATTGTAGCCATTTGTCTGGCACTCATTCTGATGGGGTGACATGTGTCCCTGCCTTAGTCAGCAGAGCACAGGAATGTACTACACCTCCCCTCACCTGAGGATTCAGCCCATGAGCAGGAACGCCTGTCTTTGTGTCATACCAATAGAGAGGATGTGTCTGGTTACACCATTCACTGCAGAGGCAGAAATTACCCAGAAAGAAGAGAGAGTCTGTTCCCGGGAGTGTGTTCTTTTGACCCAGCATGGGGGTCATCTCCTTTCCTTGGCCAGGACCCCCAACCTGAACACAGAGGCAGAGAACATGTGAAGGGCTCCCATTCCCAGGTGGTCCAGGGTACAAGCTCTGAGCCTGTGGTCCTGGTCACTGCCCTTTTCTCCACAGCATGGCTGTCACCATCCTGGGCTGGGGCACAGAGGGCTTTGCAGAGATCAGCATAACAAAAGCATCACTGAGATGCTGCAATAGGAAACCGTGATACCTTCGTGGGCTGCCAAGGCAGCCTAAGCTATTTGTTGCTGCACTCAGTGTCCCCAGACAGCTGTGTGGCTGTCACTGCCTCTGGTGTGTCCATTTTACTTCTCTTCTCCTGCCTGAGCTTCTGCTCTGAACTCTGTCTCTAACTTACAAGAAATCAAGCTCACTGGATTCTGAGCTCTTCGGGGTCAAGTACTGTGTCAGTAGTTCATGTCTCTTTCTAGAGATCACAGCTGAGTATCTGGCACAGAGCAGATACTTAGCCAATGCCAAATGATTCATTTGCCGGAAAGCTGAATTTCATCCATAATCCTAGTCAATGCAAATACATTCTGCTGGTGGGGTTTGTTTGTCCTCTGAAGGCATTTTCCCAGGCTTTGTAAATACATACAGGCCATTTAGAAATTTGAATGTCAAAGAGTAAAGGATCTTAGAAAGTAAACATTGGAGAAGTGTGGGAGGGTGGTATTATTTGCAAAACATTCCTGGGTCCTTGTGAGTTCTATACACCCTTGATGAGCGCCAATTCTGGGCCAGGCCAGACACCCAGCTGGACCCAGGAGATACTGAGGTGAGTAAAGCCAAAATGCCTCCCTTCAGCAGGAGGCAGGCAGTTACACCAAAGTGATAAAGGCACAAAACCCAGAGAGAGCACAGGAGCAAGAACTACCTTGTTCCTGGACTGTGTGACCTCAGGGAGAGCTTTCTGCACAGAGGACATCTGTGCAGGGCTTGGAAGGATGAAAATAAATTTGCCTACCAGAAAAGGGAGCCAAGGAAATCCTGATGGAGAACAGCTTGGGTGAGAGTGTGAGCCACAGGATTGAGGGGCACAGGCATGGAACTGGAGGAGCAGAAAGAATGAGGGGGGATAAAGTTGGGAGGTCAGCAGAGGTCAGTCACAGAAGGTTTTGAATCCTGGTGAGGGACCAGTGGGTGCTGCACAAGGGACATGGGCCTGGAGGAGATGCAGTTAGCTCTGAGTGAAGATGCAGCATGCCATCCACTAGGGAACCACAAGATGCAATATAAATAAGAACCCTGAGAAGCCTGCACAAAGGATGAGGGGCCCAGGGGTAGCACCAAGAAGGTCCCTGTCAGAGGCCAGCTTTCAACGGAGACAGAAAAGACTCTTGAGGGCCTCAGCTGCTGCAAACCTCCTCAACATATTTTAAAAATACCTTTAAATATTTGCTAAAGAATACTAACTATTGGAAGAGCAATGGTCCATTGATAATAATTATTCCCTCACTCACTGTACATTTTTTACAATTCTCAAAATGCTCTCGGTCCAGTGTCTCATTGGAACCCCCATAAAATCCCATTTTACAAATAGGGAAACAAGGCGCTGTGATGTCACACTGAAGTTTGCAGCAGTTCCAGGATAGAAAAGAGGGAGCACTTTCATCTCAGCCCTCGGTATAAGTCTCAAAGTTCCTTTTCTGGGAGGGGGTCCTTGAGGCCATCCAGCAGCCCATAGTCCAAATCTTCTTTTTCCTCCTTGGGCTTCTCCACACCCGTATCCGAAGCATCCTTCTCCTCCTTTGTTCTCAGGTACCACTACCAGTTGTTGGGCCGGGAGACCTCCTGCTGCTGCCAATCCTAGGGTGCATCCTCCAACATGGGTGCATTGTGGTTCAGCCAGCACCTACACCACCTGCAGCCTACCCAGGGCTCCTGTGGTGGGCCTGAGGTTCCACCCTATCAAATGGAGATATGCTGGGGTTGCTGCCTTTGCTAAAGCCCATGTCCAGGTCATCTTGGGGGTGGCCAACGGTACAGGGCCCTGGGGACAGGCCAGAGGGCTGCAGGGGCAAAAACTAAGAGGATGAGGGGATCTCTGAGTCAGACCGCCTGGATCCACATCCCAGAGACTAGCTGCAAGGCCTGGGGAAGACTGGTTCACCTCTCTGAGCGTCAGTTTCCTCCACTGTAAAGTGGGAGGTATAAAAGATTCACTCCTACAGTTGTCTCTGAGCTTTACAGCCGGTAATGTGTGCAAAGTACTTCGCACAATGCCTGGCACATGGTAGGTGATAATAAACAGGGTTACTATGATATCATCATCTGAGCTAGGTCACTCATGCACTTCTCCAATGCTTCAGGGTTCCCCTCCATCCCTCACAGGGTAGCAGCAAGTGAAAGGGATACCCCTGGCCTTGAGGAGCTCACATCTTCTCATTTCCCAGGGGTCTCCATCCAGTGCCCACACATGCCTGGCATGCAGTAGGCGCCTCATCCACATCTGGTGAAAGAGTGGAAAGCAGGTCATTGTCATGTATTGTTTGCAACCGAATCTGCAGTAGGGGACAGAGAAGTGAGTGACTGTAGTTGTGCCTGCTAGTTCCTGTCCCTGAACTTTCAGGGATCAAGAGGCCTTAGCAAGTCTAGTACCAGGGAGTGGGCACTGTGTGGTGGAGCAGGAGGCAGGTCCTAAGAAAGGCAGTGGGGTGAGGAGAGGAGCTCTGCCTTTGAGGTCTGGGAGATCCTCCACCAGGACCTCACCAAAGGCCCCAGGCATTCATCCCTCCTCCCAGAATCTCTCTATGCTCTTCTGTATAATGGGGCTAACCTGGAAGAGATACATGCAAAGCCATGTTCAGAGCAGCATCATTCACAATAACCAAAAGGTGGAAGGAACCCAAGTGTCAATGGATGGATGGACGGATCAACAAAATGCTGTCTATGCATACAGTGGAATAGTGTTCAGCCTTGAAAAGGAAGGAGAGTCTGACACGTGCTGCGTCAAGAATGAACCCGAGGACATTAGGCTGAACAAAATAAGCCAGACCAAAAAGACAAATGCTGTATTATTCCACTTTTCCAAGACACCTAGAGTAGTCAAATCCATAGAGACAGACAGGAGAATGGTGGCTACCAGGTCCTGGGGAGGGTGGGGATTGGGGAGTTGTTTTTAAATGGGTTACAGAACTGTAGTTTTACAAGATGAAAAGCACTCTGGAAATTGGTTGCACAACATTGCGAATGTATTTAATGCCACTGAAATGTAAATTTAAACATAGTTAGACAGTAAATTTTAGTTCATTTTGCCACAATTTTTATAATGGGGTAGTTATGCCTGTCTCCTTGTGTTGCTGTAGGATTTCATGAGATAACATATAAGGAACCACCCAGCATGTTGCCTGGCACATAGTAATTGCTCAATAAATCACAACTGGATGCTATTGAAGATAAAGTTACCTGACTTCTCTGAGACCCTACTGTATTATACTGGGTTCATAAATAGCACTCCCCCTTTTCCCTTCCCACAGAGTGCAGTGAATAGAAGACACTTCTCTGCACCCCAAAAGCTCCATGCTGATTGCGAGAAGGAAATGCTGGATGGAGGGCTTCCTGGAACTACTGTGAGGGGTGAGATTTCCCCAGATGTCTAGAAATGACGCAGGGGCCCGACATCTTCCACCCCCACTAAGGTTGCCTTGCAGTTCCCAGCTGGCTCTATACTTCCTAGAAACAGCCACTTTTCTGCCTCCATTACCTCATAGCCCAGTCAGCACCATTATCATCATCACCATGATTGCCATCACCATCCTTACAATCACCAACACTATCATCATGGCCATCACCATTCTTACCCTTGCCATTCTCACCATCATCAACACCAGCATCTTCACCATAACTATCACTATCGTTATCGCCACCTTCACCATCACCATCCTCACCATAATAATTATTGTCACCCTCCCCATCCTCATAATCGTCATCATTATCATCATTACCATCACTATCATCATCACCACCATCAAAATGATCCTTGCTACATGGAACCATGCATTCTGGGTAGGAGGGATCTTTGGTCAGGGCATCTAACACATCTTGTAGGATAGAAACCCAGCCCCTCAGGGTCTCACAGTTGGTGAAATAACTGATTCTTGTGAGGTCATATTCCTCTGGGTGATGTGGGATGTCACAAGACCAATAAATATGGGTTGAAGCCCATCGCATCACTTCTTTTTTTGTAAAATAAGCTCCATCATCAGTAGTAATTGTATGATAGCAGAGAATAAGAACTCAGCAAATGTAAATAATTTGATGCTATGAGAAGCATATGAAGTGGAGTCCGTATTTGGAAATGCATCTATTCCAGTGAGGGCAATTCTTTACCACTTCCATGAAGGAAGGGAAAAAATATTATTACAACATTACCAGAAATCTGTCTGGTCTAGGCAAGGTAGTTCCTCTTTCCAGGGTCTCAGCATTGCTCATTGTCGGCAGTCAGGGCACTCATCTGGGCAGTAGGCAGCACTGCTGCAGGGAAATTCATGTTATTGGAAACATGTAGCATCTTCTCCTGCTACCATCGCCACATTGTCCATGAACCCACTGGGCAAACGATGAGGAATCTGGGAAAAGTTCTCATAACCAGAATATAATCATCCACATCAGGATATCAGCATTCACCCAACACTACTGTCCAATCAACAGATCCAAATTTTCTCAGCTGTGCCCTAAATACATTTTTTTGAACTTTGTAATCCAGGATCCAATCCAGGAGTTCCCATTGCATTAATTGTCATGACTATTAAGTTCCTTCAACTTCAAACAGTTCCTCTGTTTTGCCCTATTTTTCATAACCTTAAGAGTTTTAAAGAGCATACACACTTATGAAGGATGTGTTCACCTTTTTCCATCTGATGTGTTTCCACATCCAGACTTAGGTCATGTATCTTTCACAAGAAAACCACAGAAATAATGCTGTGGTCTTCCTAGGACATCACAGCAGGAGGCACATGATCAAGTTTGTGCCAGATTTCTCCACCACAAAGTCATCATTCTTCCAATTGTAATTGAGAAGTATTTCATATGAAGATATTAATTACACATACACATGAATGTATATTTATATGTAAAATACATACAAAATATTATTTCAATGTCTAACCAATATAAAAGTTATTAATTAGATATGTTTAATTTTATTTCCTACTAAGTCTTCAAAATCTGGTGTGTGTTTTACCCTGACAGCACATCTCACTCCAGCCTAGCCACATTTCAAATGCTCAATATTCACATGGCTGTGGCTACCATATTTATCAGGGCAGCACTAAAGCACTAAAAAACTTCTTCCTTGGAGAAGTTCTAAGCTTTCAAAATGTTTGGCAAATACATTTTATAAAATTCTTCAGAATCCATAAATAGGCAATTACACATTTAGTAAGTCATATAATCCAACATGACATTAAAAATGAATCCCTCGACAAAAAAGAAGGTAGGCAACATTTTCTTCAGACCAAATGGACAAATCAATTATGATTACCTAACATGCCTATTATTATTTATTAACATCCTTCATTAATACCCCCAAACCCCATCAACAGGTAAATGAACAAATGCATTGAGGCCTATCTGAACAATGTCCCAATTCCTTACCATTCTTACTACTTTTGCAAGCAGAAAAGACTCAGTATTAGCAAAGACTATTCAGATAGTTTGTTCTTATGCCAGTAGTTGTAATTTCCTGGAGGTCTATGTGACATCAATTATGTACTTCAATACCTCTCACAAGTACTTTTCCTGTTTGGCCATTTTCTGCAGTATATCCATGCTCCCATTTTCTCTATTCTTTTATTTCTATCCTAGACTTTTCTTTCATCCTATAAATCTTTATCCTAAAAATATTAATTTAAGGATAACATCACAAAATAATATATTTCTTCAGATGATACTCCAAATTGATACCTAATATACAGAAATGACTATCATGGATGTAACCCACAACATGTGAAATGTATGGCTCATTCTACTGACATTATAAAGGAAAGTTAATGACAACTGAATTTCTAGTCATTTTCCACCCAACCAGTTGCTTATAAACTGGCAAGGAATTGTAGGTATGTACACAGTGGCTATTTTTTGGTGGGGTGTTCAGCAACTCTCCTCTTGAGAGCCCCCCTTTTCTTTGGGGACCATTTCAATGAGCACCAACTAGGCCTGACCCAACCTAAAAGCCCCAGCCCTAGAGGTGATCATGATGCCAAGTTCTGGCAAAAGACTCTACCCTTGGATCATAGCAACTGTTTCAGTACTATTTTTTTGGAATCATCAGGAAGGACTCTTGCTTTTTCTACCACTGTGGTATGTGAGGACAAAGTAAAGTGGGTTATTTCTAGTACTATCTCTTGCTACAAAGAGAGAAGAGAGTCATCTTCAGAAGGAAAAAATGAGGCTAAAACAAAAGGAAAAGTGTCAAGAGAAAGAAGGAAAACATTTCTTGATGATTTTATATAAGCCCCTGGGTCCAGCTATGCATGACAGTGACTTGGGTTAAAGCTCTGTCACTTATAGGACCATTGACTTAAATATAAAATAAAGTATTAAAAGCTATGAACTTTGAGATGAAAATAAAGAAAATTTGTAATATTCAATTAATCAAAAACATCTTAGATGAAGCCCCAAAAACCAAATGCAAAACAACAATTAATAAATTTGACCCCATCAAAATTGAGAGCATCTGCTAACTGAAAGATAGTGTTATGAGAACACAAAGAAAACTCAAGGGGAAAATACTGGCAAGTCTCATATCTAATAAGGGATTTGAATCTAAAGTATATAAAGAAACTGTTAAAATTTAATAATGAGAAAATAAGCAAAGAATAAAACAAAAAAGGGAGAAGCAAAAAAATGTGAACATACACTTTACCAAATATATACAGATGGCATGTAAGTACATAGATACTAGATATTATTAGGCATTATGGAACCACAATAAAATACTATTGTACACACATGAAAATGCCTAAAATTTTAAAAGAAGGCCCATACAAAATGTTGGCAAGAGTGTGGAATTCTTATATACTGCTGATAAAAATATAAAATGGTACAACCATTTTGGCAAACATTTTGACAGTCTCTTAAAACTAAACCTAAACCTGTTAGCTATTACACTCCTAATATTTACTCAAAGTTATAGGAACTTATGTACATGAATGTTCATTGCAAATGTATTTGTATAAGTCCAAAACCGGAAGCAATGCAAAAACCCATCAACAGGCAAATGGATATATAAGTTGTGACCGATCTGCACAATAGAATACTACTCAGTCATAAAATTAATGACCTATTGATGCCTGCAATATAGCTGAATCTCAAAATAATTATGCTGTGTGAAAAATGCCAGACCCCTCCAAAAAAGGGTGCATACTACACTTCATTTATATAAATGTCTACACAAGGCAAACTATTTTATAGTGACAGATTGGTGATTGCCAGGGAGTGTGGTAAGGTAGGAAGATACAGAAAGTTTGGGATTATAAAAGGGCAAGGGGAAACTTTTTTGAGTGCTGGATATGTTCTTTATTTTTATTTTGGTGATGGATTTGCAAGTACATATACAAAATAACACGCAATGGAAGTAGAAACAGTATTTTTGTTCCTTTCTTAAAAAAGCACAATTTACTTACTATTGGGATGTGTGTGCCTGTTGGGCACACAGCACAACTTTTCAAATCTTAAAATCGGACTGGATCTCAACCACTGGACCTTATTCTTATTCCACACTGACTTTAGCACAATACTTGCTTTCTTCGTGGTAATTAACAACACCCACCCTAAAGGTAAAGAAATGCACTTCTAACTAAGTACTTTTGAAACTATGAACTGCCTCAGGCTAGTAGTTCTTAAGGTCTCCAGCAAATGTTGCTTTGTTTCCCTCAAAAATATACAGCCTGGGCAACATGGCAAAACCCCATCTCTACTAAAATTACAAAACTTAGCCAGGAATGGTGGTGCATGCCTGTTGTCCCAGCTACTCAGGGAGGCAGAGGCTGCAGTGAGCCTAGACCTCACACTCCACTTCAGCCTGGGGGACAGAGTGAGACCCCCATCTCAGATACAAACGCACACATACACATACTCACACACTATCCACTGGTGCCCGTCAGTTAAACACAGCATCTCAGGGCACCTTAGCACACAGTGTGAGAGTAGTGGTCCTAAACACTTCAATTAAAAGTGAAACATCTCTGGCTGGATTTTTAGAATATTTACTTTTTAATGTTTTATATTATATTTATTTTTTATGTTTTAATTAATTTATCTGAATACAAGAATCTAGACATTTGGAAGTAAAACAGTGGAAAACATGTCTGAAAACACTAATCAGCACAAAGCTCGTGTTGCTATGTTATTATTGACAGTTTAGTCTTAAGCCAAGAAATATTGCTAAGATAAAAGAGATTTTACAATGTGAGTCACTAGAAAAGTATGCCAATGTTAAATATGTATAAATATAAAATATCCCTTCAAATTATTTACTACAGAAACTGATATAACTAAAAGAAAAATGGACTAATTACAATATAGATTTTAACATACCTTTCAATTACCGATGGAACCAACAGAAAAAATCCATAAGAGAAAGGGAGATTTGATGAACACAATGAACGAACTTGACATAAACTGACATATACAGAACCCGACACTCAACAACTACTGAATACACATCCTTTTCCAGTGCATGTATCATATTTACCAACATAGATTATATGTTGGAATTTAAAGGGACTCATCAAAGAGTATTCAGTCATGGGATTTTGCCTAAACTTGTCTGGCCTTCAACAGGGTTCAAATACAGTTAAATTCTTATTTCATCTAAAGAGTCCTATCCTTTCTGGTTTGGAAATTTTACCACAACAATCTAAATTTGCATAACAACTGAACCCAGCCCTTGGAACTTGAAGTTTATTCTAGCCAAAGGCAGATTAAACTGTCTAAGTAGTAATGTCCTTCAAATTGTTGTCCCCTGCTCCAGTAATGGAGTATAGCTCCAAGAAGCTAACAGACTATTTGTCCTTCATAGTATACATTCTGTTATATCAAAACACGGTATAAAGCCTTGAAATCAGCAGCAGAGAGAAAATGAGATCAACAACCATCGAGCTGTGACCTCACTACTTAGTAATTACACTTTTAGCTGACTCCTTTACTTGATTCCTAACCGCTTATTTCTGGCAGGGTAGCACTGATATCTGACCAAGCTGACCTTTTAAGAAGTGAACAGAATGAAAAGGCTCTACCGCTAGTGATCAGTTTAACAAGCTGCAACACTAGTCACTGGCTGCAACTCTAGTCACTGGCTGCAACTCATATTGTGGGATTTAAGAGCTCAGAATTAACATGGAAATACTATTGACTCCAAAAGAAACCCAGAAATCTCTGGGAATCCAGCAAAGATAAAAAGGGTCCTCTCAATAGTCACCACTCACACTTTGCTTTGTTTTGGTAACTATTTTATTACATACGGAGAATATCAAAAAAGTATGTCTTTTCCTCATTGTGAATGTTAACCCTAAAATGGTAAGGCTCTTGCATGTTGAAACCCCCAGGCTCTCACTGGCCCTTCAACAGAAGGCAGTGAAGTCACCTGCAAGAGTGATTCACCCAAGAGCTTCCAGGCTGGACAAGTTGAGACTCAGTTCTTGCAGTTCCCAAATTCACAGTTCTCTTGGGACATGGTTATTTATCGAGCTCCTGAAGATGAGAAATCCCACCCAGGAAATTCTGTTTATAAAAGATTATTCACATCTAATTACCTCAGGAGACATTAACACAGCAATGTTGAAAATTTTCCATTAATTGTTAATCCACGGAGAAAAACTGAACGATTATTTTTTAAAATATGAAAAGCTTCATATAATACAAATTAAACTCCCACATGTGATTCAATTTCTAGTCATTAATGCCAGAGAAGTTAATAATTACGAATTGCCAGTGTTAAAAAAAATAAATCATTCATCATTGGAGAAGTGCAGAAGGTTTAAAAGAGATAAGAATTAGTTTTTGGCTTTGAGGCGTTTTATGCTTTCCAGAAGGTTTTGCTCTTTTTTTTATTTTTGCTCATGGCTTTCTCTCTCTCTCTCTCTTTCTTTCTGATTTCAGTTTCTTTTGATTTCTCCTGCTTAGAAATGGTAGAGAACTTTGGATGTGGAACGTGGAGTATGAGGAACACGAAGTGAAGGTCCGCACTTCGGGTGGTCAGCACTGCCATGCCCAGCAAAGGCACTGCCTGGTCCACATCCCAGAGGGGTCTCTGAGCCCCAGTCGGCATCGCAGCTGATGGTGAAACTTTTGGTGTGGCAGTAGAGTGTCTACAAACTTTAGAAGGTATCCGCTGCCTCCTCCATAGCCGTGTATCACTGCCGAGGGCGATCATCTCTAGGATCGGAACGTCCTGCTCATGGGCCAGGGCTGGCTGGCTGGAGCCACTTGCGTGGCGCAGCCCTGGCTGAGGTTCAGGCGGCCCCGGTGTCGCAAGCGGCTGTGAGTGATGCCTCCTTGGGGCCGGAGGGGTCCCAGGAAGGCGGCTGACCAGCACGCAGCATGGTGGCCGGCCGCGATGGAAGGTGACGGGGTTCGCAGCGCCAGGGGATCCAGCAGAGCCCGAGCCCGGGCATCCCGCGTCTCCAGCAGCACCGCGGGTAGGCCTGGCGCTGGTGACGTGGCGGCCAGTGCACAAGGCCCACGACCCAGCCCCAGAGGCCAGCCCATCGTCAGCTAACTTCAGGAACCCCGGGCCAGCTTGAGGCCCCGGGCCCCACGGGCAAGACAAAGGGCAGAGGGCCGCAGGCGGGGCCAAGAGCAGGCAGTTCAGGCCTGGCTCCACCGCTGCGGAGCTCGCAGGGCGCAGCAGGCACCAGGCAGCGACCAGGGCTTCCAGAGGAGGCTGTGCACCCCTGCAAAGGCTCCTGCCCGGCGTCCGGCCTATCCGTGGGGATTCCACGTGCACCCCCTCCTCATTGTCCTTGTCTAGGGCCGCGGCAAGGTCCTCGCTCCCATGGCGTGACTCCGGGGGCGCAGGAGCCTGGGCCGAGCAGGTGGAGTACGGTGAGCTCCGCCAAGAACCCAGCGAGAGTGGCGCCCCAGGGAGGCACAGGAGGCTGCATTTAACGTGTCAATCATCTCAAAGATTTTATAGCATCTTCTTTTTCTTGACATCTTATAATATCTGTAATGTCTATTATATCTTATAATTATTAAAACCACTTCATTGTGATTATTATGATTAGTTTTATACCAACACATCTTCAATTATTAATATTCCCAGTTGCTAGAGAAAAATGAAAACGACTAGTTTTGAAAGCCTTACTTCTGCCAATGGAAGCACATTCCAGCATGTCGCCAACGCAATCCGCTTTCCACCACTTTCACAAGAAACGTTACTGCACAATTATACTATCCTACCCTTATATACCTTTTGTGTGTATGTGTGTACTTGTATGCACGTATGTTACATATGATATATATATATACACACACACACACACATATATATATATAAACTATGCCAGAGATGAACAAGTATTAGGAAATTAAATGCACACAGGTCATATCAGTGCTATGTATAATGTGATGTACTAAGTATAGATGTTCAACAGTGTGGGATCTAGGCTGGAACAAGACTCCTAGTCTTAAGCAATTCTTTCTAGGTTCAGTCTCTGGAAATAATGCTTTGTATCAAATGTGTGAGAAAATTAATGGGTTTTAAAGACTATTCTATGTCAACTATAACATTTCATTTGGGGATTTCTGTCCCTTATAATATCTACCTCATTTTGGATGGATTCCTTGAAGCCTGGTTTATTTTTCTCTTCCTTTCTACACATCGCTGCTCAGAGTGATGAATGGAGTTGTATTTTGAATAAAATAGCTAAGCATCCTTTTGTGAGCAAGGAGCATGATGGTACTTAGACCTACCACTTCTCGTTATGGTGGTTACAGTTACAGTGGGGCTGGGGTGTTTACCTGGAGCCTGGACGTCCACTGGGACTTGATACCCACTGGGATTTTTTTGTGTCAACCTGGTCTCTGATGTCCACCTGGGGAGTGGGTATCCACCTAAGGCCTGATGTTTACCTGGAGCCAGATGTGCACCTGAGGCCTGATGTCTATCTGTGGCCTTATGTTCACCTGGGGACTGATGCACACCTGAAGCATAGGTATTCACCTGGGGCCTCATATCCACCTGTAGTATGGGTGTCAAACTTGGAGCTAATGTTCAGCTGGTGTCCACTGTCTACCTGGGGCCTGGTGTACACATGGGGCCTGGGCATCCACCTGAGACTTGATGTTTAATATGGTCTGGAGTTCTCTTGGGGCCTGTTGTACCCTGGAGCCTGGGTTTACACCTGGAGCCTGATGTCCCAGGTGTACACCTGGGTCCCAGGTGATCTTCAGGCCATAGGTGAAAACTCCAGGCTCTAAGTGGACAACGAGGCCCCACGCTGATGTTTACTGGGGCCAGATGTCTACCAGGCCCCAGGTGAAAACTCCAGGCTCCAAGTGGACTACATGGTCCCAGGTTCCAGGTAGACACTGGAATCCAAATCAACACCAGGCCCCAGATGGACACCCAGGCCTGTGGTGGACATCAGACTCCGGAAGGTCATCTGGCTCTAGGTGTATATCAAGCCCCAGGTGGATACCTAGTCCCCAGGTGGATATCAGGCCCCACTTTGACACCAGTCCCTGGGTAGATACCTTGGCCTCAGGTGGATATCCAGTCTCTAGCTAAGCATCAGGCTCCAGGTGGACCCAGGCCCCAGCTGACTGGGGACTAGTGTTCATCTAGGGCCACATGTCCATCTGGGCCCTGGGTGTCAACTCGTAGCCTGATGTCAACCTGGGAGCTGGTGTTCACCAGAGGACTAAAGTCCTCCTGGTGCCTGATGTCCAACTTGGGACATTGTGTCCACCTGAAGACTGATGTTCACTTGGGACCAGATGTCCAACTGGAGCAAGATGTCCACCTGTAGCCTAGAACTTCACCTAAGGCCTGATGTTCCCCAGGGCCTACAGGGCCTGTGTATCTACCTAGGGACTTGTGTCCAGGTGGGGCCTGAGTTCCATCTGGGGCCTGGAATTAACCTGGGACCTGATGTCCGCCTGAGGCCTGTGTGTTCCTCTGGAGTCTGATATCTATCTGGGGCCTGGGTGTCCTCCTGTGGTCTGATGTCCACTTGTAGGCTGGTGTCCACCTGGGGCCTGGGTGTCCACTTGGTACGTGATGTGCACCTGGGACCTGAGTTTCCACCTATGGCCTGATGACCACCTGAGACCCAGGTGTCCACCTGGGGTCTGATGTCTACCTGAAGCCTAGGTAACCACCTAGGGCATGGTGTTACCTGTACATTGATTTCTACCTCAGCCTGCTGTACACCTGGGGCCTGGGTGTCCATCTGAGGCCTGACGTACACCTCAAGTCCAGTGTCCACTTGTGGCCTGATGTCAACTTGGAAGCTGATATCCACCTGGGGACTGATGTTCTCCTGGGGTCTGATATCCAACTGGGATCAGATGTTCACCGAAGGCCTGCAGTTAATCTGGGGCCTGATGGTCACCAGGGACCCAGGTGTCCACCTAGGACCTGATGTCCACCTGGAGTCTAGTATCCGCCTTGGCCCTGATGCTACTTGAGGCCTGGGTGTCTTCCTAGAACCTGAGTCCCCAGCTAGGCCCTGATGTCCACCTGAGGCCTGGTGTCCTTATAGGGCCTGATATCTACCTAAGGCCTGGGTATCCTCCTGCAGCCTGATGCTCACCTGTAGGCTGGTGTCCATATGGGGCCTGGGTGTCCACCTGTGATCCTGATGTACACCTGGAGTCCAGTGTCCCCTTGGTTACTAATACATACCAGGAAAATGGTATATACCTGGGGCCTGATATACACCTGGAGGCTGTATGTCCACCTGAGCCCTGATGTCCACCTGGGGCCTGGTGTTTACCTGGGGCCTATATGCACCCACTACCCAAAGTCAAGTTGGGAAAAGGGCCCAGGATAGGTGAGGAGCACAGAACAGGGACCTCATTCATAAGAAATTCTGCCGTAGAATGGGTGCTCTAAGCTCTTAAAACAGCCTCGGCCTCAGGAAAGACTGTCCAGGGCATAGGAAGCCCACACACAGGGTGGGATGACAAGTTTGCATCTGGCTCTGCTGGGAGCCCTGGGGGCCTCTGCCCTTTTGGCCGCGTTGTCTCCTGCATCTTATTTTGGTGGGATTCTGGACTCTGATTGCAGCAGGTGGATTCACTTAGCTCTCCTCCCCTTTTAGCATTACTGTCTTCTGTAATAAACCTCTCACTTTGATCTGCCAGGCTGTCAAATGCTTTGATTGGCCTCTCTGATTTGTTCCAATGGTTCATCAATCCAAATATCCACAATAGAAGGACAGATTTTAGTCTCTTCATACAGTGGGATATTTCACAGCTATTAAAACAAATAAAATAAATGCTTGTATATTGATATGCAAAGTTGTCCCACATCAATAACTTTTAAACACATTTTATGATCCCACATCTATATCTATACATAACATTTGCCACTGCTTAAACAAAACAAAATCTGAGCTTTAAACTCCAAATGGAATTACAGAGGAGTCTTGATGTCTGTGTTCCGCAGTTCTGTCATGTTTGAAATTGTCAAATAAACATGCTGCCTTTCCAGTAGCCACTCAGAATTCCTCCTCTCTGTCCACAAAGCATTGTCACCCTCCCTGTCCCATTTGCCCCAGCCCAGTGGAGCTTGCTGAGCTGGCACCATCATCTCTTGTAATAGACAAAGACATTGAGGACCAGAGAGGGGAAGCACCTTGTTGACATCCCACAGCTCTGAGTCAAAGTGGACTTTGACTCCCTTACTAGCTGTTTCCTAAAGTCCAGGGAGCCCTGGAGGCCCAGGAATGTAAGGGCTGGAGCCTGGGGCTTTCTGTCCTGAAGCAGGGGAAGTGGGGCTACAGCTAACGGCTTGAGTGCATTTCCTCTCAAGTACAATAAGGGCTGCTTTGTTAGATGCAAAATATAAATGGCTGCCTGCAAATTTGTCAGGTAATGTGTTTGTCTCCCCTATGGGACTATAAACTTGGTACAAGCAGGGACCTGTCTGAATCACCCTAGTGTCCCCAGCACCAGGCCAGAGCCTGACATATAAAATGACTGACTTCATTAAATACCAACACCTTCTAGGTGCCAGGTACTGCTCTAGATGTTGGAATCTGCAGTGCATAAGATACCCAGAATCCCTGCCCCTGTGTAGCTCTCACTGTAGTAGAGCAGAACAGATGATGAATAAATAAGCATGCAGGGTGTGAGATGGGTGGGAGAGCTGCATTGCGGAACCGGGCAGTGTGCAAAGTGGACACTCAGGAAAGAACCTGAGGGTTGAACTATGGATATGATGGAGAAAATTCACCCCTAACATGAGTGCAGACACTCCAGCTACAATAACAAGCGAAGGTGGAGAAGGAAGCACAGAGGCAAGCAGCTGGGGAGATGTGGGGGTGGGATCCAGGGAAGGTTCTCTCTTTATTGCATCTATTTTCAAATTGAAGTGGGAAGCAAGGCAGCAGGTGTAAGGAAGGCTGGGGAAGGTTTTAGAGGTTTAAGGAGGAAGGAGAAGGCACGATACTGTTGCTTGGGGACAGGGCAGCACTTCCAGAGCTGGGTGCCTGGGCTCCAGGGCAAGTCACTTCATCTCTTCCTGTGCCAGCATCTCCTCAGCTGTGAAATGGTGATTATTATAGAACAGATTCATAGAGTTTTATCATAATTAAATCAGTTGGTATTCATAAAATACTTAGATTATATATATTTTTATTAAGATAACAAATAAAGAAGTCTGGCAGACTTATGGACTTGGGAAATGAGTGAGTTTGTAGGACATCATCCAGGGCCCACTGGAGGTTTGGGCTTGATGATTAAGTGAGAGCAAAAGGCACGTGTGTTTCTCTCTGGCTGTGCTCAGCCACCTGACTGCAGGAGCAGAGGGAGCGGGTGGCTGGCTTTCAGCAGAGTGCAGTTTTGCCCTGGGAGCACAATTAATTGTGGGGCAAGAGAGTGGAGAGTGTTAGAGAGGGTGGATGACAGGCTGGACCATATAGTCTCAGCTGGGAGGAGGGGAAATTTGCAAGAAACAGAGTGAGACACAAAAGTGAAAATTTGGAGTCATTGAAGTGTCTTGGAGTTGGGAGGCAGCTGGAAAAAGGAAAGTTGTGGTCAAAAAAAGCGTGTTTGAAATTGAGAGTCTGGAGTAGCTACAGTTTCTGCAGTGACAAGAATATACAGGTAGGAGTGGGTGACTCAGGGAGGGTGGAGACAAGGTCTCTAGGGGTGGAGGGACCAAGAGCCAGAACATGAGGAGGACTCTCTATGTGCATGTTGGAATCACCTCAGCAGGAAAAAGTGCCCATGAACTGGGAGCTAAGTCTTCAATGCATAGGGATGTGGCCCTGGGTGCAATCTGAGGGCAAGAGCTTCAATATTGATTCCCTTCGTGTGTCACCGTGTCCTTGGGTAGTTTTTCTTTGTGTGAACGTCACAGAGTGTGCTTACACACACCTCAATATTGTACCTACTGTACACCTAGGCTCTATGGCACAGCCTACCGCTCTCAGGCTGCACACCTGGGCACAGGTTACTGCAGTGAATATTGTTGGCAGTTGTAGCACAATGGTCAGTACTTGCACATCTAAACATATCATGAAAAATACAGTAAAAACATAGTATTGCACTATATAAAAATGTAGTATGGTACCTAGACATGGTGCACTGGTCTAGGACACTTACCATGAATGGAATGTGCAGGGCTGGAAACTTCTCTGGGTGAGTCAGTGAGTGGTGAGTGAAGATGAATTCCTAGGGCATGACTGTGCACTACTGTAGATTTTATAAACACTGGACACTTAGGCTACACTACAAGACATATATTTCTTTTTCTATAGAATTATAAATCTTTTTTAATAAATATATTTTTAAAGTAACTGTGCCATAACGTTACAATTGTTATGTCACTGGGCTAGGCAGTAGGTGTCTTTCGGCTCCATTATAGTTTCATGGATCCACCACTGCACATGCGATCTGGGTTGATGGAAACATCATTTCATGGCACATGAATGTATTTTTATGGGAGAGCAGGATGATGAGCTGAAAGAGGGAGGCAATGAGAAGCAAGGAGGACCTATCCTGCTCAGGTCCAGGGAAGGGCTGCAGCAGAGGACCGCAAGGCAGCAGTGTCCTCAGGGGATTGGGCCTGTTACTCACAGCAAGGAAGAAAAGGAAGAGTTCCCTGAGGCTGCTGAAAACCAGGGGGCTGCTGGTGCTGGAGCAGGATGTTGAGGACATGCAAAAGGGTTTCAGCAAGGGAGGGAGGGAGGATGGAACTGGGGAGTGAGGGTCAGCCCAAGATAACCAGGCCTCTCCCAGGAATCTTCTGGCCACTCAGAAGCAGTGGTGATGCCCACTTGAGCCCACAAAGGGCACCCAGTGCCCAGCATGAGAACCTGGCTTGCTTATTGTCCAGCCCTGACACAGTCCAGCCATTGCTGGCACCTACTGTAGCCCCTAAGATGGATCAGCCTGGCCCGGTCCTCAACAGCCCTCACTGAGGCAGGTAAAAACACAGGCACCTGTGATAAGAGGCAGGCAGAGGTAAGTCACATAGTAGTGGCAGACCAGGTGCTGCAGGAGCCCAGTCAGATGGGCACTGAATCCAGGCAGGCTTTCTAGAGGCAGTGACTCAGGATTTGTGTTCCAGTTGTGTTGGTGGCACATCCAGGAAGCAGCGCATGGTCCAGCTGGGAACATTGGGAATGGAGGCTGTTTTTTTGTTTTTGTTTTTGAGACGGAGTCTCACTCTGTCTCCAGGCTGGAGTGCAGTGTCATGATCTAAGCTCACTGGAGGAGGCTGGTTTTTAATGAGTCTTGAAGCCAAGGCAAGGGTCATGACCAGGATCCAGCCTCAGTAATACATTCACCCCTTCACCCTGGGGCACTGCTGCAGGCCCACCATCACCAGCCTACATTTGCTCCCCTCCTGCCCTCTCTTCCCAGGAAGCCCCTCACCTGTCACTTCATGAAGAATATGGAAGCCAAGGAGGTCTTCTTCAAGCATTCCTCTCCACCCATGCACTTCCTCCCTCCCTGCCAGCTTCAAAGGAATTGATGTCCAGAGAGACCCTCCCCAGTTGCCCCACCTTTCCATCAGCCCCTTCCAGGAACTGTCCTCTGACGTCTCTCTGTCTAGATCTCCCTGTCACTCTTGTGCACACCAAGACTGTTCTCCCTTTTCCTGTCAGCCACTGAGTCCACTCAGATATCTTCTGCTTCCCAAAATTAAAATTACAAACCAAAACAGAAACAGCTTCCATGGCCTTACACATTGTAGACACCTGGCTACAGCAGTGAATGACATAGACAAAGTCTCTTTCCTCATGTAGCCCTCATGCCAGTAGAGTGAAACAGGTAATAAATAAACTAGTCAAATGTTCAGCATGTGAGTTGGTGATGAGAGGATGGTGCTTCATGCCTGTAATCCTAGTGCTTTGGGAGGCCTAGATGCGAGGATGGTTGAGGTCAGGAATTTGAGACCAGTCTGGGTAACATAGTGAGACCCTGTATCTACAAAAAATAAAATAAAATAAAATAAAGGAAAAGTGGAGGATAGAATGTATCAGTAGGAAAGGGGGATGGGAGAGCCACATTTTAGACAAGGTGGTCCAGGAGGGTATAGCTCCAACCACTATTCCTCTGGCCCATTCCACATCTATCCCCATCCCACCCCCTGCACAGTGCTTGGGTCAAAGCCTCTCAGTCCTGTTTGTATTTCTCCAAGAGTGATCCAGGGACCAACTGCATCAGAACTGTGGGGTGAGGTCACAGCCCCTGCCTGTGAGAAACGCAGATTCCTCTGCCTGAACCAGAATCCCTGGGAACAGGACCCAGGAATTTCCCAAGATCTCTGGGGGACTCTGAGACAGCCCAAAGTATGGGAGCTGCAGATTTCCTCCTGAAAAGGGAGCACTGTTTCAAGGGGTCCAGGTCACCCAGCTCTACCTTGTAGCCACCAGACCAGTCTGAGCCTTGGAGAATGCTGCTCTTTCCTCCTGGAATGCCCTTCCCAGCGTTCCTTGCCTGGTAACTCTTACACATCCCTCAAGACCCAACTCAAGGGCCACCTCCTCCTGACATCACTCCCTGAACTTTCTCCTGTGTTTCCATTCTCTTCTTCACCAACTGATGTTGACATTTCTATGGGACTATCTCTCTCTCTCTAGACCAGAAACGCCTACAGTTGCAGCCCCCTGTAGTGCAATTTGTGTCAGTCTGGGGAGAGTGGATTTGGAGCCCAACCACCATTGAGGAAAATCCGTCTGATGGACATGGTGGGTTCCAGCCCAGACGCAGGGCTCAGCAAGGGGTGGTGTGACAGTGAGCACAGACCCTGAGTGGTGGTGAGAGTGGCTGTCATGGGGAGGAAAGGAATGGAAAACGGACCTCATGGGAGCAGAAAGAAAGGCCTTAGCTGCAGATGGGCCAGGACCCCGCCAGGAATCCAGAACATGCATCATAATCCCAGCTCCGCTATAAGTCCACGGCGGAACCCTGGCAACGATGTTCCCCTTTCTGAGCCTCATTTTACTCATCAGTAAAATGGTGACAATAACTCCAATTTCACCAAGGAGATGCAAGGCTCAATGAGATGATGGATCTGAAAATGTCTTATGTATCATGGCGCAAAGGAGAGGGACTCCTGACATGTGACAAGCACAGGGAGAGAGGAAGGATGGGGTCTGTAAATGGCCAGGTGGCAGCCCCACCCCTCCACACACACAAAAACCCACCGTGTCACCCACACTAGTGATTTTCCCAGGAGGGCCCCCAGCCTGGAATTAGCACTGCCAGGTGGGCAGGGAGGACTGCTGTCCCATTACAGGGGTGAGGAAACAGGCTGCGGATGGTCCCACAGGGAATAAGGAGCAGGGTCTAGCTCCCCACTGCAGGCAGTGAAGACTGAAGTTGCTCCCTGGGAAGAGGAAGGGAGGCATTGACTGGCACTCCGTGATTTAAATGAGAAGCCCAGGCTCAGCCCGGTGACTTGAGCTTCCTGATGTAGAAGGTGAAGGATGCAGAGCAGACAGAAGGCAGGAGGAAGAAGATAAGGAAGAGAGCAGCAAACTGGAGTCACTACAGGACACTAGCTGCTCCAGGCTGCTCTGTCCCATTCTAAGAGAAAAGAAAAAGTGGGAGAGGGGATCACAGATCATGCCCAGATTCCTCACCAGCATAGACGCTGCTATGGAAACATCCCTGATGGTCCAGGTTTGTGGTGGAAGAGATTGCAACGCTCTGCTTCCTGGAAATCTGTGTTTACAGCCAACACAGTTGCTACCCGAGACAGCCCCACCTGAAGACCCCAGAGCTATCCCAGCTTGCCAGCCTTCCCCTCCTCCTGTTATCACCCCATGCTGCTGAGAACCTACCTGGCAGGCTGCCCAGCCAAGGCCAGGGCCTAATCTCAAGTAAAACTGACATGTCCTCATGAGGGCTGAGGAACATCCTCTCTCCCCACAGAGCCTCACTCAGGTTCTCATCTACTTCCTTGGGGTCTGTCCCGCCTCCCTCAGGAGTTTGGAACCACATACTGTTCTGGAGGGGACCTCCCACTGCTGCCGAACCTGTCCTCCAGGATACCCACAAGTGTTCATCTCGGTCGTGGCTAATTAACTTATCATATGGTAGTGAACTACCTTCTGGGGCCCCAATATTTTGTTTATTTTTTAAAAATAAAATTAGTACCATTTTTTATTTTCTGAATGTACAGAAATATTTGTCTGATTATTATTTACATGCCCTTTGGGAAAACTTTATAAAATAAAAAAATATGAAGGAGAATCCTACCAGACAGAGATAATCACTTTAATTATTTTTCTATTCATATTTGCACATACAGGTATATATGGGATCATGCTCTGTATCTGTTGAGAGTGCATTAATCTGAAAGTTCAGTCACTTAAACAAAGACAGGTTCATTTTTCTTACGTAGTTAGAATATCTATGGTTCCTGGCTATGGTTCACTGGTTCAACAATTTTAGGCCCATCATCTTTGTGAGTCTATTGGAATTTAGCTCATGGCTGTAAGACGGCTACTGCAGCTCCAACCACTACATGAGTTTACAAGGCCAGCAAAAGCAGTCACTTCCGTATTCTTATTAGAAAAGCAAGAACTTCAGAGGTGACCCCCAGAGGATTTCTCTTTAGGTCTGGAAATCTGTGTTTAGATTGGCCAGAACCTGATCTCATGACCATCCCTAGCAGTAGAGAATAGCAATGTCATGATTGACTTTGGATCAATCATAATTTATTGACTGAGAGTGCACATGTGGTCCCCCAAAGAAGATCAAGAAAGGAGGGAATTTGCAGTGTGTACTACAGTATGCATGCTGTTTTATAATCTGCTCTTTCTCTTCATTGCATATTTCAAACAGGATTCCATACTGAGAAATACAGATTCAGTCATTCATTTAACAACAAATTATTGAGAGTGTACTGTGTTCCAGGAACTTAACTTGTCATGGAGGACACAATAATGAACATAGTATACTCCTTGCCTCCATGGAGCTTAGCATCTAATGAGGGATACAGAAACTCATCAAAGAGGTTCACAAAGAAATGGAAAATTACGACTGTAATTTGTGCTGAAAAGGTGGGAGGTGTGTGGTGTGTGAGAGCAGGGACAGGAGATTTGACTCAATCAGGAGGGAGTGTGTTCTGAATGGCCATAAGCCAGCCCCTTGCCTAGCTGTAGCACAATTATTTAGCCAATCTCTTATTGCTGGACATTTACATTCTTCCCACATCTTACCTACTATCATCAATGCAACAATAAATATCCTTCTCTAAGTATCACTTGGCACACTTGTCTGATTATTTCCTCAGTATAAATTCCTAGGGTAAAGCCAGGCACCATGGTTCATGCCAGTAATCACAGCTACTCAGGAGGCCAAAGTGGGAGGATCACTCGTGGCCAGTAGTTCGTGGCCAGCCTGGGCAACATAGGGAAGTCTTGACTCAAAAAAAAAAAATCCTAGAAGAAATGAACAATTCTTAGATGTCGAATTGCCAGATCAAGGGGTGTACCATCACCATCCCCATACTCACCATCACTATCCTCATTATCATCATCAGTCTCACCCTCACCATTCTCACCAGCATCAGCAGCAGCATCCCCACCATAACTATCAGTATCATCACCACCTTCACTATCACCATCCTCACCATCACCATCATCATCACCACCACCATTTTCACCACCACCATCCTGACCATCACCATCATTATCACCTCATCACCACCATCTTTACCATCACCATCACCATGCTCACCTTCACCATTCTCACCATCATCATCATCCTCAGCATAACTATCACTATCATTATCACCACCTTCACCATCGCCTTCCTCACCATCACCAACATTATCACCATCGCTATCCTCACCATCATCCTCAACATAACTATCACTATCATTATCACCACCTTCACCATCACCGTCATCATCATCATCATCACAACCACAATTATGAAAATCTTGGAGGAAAAGGAAGGAGGTAGCATATTAAAATACAGGTACTTTGATGAGGAAGAACAGGCAGAGTTGAAGCTGGGGAGGGGATATCAAACAATGGAGACCCCCAGAACATAAAACTAAGAAGCTCAGGCTTTGCCCAGAATCAGAGGCATCCTTGAAGGTTTATCAGCAGGAGAGTATGCAGTCAGATTTGTGTTTAGGCAGAACATTGAGCAATCCTCAGAAGGAAGAAGCAGAGGGAGGGAAGCCCACAGAGGAGACAGAACCTTCAACACCAGCCAGGGTCCTGGTCCTGGGTCCAGCAGAAATGAGGAACGGGAGGCTCATGGGTAAAGGCTGAAGCCAGGCAGGGAAAGGCCTCACTCTCCCTGCCACTCCTTTCCCTGCTCCCCACTTTCCTGTCCCGTCTTTGCTAATAGGCTCAGCATCTCCAACTGCACCCACCCACTAGGTTTGCCCCAATTCCTCCTCCTCTCTCATGCCTGAGGCCCAGGTGGCTTCCAGAGCTGACCAGGTCTACTTTAGAATTTTAGTGAGATAATCTGGGTAGAAGTGCTGGTGCCCTGCCAGCCACAGCAGGTATTCCTCATATGGTAAACTGGAACTGTCTTCTCAGTTCCTACAGCCTTGGGTTCAAATTCTGCCTAATCCAGATGACCACCATCTCTCATCTGAGCAGAGAAGCCTCCCACTGGTCTCGCTGCCCCAGACCATCCTCTTTCCAGATATCAGCCTGATAATTTTCTCAAACTGCAAACCTGGTCATGTCCCTCCCTTGTCCCTTTGACTAAAGGGTAAGATCCAAATTCCTTAGCATAACATCCCAGGCACTGAGGAGCTGAGGCCCGTCCATTTCCACCCTGACTTGTTCCCCTCCCCCTCTAGTAGCATTGCTGACAGACTTGCCTTGTCCTTTCACCACATGGCTTCGATCCTGTTGCTCTTCTGCCTGGAGCGTCTTCCCACATCTTCTCTGCCTGGTGAATTTCTACTTAACCTACAAAGCCAAGCTCACCTTCTCTGTGAATCCTACTTCCTCCCCATCATGCCACAAATTGTCTCTCTCACTAGACCTCCAGCCCCTAATAATCAGGGACAGTTTAATTCATGTTGGAAATGGCTACTCCTCACTGAATTACCCTAATTAGCTAGTTATATTCCCTTATGTTTATGTTTCCCCATTTACTGACGCTTTCCACAAGCCAGGCACTGAGATCCAGGGCAGGACCCTGAGGGTAGGACAAGCGTGAGCACTGAAGGCTACAATGGCACAGGCACCAAGAGGCCATGTAGGATGCAGGAAGCCTCATGTCTAGAGTGTCTTCGTGGTTTACCATGCGCTTTCCTCCCTTCCCTTATTGGAGTCACCTTGTGCTGGTTTTGATAGCCTGTGTCCCTGAAACATGCACTCCCACACACACAAACAGACCCGCACCTATCCACATGTACCTGCCCATACATGCACAGACCTCCCTGTGTATCCCCCAGAGCCACAAATGCCAATCTTGAGAATGAAGATTTCGCAAGTGCTCTGTGCCAGGCATGATACCAGGTCCCTGACAACACAAGACCCTTCTGGTTTCTCCCACTCAGCAGTGCAAGGTTCGGGGTTGAGGAGCTCTACTTGCCAAGGTCACAGACGTGGAACATGAGGTAACAGCTATTTGAAAGTAAGCCTGTAGGTCACCAAAACATATGCCATCTGCACCCCACCAGACTGCCTCCTCCACAGCACATGAAGACATGAGTCTATCAACTCTGACTCATTAGTACCCAGCAATATTTCCTCCCCCACTTCGCTTCCCACTGCCACTCCAGTATCTCTGCCCACAGTCCCAGAGCCACCTCTGCTTAACGGGGAGGTCAGGACAGATGCTCCGTTCCACCCGATGCCATCTTCCAGGGTGCAGCCTCCTCACAGAGAAGAGGACTACCATGGCTAGTGGTGACATGGGTGGCTCTGGCCCCCAGGACTTCTCCCCGGGACCTCTGCTCAGGACATGGTATGGACAGAGGTGAGGTTACCATAAACTGCCTTGGAAATGACTACAAACCAGGTGAGACCATTCCAGCACCTAACACACTGACAGCCCAGGGTGGGCCCACAGAAGGGGAAGGGCTAGGAAGACCAGGGCCGCAGGAGTTCCCCCTCCCTGAGTCCTTGAGCACAGCCACCCAGGTGTAAAGGACAATATGGGGGTTCTGGGGATTCCCAAGCCTGGGCCCTAGAGGTGAGTTCTAGCAGGGCCCCCCGATATCCTCCCCATCCATCCCCTCATCCTGTATCACATATTGTAAAAACAAGGAAACTGAGGCCTAGAGAGGGAAGGGGCTTGAGCAGTATCCCAGGCAGTTAGAGACAGAGCCCAAGTTAGAATCCATGTTTGTCTCATTTCTTCCCCCTAGGTCTGTCTCTGACTAGCTATGTGACCTTGGAAGTGTCACTCCACCTCTCTGGGCATTGAAGGTTTACAACTTCTGACATGTTCATTCCAGAGGGTTGTCAGGACCTGAAAGCACATCATCTAAATAAAACACTCTACGGTCTGCAAATATTCATATATCTCTTCTGTTGTCTGAACTCTGTAATACCCCTAGGAGGCTGTGAAAATTGGTGCTTGTGTCCTATTATGCAGATGCAAATACTGGACTCAGAAAGACAAAGATCACACAGAAAGTTTGGGACAGGGCTGGAACTAGCACCCAGGTCTCCCAAAGCAGAGTCCTTGCTATCACTAAGGCTAGGAATACATTAAGACTCCAAAATATGGAGAGTTGCTCAATGCATGCCACCAAGGTTAGAGCTGACCAACCCCAGAATGCTCAGCAGCTCTGAGACCCTGGAGTGGAGGACTCAAGGCAGAGGGTGATGCCTAAGTCACACACATCTGAGCTCCAATCCAAACTCTACGCAGCTGTGTGTCCCCACTTTATGAGGCTCAGCATTCTCTACTACAAAGTGAAACTATAGAAGGTACCAAAAAGCTCAGGATGAGGGGAGAACTGCACCCTGAATGCAGGACTGCCAGGCAGGTGGTAAGCACTCATTAGCTTTTGTTTCAAGCACACAAATCATATGTTATTTTTCATCATGTCTCCCCATGGTGTCTAGTCTATGGCTCCAGAACCAGGAGGCTTCTGATCAATCCTTATGCTAAATGATGGACAGATAGATGGATGGGTGGTTGGACAAATAAATGGATGGATGCATGGATTGATAGATTGATGCTGGGATGAATGGATGGATGAATAGATGGATGAATGGATAAATGAATGGACGGGTGCTCAGAAGAGAATACCGAATAAAACAGGGAGTCAAAATGAAAATAACAAGATGATTGAAGGATGGGGCTGATACATGGAAGAGAGGAACAAGATCCAGCCCTTCTGGCTCCACTCACACCCACAACCACATACCTTGGGGTAGCACTGGCACATGCCCCAGATTAAACCCCTGGACACCATGATGCTGCCACAGAGTTTCACTGAACTGGAGCCCATCATGACTCAGGAGGAATGTACTGAGAGCCAGGAGAAGACCCATACATTGAAGCTGAAGTAGAAGGTCTTCTCATCTGCCAAAGTCTCCTCATCTGCCATGGCTGCCGGTCAGGCCCTTGCCTGTGCACCCCTGAAAGAAGGGGCCCAAGCCATCCAGCATAAACATCCAGACAGGCTCACAGGAAGAGATGAAGCTCTTGGATCACTGCAAGTCAAGGTTTAAAGTTAAAGGGAGGGCAAGAGCCCTTCAGCTCCAGGCCCATTCCCTGGACCCACCAGTGCAGCAGGGCTGGAGGCAGCATGCTTCGGTGGACCAGTGAACCCACTTCCCACCTTCTCTCCTTCCCTTGGGGCCCAGAAGGCCTGGAGTTCATGTGTGAATATGGGTGAGGAAGCATGCAAGGGAGGGACAAGGGGAGGTTACAGGGGCTGGCCCCAGGGAAGCCTGTGACAAAACCTTCTTTGCCTACTTTGGGGTTGAACTGAGTAAGCAGCTGATCCCACACCTTCTAGCCCCAGGAAGCAGGGTACAATTCTGCAGCCAAAATATGTTAAAATGCTGCCAGAGGATTTCAGGATCCCACTGCCAGGCATTTCAGGATCCTAGATTTTAGACCCTTCAAGGATATGTGTCCATCTGGAATTCAGGCATGATGGCCCATATACAGTGGATGGTGATGATGTGCATGGCACCATTCTAAGCATGTTACAGCTATTAACTCACTTAAGGGACTCCATGAGGCACGTATTGCTACACCCACTATGCAGAGGACACTGAGCACAGACAAGTAACTTGCCCAAGATCACACAGCTGGAAATGGTAGAGAAGCTGGAACGTGAACCCAGAAGCTGTGCCCCCTGGCCACAGGGCAATGCTGCTTAACTGCAGCACAGGGTTATGGGTGAGAGCTCTGATGGCAAGGCAGGCTGCCTGTGCTTAGATCCTGGCTCCTGTACTGTGGGGCAGCGTGGTCTTGATAACATTACCTGCCTGTGTCTGTTTCTTCCTCTGTAAAATGGGGATAATAACAGTACCTCCCAGCATTGGCGATATCTCCAGGCCTAGGTGTCCTGGATCCTTCTGCCCCCTTTACACTCTGTGCAGCATCCAGACCTGCTTGTAATGAGCTCCTCTACTCCCCCACCAAAGCTCTGGTGAATTAATGTCCCTGTGGGGTATAAGTGACTGACAGTAACTTCCTCAATCTCCTTGCAGCCTAATCTAAGAAGATGCCTTCTAAACAATAGCATTCTAATGTGAAATTTTAGTCCTGTGAAAGGCTAATGGGAGAAATCAGATTCCTTTACAAGATTACAGAAGAAACAGGACAATGAGTATCTCTAAAAGAGAATGTTCACTTGGAGTGTCGATGGGGTTAGGTGGCCGATACAGGATGAAAGGCTTTCATTTGGCTCCCTGACTTGCTGGGTTTGGGGATTTCCCTGGTCCTGGTCATTACCTCTTTCCTCCTGCCCAGCATGTGCTCACACCAGCCCCTCTGCCTCATAGTCCTTCCCACAGGCCCTTTTTCTTATATTTTTTTAGAGAAGGTAAGCTCAGAGGAACTTTTAATATACCAATCGATGTTAATAAAACACAAGTCAAAGACAAGTGTCAACATGCTTTCAACCAACATTAATGAGGAAACAAGACACAAATTCTTTTTCTTTTTTTATTTTATTTTATTTTATTTTTGAGATGGAATCTCGCCCTGTCGCCCAAGCTTGAGTGCAGTGGCGTGATCTCCACTCACCACAAGCTCCTCCTCCTGGGTTCACGCCATTCTCCTGCCTCAGACTCCTGAGTAGCGGGGACTACAGGCGCCTGCAACAATGCCTGGCTAATTTTTTGTATTATAGTAGAGATGGGGTTTCACCGTGTTAGCCAGGATGGTCTCGATCTCCTGACCTCGTGATATGCCCGCCTCAGCCTCCTAAAGTGCTGGGATTACAGGTTGAGCCACTGAGCCTGGCCCTGTTTGTTCTTTTACATTAACTTTACAATATATTTGCCATGTTCTAAAAATGAATTTAATTGGAATTTTATTGAAATTATATGAGACATGATTTAGTCCAAGATGAACACACAACATTATTATTACTCTTTCCATCCAGCTATGGCATATTTCTTTGTTTTCTCTAGTTGTCCTTTGTATCGCTCAATAAAATTTGTGGCTCTGGTATATTTCATAATAATCATACATTATATTTCATTATTTCTAATTATTATAATGGATTGCATATACATTTACTATGTACCACATATTATGCAATATATTCATTATCTCAATTCATAAAACAATCATGTGATTTAGTTGGTGTTATTACTAGATTACCATTGTACAAGTAAAGAAAATAAAGACAAAAGAAAAAAGAAAAGAGACTCAGCAAATCCAAACCAATAAAGACTTAATTAGAATTGTTGGGCATATAACAAAAATTTAATACAACTCAATGAAAGCAAAAAACATTTTAAAAAATGACCAGGCAGATTTGAGAAGGAGCCAAATAGAAATTCCAGAAATAAAAACATAATTGTTGAAATTGAAGACAGATTCGACAGCAGATTACATATAATTGAAAAGGAAAATGTAAACTGGAAGACAGGCTGAAGAAATTGCTCAGAATGAAGCCCAAAGAAGTAAAAAAATAAGAAAAAAACAAGAGACGTGGAAGACAAGAGTGACAAGATATTACAACTAACAGGATTTCATAAGTAAAATAATAAACTGTTAGAAAGGTTTTGTAAAAAAGATAATGGCTTGGAATTTTCTCAAAATGATGAAAAACTCCACCCTTCATATTCATGAAGCTCAAGTTGGACAGATTTAAAAGGAAAATAAAACACCTAAATATATCATCATAAAAATAACAGAACCCTGAAGAAAAGAATATATTGAAAACAACCGAGAGAAAATTCACATTATCCATGAAAGAATATGGATTTAGACCAAGAGCTAATGTCTTAAAAATGGAAGCAGGAAGACAATGTACTAAGAAAAAATAATCACATACGAAATTAGTATATCTTTTAATAAACAGGCCAAATATAAGACAATATTTAAGTCATAAAAACCAAACAAATACTGAATTTGCTAACTAAGAGACCTTCACTAAAGGAAATTCTAAGAGACGTTCTTCAGTAGAAGGGTGTTCCCCTAGATGGAAGACTTGAGTTGCGAGAATAGATAGTGAGTACGTAAGAAGACAAATATGTGAGTAAATATAAATGAACACTGACTATACAACATGTAGTTTCCAGTGGATTAGCAATAAGATGAAAAGGAAAATCATAAAACTTCTAAAGATAATATAGTAAAACTACCTTAATAGCCCCAGTGGGTTTTCATGTAAAACCTAAACAAATTCTGTTCACCAAAAAAACACTATCAGGATCAAAGACCCAACTATAAGGGGTAAAACTATAAAATTTGTAGAAGAAAACATAGGTATAAATCTGTGACCGTGAATTAGGCAATGGGTCTTAGATACAACACCAAATGCAAGAGTGACAAAAGGAAAAACAAACTGGACTTTAACAAAATTCAAAACTTTTGTACATCAAAGGATACCATCAGGAAAGTGAAAAGAACTCACAGAATGAGAGAAAATATCTATTAAGTCATACATCTGATGAGGAACTAATGTCCAGAATATATAAAGAATTCTTAGAATAACAAAAAGACAACACAATTAAATGAGCAAACAATCTAAATGAACATTTCTCTAAAAAGATATACAAATCACCAATCAGCACATGAAAAGATGCTCAACATCATTAGTCATTAAGGATATGCAAATGAAAACTACAACTAGATACCACTTCACATCTACAAGTATGGCTATATTTTTTTAAAAAAGGAAAATAACAGATGTTGGCAAGGAGGTAGGAAAAAATGGAACCTCCGTACGCTGCTGGTAATAATATAAAATGGTACAGAGACTTTGGAACACAGTTTTGAAGTTTTTCAAAAATTTAAACATAGATTTACCATACGCCCACTCCTAGATACATAAAGAAAATTGTAAAAATACGTCCACACAAAAACGAGTACATGAATCTCATCACAGTACATTATTAATGATAGTCAAAAAATGAACACAACTCAAATATCCATCAACTAATAAATGGATAAACAAAACAGTATACTCATGCAATGGGATTCAGGCATATAAAGCAATGAAGTGCTGAGACAAGATACAACATGGATGAATCAGGACAACATGGTAAATAAATGAAGCCAAACACAAAAGGTCACATATGATTCTGTTTTTTCTGGTATTTGGCATATGCTAGTCCATAGAGACAGAGAATAGACTAGTGGTTGCCAGGGGCTGGGAAAAGGGGGAAATGGGGAGTAACTGCTAGTAAGTATGGAGTTTCTTTTTGAAATGATAAACATGTTCTAGAATTAGAGAGTTGTGATAGCTGTACAACTTTATGAATACATTAAAAGCACTTAAAGCGCCTACAGTCCCAGCTGCTCGGGAAGCTGTTGCAGGAGAATCGCTTGAACCTGGGAGGCAGAGGTTGCAGTGAGCCAACATCACACCACTGCACTCCAGCCTGGGTGACAGAGTGAGACTCCAAATCTGGAAAAAAAAAGGCACTTAGTGTACACTTAGAATGGATACTGGGCTAAAAGTGAAGTGACAGGCCTCAAACTAGGCAAATCTTCTATACACATATCTGACAAGGGACTTCAGGAAATCCTAAAAGTTTCAATGATGAAATAGGAGACTATAGACAAAAGACTTGAACAATGCACATAAGGAACCCAAATAACTCATAAACAAATGAAAATAAGCTCAGCCTCCTTCCAAACCACACAAGACTATTTCATATCCAACTGAAAAAATGATATCAAGTAAAGGCAAGAATGTGCACAAATAAGTACCCACATAAGCTGCCAGTGGGAATATAAAATGGTGTTACTTCTTAGCAAATTTGGTATCATCTATTAAATAGTTCACTGTGCATAATCTTGGGCCAAGCACTGCCAATCCTGGGCACATGCCCTGGAAAATCTCTACATGTGAACCAAAAACCAGCACCATTGTATGGATTATCAAAAAAAAATCAAAAATAGAATGGAAAAACAAATTTCACTCTCTGCAATCATATAATCAGACAGTGCAGCAAGGAAAATGAATGAATGTAAGAAAACCACAATAGTAGCAAAAAACAGCAAGTCAGAATACGTAAGGCATGATTCCTTTTATGTAAAGTTTCAAAATATGGAAAACTCAAAATTATCTTCTGTAGGGAGAAAAACATACATTCTTAGAATATATTAGGCAAAGACTTTTACTTGTTTCTTTTTCAGTTTAAGGATCTGCTGTTCTACTTTTGCAATTTTTCAATCTACACGATCCATACTTTGTATTAACTCTTCGTTTGAAAGTTTTGAAGGTAAAGCATTTTGATCATCTCCACATGGTTGCCCCGAAATTGGAGAGGATGGAGCTTCATGTTTGCCTCCAAATGCTGGATCCTTTAGAGAATAAAACCAAGAAAAACAATTCATTTCTCACTAATAGAGTCCAGATTGCCTTAAATGAAACAGTCAGTTTTAAACCACAGCAGAGCCATGTGTAATATGTGTCTAATGAAACCTTTAGCAGTAACTTTCATATTTACATATATGCAAATTCTCACCTCACTTTTATAGTTTAGATATACCATGTACTATTCTGAAGAGCCTAAAAGCTATACAAAGTCAGGTGAGTTAGTGCTGATCAGCCTCTAGTGTAACAATACTGAAATTATAGAGAATTTATAGGTAAATAATGCAATCATGACGAAGATACCAACTTCTCAGCCATTTCCTTGCAATGGCTCTTCAAATGGTCTGAACCACTGGCTGGGAAATAGTATTATTCCAGGTAAAACCTGTGTGTCCACCCAACTTAACAACTATAACATGGCCAAGTGTTCCTATCAGAAGTTTTCAGGCTTTCCAAACCAAAACTGAGGTACACGAGTCAGAGAAGTGACCTAGGAACTTCAGCTGCTACTATCTCTGGGCCTACTTCCATAAAGCCCACACTACAGCATACGTAACATTTCCTTAGCCAAAAACATCCCACTGCACCTCCAAATCAGCAGAGCTGTAGCAGAATGAAAGCCCCTTCACCCAAAATCCACTCCAACACACATCCACACACACCCTATTAATTTCCAGTCTGCTGTAAAGATATAAGCAATATTATAAAACATAAAGTTTAGAGCACTAATTTTACTTAGACTATCAGAAACCTACAATGAGGGTAGTTCACAGGATTACAGAACCCTAAAATGTATTAAATAATGATTAAGGAACTGTGAAAAGTCAATAGTTCTGAGCCAAGAATGCCTACAGGAGATAACTGGACAGTTGCTTCAAAACACCGTAGTACAGATATTTCAGCTAATATACACTGATGAAAAGCCTCATATTCTGTAATAGTATGCACTGAATCTGAGAGGCCTTCTGGGAAAATAAGATTATGGCTATACCCTAAAACCTGTACAGTTCTGTAAGGAAAGCACCAATAAAAGCAATAACAATTCTAATAGACTTAATAGAGTTAAAGCTCCAGTATCCTTTGCATCTGGCATACAATCAATCTTTGGCAGCTTTAAGCCCTAGAGTTTATGATTCCTCTCTTAAGATGTAAATCCGTGAGGTCATTGGCTTCCAAAATAAACCAGTATGTTTCATCTAAATAAAATATCAGTGGCCGGGCATGGTGGCTCATGCTTGTAATCCCAGCACTTTGGGATGCCAAGGCAGGTAGATCACAAGGTCAGGAGTTCGAGACCAGCCTCACCAACATGGTTAAACCCCGTCTCTACTAAAAAATACAAAAATTAGCTGGGTGTGGTAGCGGGCACTTGTAGTCCCAGCTACTCGGGAGGCTGAGGCAGGAGAATGGCTTGAACCCAGGAGGGAAAGGTTGCAGTGAGCTGAGATTGCACTACTGCACTCCAGCATGGGTGACAGAGGGAGACTCCATCTAAAAAAAAAGAAAAAAAATCAGATTTGGCATATAACCATGTTTATCAACCTCTTTTTCTCCCCCTCCCTCCTTTATCAACGCTAAAAAAAAATACAAGAAAATTTGTCTTCACATTGTCTTTTCAATGCTTGAATCTTCACTAACACTGTGAAAAGCACGACAGTTCTTAAATTCACTAAACCAGCTACTATTTGCACTAAATGAAAACTAAATGCAGAATGTTCAAATATTCTTAAGTCTTCATGTGTTGTGAAGCCTTTTTCTTTCATTATGAGACAGCATACTCCTGAGAACTTAGAAATGTTAATGCATAAAGAAAGATCTTTGGTGAACTACCAGGACTTTCATGATACATTAATGTCATTCTCCCACTATATGCATATGAGCAAATTTGTGTTACAGAAACATATATAACAGAAAAAGAGATTACATTTTGAATCAGCAGACTTCAAAAGTGCTCCTCAGGTGATTCTGATGCATCTGATGCATCAGATGCAAAGATTAATATTCTGATGCAAAGAATTAATATTACAAATGAATATTTTCCACTGACTTCCTTTCTAAATATTAAATATTTAATAAGAAACCAAATCCTCAAGTGCCTACTTATATAACAGGAATAGGGTGGTGGATCAAAACAGACAAGATATCTCCCTTCATGAAGTTTACAATCTTGGGTTGAAACAGCAAGATACCAATCCTGAAGAAAAAAGAGTTAGATTCTTACCTCATATCTTACATAAAAAAAGCCAAGTAATAGCAAACATTTATAAGAGGCTTATTAGCAAATCACAAAAAGCCTCAAATTAAAAAAAAAAAAAAGATTCACATTATCGTGGGTTCAGGAAAGCCAAAAGCAAAAGATAAAAAATACATTAGTTTTTAAAAAAGAAAAATTGATGGATAAAATAAAAAACAGTCTTCTGCTGGGCATGATGGCTCACACCTGTAATCCCAGCAGTTTGGGAGGCCGAGGCAGGCAGATCACTTGAGGTGAGGAGTTTGAGACCAGCCTGGGCAATATGGTAAAACCCCATCTCTACTAAAAGTACAAAAATCAGCCAGGTGTGCTGGTGCAAGCCTGTAATCCCAGCTACTTGGGAGGCTGAGGCAGGAGAATGGCTTGAACCCGGGAAGCGGAGGTTGTGGTGAGCAGAGATGGCACCACTGCACTCCAACCTGGGTGACAGAGGAAGACTCCATCTCAAAAACAACAACAACAACAACAACAACAACAACCACCACCACACATGCAAAAACACCATCTTCTGCTTATCAAAACAGTAACAACAAATTAAAAAGGCAAATGATTAAATAGGAAAACCATTTGCAAAACATGCACTCTAACAACTCAATATAAAATAAACCAACAGCAAAATGGGCAACATATATGAAAAATCAATTTACAAAACAGGAAAAATAACCAATAAACAAATAAAAAAATGTTAAATTTTACTAACAAATAATACGTTTAATTTAAAAACAATCATTCATCAAATTAACAATCTTTTTGTTAAACGATAAACATGTGGTGTCAGCAAGGATACAGAAGAAGTGGGTACCTTTATTTTTTTTTATTTTTATTTTTTTGAGACGACATCTCACTCTTGTCCCCCAGGCTGGAGTGCAGTGGCACAATCTCAGCTCACTGCAACCTCTGCCTCCCAGGTTCAAGCGATTCTCTTGCCTCAGCCTCCTGAGTAGCTGGGATTACAGGCACCGGCCACCACACCTGGCTAATTTTTGTATTTTTAGTAGAGACGGGGTTTCACTATGTTGGCCAGGCCGGTCTCGAACTCCTGACCTCTGGTGATCTGCCTGCCTCGACCTCCCAAAGTGCTGGGATTACAGGCGTGAGCCACCATGCCCGGCCAAGAAGTGGGTACCTTTATACACTGTTGTCAGGAGTTAAGAACTGGCCCTACTCTTTTGCAAGACAATCTGGAAATACCCACTGAACCTTAAAAATCAACCTGGTCTGTAATTAATTATACTAAAAGAAATCTACCTTAAGGAAACAAGTAAGAATGCATACAGAAAAAACAAGCTAAATAATGTACGGGCCAGCTGCAGTGGCTCATGCCTGTAATCCCAGCACTTTGGGAGGCCAAGGTGTGCAGATCACCTGAGGTCAGGAGTTCGAGACCAGCCTGGCTAACATGGTGAAACCTCGTCTCCACTAAAAATACAAAAATTAGCTGAACTTGGTGGCATGCACCTGTAGTCCCAGCTATTTGGGAGCCTGAGGCAGGAGAATCGCTGGGAGGTATAGGTTGCAGTGAGCCAAGATCATGCCACTGCACTCCAGCCTGGGCAACAAAGTGAGACTCCATCTCAAAAAAAAAAAAAAAATGCATGTCACAACACCGTACTTCTGAACAAACAGGTAACCTAAATGTATGAAAATTGATTAAATAAATAACTTTATTTATTCATATGTGGAATACTAAGTAGCCACTAACAATACAGTTGTAAACTTATTGACACAAAAAGAAGTTAAGCACGTATTTAAGCAAAAGTAAAGTTAAACAGAATGTACAAAGTGAGCACATTAAAACATTCATACGGGCCGACTCTGGACACACTGCCTATGGGTTAGCCCTGTTACACAAGGAGCAGCAGCAAAAAAAAACAAAAAACAAAAAAAAAAACCCATAAAATTAAATTAAACTAAAATTAAAATAATACACACACAAATAGGGAAGAATCAACATGAAAATGTTAATAACTTTTAACTGGTAAAACTGCAGGTAATTTTTTCTTTCAAGCTTATTTAATTCTTCTATAAATGATATACCTAGGCTTAACATTTAAAAAAAATCTAACAAATGTTAGTTCTTTTTAAATACTTACTTCTGGAGGTGGGCAGTTGGGAGAGAATGGGGAGAGGGAGATGGAAAGAGAAGTATTAGTTAGTAGTAGTAGTCATGGTTTACACTTTAGAGGAAAAAAAGCAGGACTAGAGTCAGGGGTCCTGGGTTAATTCCAGCTCAGGAGGTACTACCTAGGTCACTTAATTTTTCTGAACACCCAGTTTCTCAACTATAACATGGAAATGGGTCACATTACCACACAACACATCTCATTTTAATGAATGAGTTTTTAAGACACTTGTCTGCTAAAAAACGAAATTCTATAAATTACATTTTTGGTAATGTATTCAGCCATGGAAGATGACCTTTATTCACTATATTTTTAAATTTCTTTTTTTTAATGCAGCAGAACACTTCTTATAAACCCCACAGACTACTGTAGGATAAGGATATTTCAAATGATAAGGTGGGTCACAAAACACCTAGAAGCTTAGCTAATTTCTAGCTTATGGCAAAGAATATTTCCCCATCCAACTTACTATTTTGAAAAATTTCAAATTCACTTAAAAGTTGAAGGAACAGTATAATGGACACTCATTTATCCTTCATCTAGATTCACCAGTAGTTAACATTTTAACATATTTACTTTCTGTGTGTGTCTGTGTATGTTTATAAAACTTCATTTTGGCTGAACTATTTGAAAATAAATTGTAGATACATTTATTATCTTTTAAATTACTCTTCATTGCATGAAAACTCAAAGAAAATGTGTGGGTACTTATTTATCTGATATCAGGGAAGAAAGGGCAATCAGGCATAAAGGTTAACAAACATAGAAAAAATATTTGATGGCAGTAAAAACATTTTAAATTTCAGTATGCTTAAAAAAAAGAAAAATTGAAACAAAAAGACTCTGGGAAAAGTATTAGAATATGTTAGGCAGGCAGATCACTTGAGGCCAGGAGTTCGAGACCAGCCTGGCCAACATAGTGGAAACTTGTCCCTACTAAAAATACAAAAAATTAGCTGGGGCCGGGCACAGTGGCTCATGCCTGTAATCTCAGCACTTTGGGAAGCTGAGGTGGATGGATCACCTGAGGTCAGGAGTTCGAGACCAGCCTGACCAACATGGTGAAATCCCATCTCTACTAAAAATACAAAATTAGCCGGGCATAGTGGTGCATGCCTGTAATCCCAGCTACTTGGGAGGCTGAGGCAGGAGAATCACTTGAACCCAGGAGGCGGAGGTTGTGGTGAGCCAAGATCGCATCATTGCACTCCAGCCTGGGCAACAAGAGTGAAACTCTGTCTCAAAACAAAAAAACAAAAAAAGTAGCTGGGCATGGTAGTGCATGCCTGCAGCCCCAGCTACTCAGGGGGCTGAGGCATGAGAATTGCTTGAACCTGGGAGGTGGAGGTTGCTGTGGGCTGAGATCGTACCACTGCTCTCCAGCCTGAATGACAGAGCAAGAATGCCTCAAAAAAAAAAAAAAAAAAAAACAAGTAGCCACAGGGGGGAAAATGTGTTTTATATATTAATGAGCAAAAATTAAGAATGACCTCAGGCTTCTAGTCAGAAACCATACAAACCAGAATACAATGATATGACATCTCTTAAAATACTGAAACTGTCAACTTAGAATTCTATATCTAGTGAAAATAGTCTTCAGAAATAAAAACATTTTCAGGCAAATAAAAGCTGAGAGAATTAATTGCCAAAAGACTTAGCTAAACTGAGAGAAATGAAGTGCTTCAGGCAAAAACACAATAATATCAGAAGAAAACTTGAATACACAAAAAGAATGAAGTGATGATATATACACAGGCAATTAGAGAAGGAAAAAAAAATAAAGAGTAGAAATCAGTGAAATAGAAAAATAGTGAAAATGATTGAAACCAAAGCTAGTTCTTCAAAAATCTATTAAACTGATAAACCTCTAGGCAGACTGATTAAAAAATAATAAAAACAAACATTATCAACATGATTAACAACATAGCAACATATCTCAAAGGCACTGAAATGATGAGGAAATATTGAGACAAATTATGTCAATAAATCTGATACCTTAAACAACAAAATATACCCAAACTGACTCAAGAAAAAATTATCTGAATTATAACTATTAAAGAAATTTAATTCATATTTAAATTCTTCCCAGAAAAAAAAATCTGGGACCAAGTTTCATTGATAAATTCTATCAAATATCTAAGGTTGAAAAAGTATCAATCCCAGCCACCACGTGGTGGGCTGACACCTGAAATCCCAGCACTTGGGGAGGCTGAGGCGGGTAGATCACCTAAGGTCAGGAGTTCGAGACCAGCCTGGCCAACATGGCAAAACCGTACTAAAAGTACAAAAAATTTGTCAAGCATGGTGGTGGGCGCTTGTAATCTCAGCTACTTGGGAGGTTGAAGCAGGAGAATTGCTTGAACCACGAAGAAGAGGTTGCAGTGAGCCGAGATCACGCAATTGCCCACTCTAACCTGGGTGACAGAGTGAGACTCAAAGAAAGAAAGAGGAGAAAGAGGAGAGAGAGAGAAAGAAAGGAAGAAAGAAAAAGAAAAAAAAGAAAGAAAGCCAAGAAAGAAAGAGAAAGAAATGAAAGAAAGAAATGAAAGAAAGAAAGAAAGAAAGAAAGAAAGAGAAAAGGCCAGGCGCAGTGGCTCATGCTTATAATCCCAATATTTTGGGAGGCTGAGTCGGGCGGATCTCTTGAGTTCAGAAGTTCGAGACCAGCCTAGCCAACACGGTGAAACCCCATCTCTACTGAAAATACAAAAATTAGCCAGGTGTGGTGGCACGCACCTGTAATCCCAACTACTCAGGAGGCTGAGGCAGTAGAATCACTTGAACCCGGGAGATGGAGGTTGCAGTGAGCTGAGATTGTACCACTGCACTCCAGCCTGGATGACAGAGCAAGACTCCATTTCAAAGAAAAGTACCAATCCTACACAAACCCCTTAAGAAAAGAAAACACAGGAGTAAAGAGCACTCTCCAAGCTAACATCATTCTTAATGCAGAAAGACTGAAACTCAACGCTTACCACACCACATATAAAATTTTAATTCAAAATAGGTAATTTACCTAAATGAAACACCTATAATTATAAAACTTAGAGAAGAAAACATAAGTGAAAATTGGTCGGGCGCGATGGCTCACACCTGTAATCCCAGCACTTTGGGAGGCCGAGGCAGGTGGATCACAAGGTCAGGAGATTGAGACCATCCTGGCTAACAGAGTGAAAGCTCATCTCTACTAAAGATACAAAAAAAATTAGTTGGGCGTGGTGGTGGGCGCCTGTAGTCCCAGCTACTCGGGAGGCTGAGGCAGGAGAATGGTGTGAACCCAGGAGGCAGAGCTTGCAGTGAGCCGAGATTGCCCCACTACACTCCAGCCTGGGCAACAGAGTAAGATTTTGTCTCAAAAAAACAAAAACAAAAACAAAAACAAAACAAAACAAAAATAGAAAAAAAGAAAACGTAAGTGAAAATCCTAGTGACCTTGAATTTGGCAAAAACGTCTTAGGTTTGACACAAAAAGCACAAAAAATGAACAATAAAAATAGTACATCGGGGCTGGGTGTAGTGGCTCACACCTGTAATCCCAGCACTTTGGAAGGCTGAGGAGAGTGGATCACCTGAGGTCAGGAGTTCGAGACCAGCCTGGCCAACATGGTGAAACTCCATCTCTACTAAAAATACAAAAATTACCTGGGTGTGGTGGCACATGCCTGTAATTCCAGCTACTCAGGAGGCTGAGGTAGGAGAATTGCTTGAACCTGGGATGCAGAGGTTGCAGTGAGCTGAGATGGCACCATAGCACTCCAGACTAGGCGACAGAGCAAGACTCTGTCTCAAAAAATAAACTACATCGGACTTGATAAAAATAAAAAATGTATGCTCTCCAAAGGATACTGTTAAGAAAATGAGGCAAAACTTCTTTTAATAATCTAGATACAATATATAGATATATGTTTTCTAAGTAATTTTATCTATAATAATCAAAAACTGGAATAGGTGACTGGATAAACAAATTGTGGTATACCCATACTCAACAATAAAAAGGAATGAACTGAGACATGCCAGACATGGATAGATCACAGAAGTATTATGGGAAGCAAAAGAGGTCATAGACAAAAGAGTTCCCATGAAGCTCAGAATGTATACAATGTTTTATGACAGAAAGCAGATCAGTGGTTTCCTAGGAGCTGAGGTTAGTAGGAATTGGGGGAGGAGGACTGACACGGGTGGGTGCCAAGGAGGATGGGGTGCCAAGGAACGTGCTGGAGTGTTAGAAATGTTGTTCATCTTCATTTTGGTGATGGTTCTATGAGTTTATGAATTTGTCAAAATTTGTTACAATGTACACATATAATGAGTGCATTCTAATATAGATATATGTGTATATATATATAAACTAAACTGCAAAGTTAATTTTGTTTCTTTTAAGATGGGGTTTCACTCTTGTTGCCCAGGCTGGAGTGCACCGGCACGATTTTGGCTCACTGCAACCTCTGCCTCCCGGGTTCAAGCGATTCTCCAGCCTCAGCATCCCAAGTAGCTGGGATTACAGGTGCCTGCCACGATGCCCGGCTAATTTTTTCGTATTTTTAGTAGAGACGGGGTTTCACAATGTTGGCCAGGCTGGTCTCAAACTCCTGACCTCAAGTGATCCACCCGCCTCAGCCTCCCAAAGTGCTGGGATTACAGGCGTGAACCACTGCGCCCGGCCTGATTTTATGAAAAAACCAGCAGCAACAATAATCCGGAAAATTGGTAATCAGATGAATAACACTGGGGTAGGGGGACAACACAAGCAAAATTCAACACCAATCATGACAGAAATTCTCAAACTAGGAACAGAAAGCAACCTCTTCAACCAAAAAAGGCATCAACAAAAATGTGCAACTAACGTTACACGTAATGGTAAAAGACTAAATGCCTCCCTACACAGGAACATCGTAGGAATGTCCATTCTAACTCTGTAATCATGACTACACTTCAAAGGAGTCCTCAGTAGGACCCCGTAGTACATTTTGATGACAAATCTGCTTTCTTAGTCTCTGAGATGACCGTTTTATCCCATCCTTTCCTATTTTTCTTTAAACCTCTTACATCCATATCTTTGGTCTACTCTGAGATGATTATTTCACCTCATACTTTATTTTTCACAAGGTAAATCAATCTCTTACAAACTCTTCCTATAATAAAGTCTTCCTTCCTATCTACCATCCCTTCCTTCCTTCCTACCTACTATGCAAATCTTCCTACCATCAATCTCTCAAGAAGACAGAGGTCTTTATCCTGGCCATCACTCAAGACATGCCAAGTTATCTAGCCAGCTTAAAACTCAACCACAACTTGGGAGTATAAATATAGGTCTTACCCTAGAAATTCTAGAGAATTGATAAGTTTTCTATTTATCATCAACTCCTGTCATCAAAACAAAGACAAGTTCAACTCCTGAAATCGGCATAAAGCCACAGTAAGAAGACAGAAATAATTAATTCCCAACCTTTGGTTCCTTGTCTTTGTAAATAGCTCTTGCCACTTAAAAAAAAAGGCAAATTTGGTGGTTTCTACCAACATGTGTATTAAATAGGAAAAGTAAAGAAAAACAAAAAAACGTGCAATTTGCATAGCATTTGTTCCTTACCTGCTGGTGGTGGGTGCTGGGAAACGTATACTTTACAGAGTGAGGAGGAGAACGACTTTGTTCTGTGCTGAATGCTCCTTGGTTGGGAGGATAAACTGAACTTGACATTATCAGTAAAGAAGTTCTCACCAGACTGCGAGATCAACGCCAATAAACAATCATGTTTCTAGGAAACCATCTAAACAGGATGGGAAAAAAATAGAATTAATAAGAACTAAAACACCAAGTGTACTTCTAATAAATTATAACTATAGATACATAAATAAAACCACAATTACCAGGAAAAGCTTCCTCTCAGGTATTTACTTAATAAAAGTTACCAAGGTTTGAAAACATTAATGCATCATTTCTTTTTATATTTAAAATAGGTTAGTATGTGACAAATAATATAATTAGCTATATAAAGTAAAAACAGTATATAAAAACAGCATAATATCTGGCACATAGTAACTGCTCAGTAAATACCTTTCTATAAATGTCTAAGGCATATAAAGACAAAAATACATGGTTTTAAATTTGGGAGTTGATAAGTCAATTGTGAAAAGAATTCAAGAGTAGTTTTAAGGTAAGCATTTGTGCAGAGGAAGTATTGTCTTTATTAAATAATTGTGAAGCAAGGATGATAAAATACTAAGTTTTGTAATCACAGATGGTAGGTAGATGGATATTTGTTATGTTACTCTTTGCTTGCTTCTATGGAACTGAAATAGCAAATAAAGAAAAAAAAGGCCAGGAGCGGTGGCTCCTCCTGTAATCCCAGCACTCTGGGATGCTGAGGCGGGAAGATCACTTGAGGTCGGGAGTTCGAGGCCAGCCTGGCCAACATGGTGAAACTTCTTTTCTACTAAAAATACAAAAATTAACCGGGCATGGTGACATGCGCCAGTAATCCCAGCTACTTGGGAGGCTGAGGCAGGAGAATTGCTTGAGCCTGGGAGGTGGCAGTTGCAGTGAGCCGAGATCACACCATTGCACACCAGCTGGGGAAACAGAGTGAGACTTCATCTCAAAAAAAAAAAAAAAAGAAAGAAAGAAAAAGAAAGCCATCCTCATTATAAACTCTATTCCTACTTGTCCACAATTCTAGACTAATTTGATTTGTCTGTCTTTTCCTGTGCCAATGCCACACTTTTCAAATTACTCTAGTATTACGAGGTTTCATATCCAGCAGGGCAAGTTTCACCTCACTGTGCTTCGTTGTTGCTGCTACTTTCACCACCTTCCCAGCTATTCTAGAACATTTCCTCTTACACACAAGCATGAGAGTCAGCTTGTCAGGTCCCAGAGAAATTCTGGATGAGAAAACATAAATATTGAATTCACAGACTGACTAATGGGAGAACAGGTACCCCTATACTCCTGAGTATTCCCATTCTAAAACATGATTATCTACGTTTATGTTTCAGGATAACACAAATATTTATGTTATACATAATTCATATGGGTGTATTTTACATACATATGGTAGAGAATATTACATATGTGTAAAAATGTGTGCAATAATATATAATTTCTATCTTAATTATATATAAAACTCCCATGACAAAAATTTTATATACACATATACACATGTGCATGTGTGTACATACACTCTTACTTTAAGACCGGAGTTCTATTATTACCTAATTGGGTGGTTTTAAAAAAATAGAATTTAAATATAAGATGAAAACTATATAATTGCATACATAAAAATATAACAGATATAATTTTATATATATAAAATCTTCACCCATTTAATACTTTATTAGTAAAGTTTTAATTTTGTTTCCATCATTTCAAGGTATTTGGGAAGAGGGCAAATTCAAAAAATAATTCAGTATGACAAATTGATCAATTTCCCAGTTTTTATCAATATATTCTTTATCCAGTTAGGTTTAGAAAATAAAATTTTCTAGGGAATTGTCATTCAATCTAACTTTAAAACAAAACTTATAGGCTGGCCACAGTGGCTCACACCTGTAATCCCAGCATTTTGGGAAGTCAAGATAGGAGGATCTCCTAAGGCCAGGTATTCAGGACCAGAATGGGCAATGAAGCCAGAACTATCTCTACAAGAAAATTAAAATAATAATAATAATTAGTTAGGCGGCCAGGTGCGGTGGCTCACACCTGTAATCCCAGCACTTTTGGAGGCCGAGGCGGGCGGATCGTGAGGTCACGAGATCGAGACCATCCTGGCTAACACGGTGAAACTCTGTCTCTATTAAAAATACGAAAAAGTAGCCGGGCGTGGTGGTGGGCACCTGTAGTCCCAGCTACTCGGGAGACTGAGGCAGGAGAATGGCGTGAACCCAGGAGGCGGAGCTTGCAGTGAGCCGAGATCGGACCACTGCACTCCAGCCTGGGTGACAGAGCGAGACTCTGTCTCAAAAAAAAAAAAAAAAGAAAAAGAAAAAATAATTAGTCAGGCATACAGTACACACCCATGGTCCCAGCTACCTGGGAGGCTGAGGCAGGAGGATCACTTGAGCCCAGGAGGTCAAGACTGCAGTGAGCCGTGATTGTGCCACTGCACTCCAGCCTGAGTGATACAATGAAACTCTGACCCAAAAAATAAAAGAAAAAATGTATAGAAAGAACTTTAAGGCCAGGCGTGGTGGCTCACGCACTTTAGGAGGCCAACGTGGGCAGATCACGAGGTCAGAGTTCAAGGCCAGCCTGGCCAACATGGTGAAACCCAGTCTCTACTAAAGATACAAAAAATTAGCCGGGCATGGTGGCACACACCTGTAAACCCAGCTACTTGGGAGGCTGAGGCAGGAGAATCACTTGAAGCTGGGAGGCGGAGGTTGCAGTGAGGTGAGATGGCATCACTGCACTCCAGCCTGGGTGAGGGGCCCAGACTCCATCTCAAAAAAAAAAAAAAAAAAAAGAACTTTAAAAACTGCATGTGGTACCATGTAATATATAAATATTTTAAATAAATATATCATCCTTTCTCCTGATGTCACATTTCCTGCTGTTGTGAAAGTTGACCAGGAGAAGAGTCAGAAGACTGACCAGCTGTCCCTCAGTCTGTTTTCTCCCTGTTCCCTTCCAAGGCCCGAGGCATGGAGGTCAGCAAATCTTAAGGATTGGAAGGTTGAGATTACCCAACTAACACTGATTTGACAGGTGAGAAATGTGAAGATCAGAGAAAGTCAATAATTCCTCCAATATCACAAAATTGTCTGTGGCAAAATGGGAAAAACTAATGTTTTCTGCAATGCTTTGCGGCCTTCTCAGCAGGTAGTGAACTAGGAGAAGGTGAGATGTTCCGTGAGACCACACATTAAAACCACCTGAGGAGCTTTCTCCTCATCTATACATCTGCAACTGCTCCAGGTGGAAGGGGAAAAGCCAACATGTGGCACTGTGGGGAGGGTTGATCTTTTTAGAAATAAAGATTATATGCAGGACTTAAGAGTTTTTAAAAGTACCACAGAATACAAAGTGAAAAATCTCCTTGCCCTTCTCCTCCAGCTGCTACCCAGTTACCCTCCCAGAAGGCAACCAAAGTTACTAGTTTCTAGAGTGTCCTTTAGAAATATCCCACACATACATACAATCACACTTTTTCCCCTATGTAAATGGTGGCATACTAGAAACACACTGTTCTGTATCTTGCTTTTATTACTTAATACATCTCGGTTGGCCTGGTGCAGTGGCTCATGCCTGTAATCCCAGCACTTTGGGAGGCTGAGGAGGGTGGATCATGAGGTCAGGAGATCAAGATCATCCTGGCTAACACAGTGAAACACCGTCTCTATTAAAAATACAAAAAAGTTAGCCAGGCATGGTGGTGGGCGCCTGTAGTCCCAGCTACTCAAGACGCTGAGGTGGGGAGAAAGGCATGAACCCAGGTGGCAGAGCTTTCAGTAAGCCAAGATCACATCACCAACCTCCAGCCTGGGTGACAGAGCGAGACTCCGCCCCCCCCCCCCCAAAAAAAATACATCTTGGCAATTATTCTCATGCATCTATGGTTCTTTCTATTGCTAAAGAGAATTTCACTACATGGGCCAGATGTGGTGGCTCACGCCTGTAATCCCAGCATTTTGGGAGGCTGAGGCGGGTGGATCACCTGAGGTCAAGAGTTCGAGACCAGCCTCACCAACATGCTGAAACCCCGTCTCTACTGAAAATACAAAAATTAGCCAGGCATGGTGGCACATGCCTGTAATCCCAGCTACTCGAGAGGCTGAGGAAGGAGAATCGCTTGAAACCAGGGGCAGAGGTTGCGGTGAGCTGAGGTCGTGCCATTGCACTCCAGCCTGGGCAACAAGAATGAAACTCTGTCCAAAAACAGAGTATTTCACTATATGAACGTTCATGCATTTTGTAAAAGTTTTCCAACTAATTCTGATCTGCTGTCCTAAAACATGCTTTAAGTGATCTATCTCTGTGCTCTCCTCCCAACTCAGACATCCCAAATAAATAAAGCTATAAGTGGAATGCAGAGGCAAAAAAAAAAAAGATTTTAACCCAGGGTCATCCCACTTTTTTCTAACAGTGGCCTAAATGATTAGAAACCCATGAGGTACAATTTTTTAATGCACATTGTTTAACTTTCAGCTATGGTGAGTCCTGAGTTCAACAATTACAAACAATGTCACTCAAAGTCACAAGTTAAGTGACTTCTCCATTTTTTCCCTCATTTCAGTAATCCTTCCTGTTGTCCTAGTTTTGTGGTATGACTTTAATGAAGTTCAACTTTATTATCTCAAAAAAAACAAAAAAAATTAGTTTTATTTAAAAGTACTATTCGCCCAATACAGAAGGAAAAAAAAAAAAAAACTAGCAAAGTCAGGAAATTAGCCCCTACCGGCATACAAATTTACAGGTCAAAGCAAGCCCTTCCTGTCGTCACATGAACTGCAGCCTGGAGACCACCACAACCTCCTTCCTCAAAACTTGTCCACGAGATACACAGCAACAGTGCTCAGATCTTGTTTTTTAACCAGAATGTTTTCCTCAGAAGTCTTAAATGAAAGCTAAATGTACAAAAGGTACAATGGAGAAACATTCTGATCTAGTGAGAATGGGAGACCTAGGATTCATTTTTTCAGGCTCCCCCTGCCTTTCCCCATCCCTCCCTCCACCTTTCACTCCAGTCCTGGTTCACTAAGATACCTCGGCAGAATACTTTACATTTGAAACCCACTGAAATGAAAGAATCTAAAGTTCAGACTGAAGGGGAAGGGAGCACCTTAAGTGGCAGTATCAAATTATAATTTCAGTTCTTAGCACCAAAACTCATTAACTCAGGGTAGTTACATGGTTGACTCATGAACTAAAACAATTCTATGAATAGTTTAAGAAATCCGATCAAGATTTTATGAGCAACTTCCTCATCTCTTACATATCAACATATAATGTTTTAGGATGAGAATAATATAGTAATAATTATACATCACTGTCATAAAAGACAATAGCACTTCTAACTGAATTATACAGATAAACCCAGAACTAGCCTCTTACATATTGCAAACAGGTAATAAAATATTGCAAAATGAAATTGATCTATTTAAGTTCCTTTTTAAATCTTCTCATATTAAATAAACACACACATATTTACTCAACAGGAAAATCTTGCAACAAAATTTCAAATACTAACCTGCCAAAAAACAAGTAATTTTTCCTCTCAGCAGGAACTCCTGGCTTTTGGCCCACAACCTTTGCATAACCAAAATGTGTTATGCAAAGGTGTTCAAGGTGGCCTAAGCTACATTGGAAAAAAAGCTAAAAATGGCCGGGCACAGTGGCTCATGCCTGTTATCCCAGCACTTTGGGAGGCCAAGGCTGATGGATCACAAGGTCAGGAAATCAAGACCATCCTGGCCAACATGGTGAAACTCCATCTCTACTAAAATACAAAAAAAATTTAGCCAGACATGGTGGCACACACCTGTAGTCGCAGATACTCGGGAGGCTGAGGCAGGGGACTCACTTGAATCTGGGAAGTGGAGGTTGTAGTGAGCTGGCACCGTGCCACTGCACTCCAGCTTGACAACAGAGCGAGACTCCATCTCAAAAAAAAAAAAAAAAAAAAGCTAAAAATATACTTCACAGTGGCAGGACCGCAGATGTCACTTCAGATGAGCAAGAATGAATCCACCAAGCATCACAATAGAGGTGAAGCCTACATTTCACCAAAGCAGAAAAAGGATCCTACAAAATATGCAATTTTTAACTGATAAAATAATGAAACCTCCTGATACAAAAGTATGGGATAGGGCAATGCCTCTATGACATTTAAATGCTAAAATATTAGTTATTAAACTGAAGCAAATTAGGTCACTCCAGTTCCCACAAAGTTGTCCAGCTCTAGACCAATTCTAAAAGTATGTTAGGTAAGACAAGGCTAAGAAGGACAACCACCCTGGGCATCCCGACACCTAAAATCCTCCAACCTGGGGATAATTTAAAGAAAGCCGACCTCCTAAACTTATTACAGAGTCCACCATCCAGGAGAGGAAAGACTAGAAATTATCTAAGTGAATTATGTAATTTGTACAAGACCAGAGTGGTGCTATACTGGAATGGATTTTCTCCTGTAAAATAACCTAAGCATTCTTCCCTTTGGGGGGAAAAAAGCTACTGCTTCTCAGCCTTTTGGTTAAGATCTAACCTGGGGGAATGCCACTGACAAGGTATTTTATTTGCAGCCTCTTTTGACATCATGACATCTTACTTAAAGACAGAGAAACAAATGGAAGCTAAGGAAAAAGCTTTTTAGTTAACCTATCCTACCTCTAATAAAGTACGATATTGAAAGAAATCTCTACTAAAAATACAAAAATATGGCTGGACATGGTGGCTCACATCTGTCATCCCAGCACTTTGGGAGGCTGAGGCTGGAGGATCACAAGGTCAAGAGTTCAAGACCAGCCTGACCAACATGTGAAACCCCAACACTACTAAAAACATGAAAATTAACCAGGTGTATGTAGTGGCGTGCACCTGTAATCCCAGCTACTTGGGAGGCTGGGGCAGGAGATTCGCTTGTACCCAGGAGGCAGAGGTTGCAGTGAGCAGAGATTGCACCACTGCACTCCAGCCTGGGCGACAGGGTGAGACTCCATCTCAAAAAAAAAAAAATACAAAAAATTAGCCTGGTGTGGTGGTGCACACCTGTAATCCCAGCTACTCAGGAAGCTGAGGCATGAGAATCACTTGAACCCGGGAGGCAGAGGTTGCAGTGAGCCGAAATCACACCCCTGCTCTACAGGCTGGATGACAGAGCAAGATTTCATCTCAAAATAAACAAACAAAAAAAGAACAAATATATTTCACAAACAAAATGGATGACTACATGCCAATTCCCTCCCTGATTAACACAAAAGAACAAAGAAATTGAGATAAGAAAAATTTTAATGTAGATATTTGGCCTGAATTAATAGATATAACAATATCTAAGTGGGTATTACTAAAAGTTACCATTTATTGAGCTCTAGACATATACTAGGCAGTGTGCTAAGACTTGATGTGTGCATGAGCTCACCTAAAAGTCTGGTTCTACTATTAGCTGTAAGTCTGTAGGGAAGCTACATAACTTCCTCAAGCTATGTTTTTCTAACTCAAAGACAGATACCTTAAAGATCATCTGCTGCTGCCTCTCCTTTGACCCACTAACAGAGACTACAGGTTATTAAGCAATATAAAACAAGGGTTATTAACAGACTCTGTTTTTTGCTGCATCCCCCTCAACACCCCCGAGCTCCACAAATCTTAAAGTCAAATGCTCTTAGCCTACTTTATTTTGGTACACACCTCAGAAACGAACAGAACTGTCAAACACCTGTGAAGGCAAAGATCAGCTCTGTTCTGCTCTACACGGCCTCTGCAGCAGCTAGCAGTACTTAGCTCTCAGTAGCACCCACTCCAACAGCAAGTTGTTTAGCTGTTCCTTATACACACGCACACACATACGCACACTCACACACACACAGACTCTGAAGCTTCCCTGGCCTCTCCATCTAACTACCACCATCCTTACCTCTTGCTGCAAAAACTCCTAACTGGGCTTCCCACTTCAATACTTTCTCAACTCAAAAAGCCAAGTGTTCTTTTTAAACCTTAAATCAGAACACGCCACTCTTCTGCTTCAGATTCCCCAAGGATTTCCTACGCACTGCATATCTAAACTACTTACGATGACCCAAGGCCCTACTAGATTTGGCCTGCTTACTTTCCAGATTGCTCATTAGGCCCCAGCAACATGAGTTTCCTTTCAGTTTCTTCAGGAGCCCTTCTCTGCCAGGTCCTTCCTAGCTGGGCCTTTGTCCTTCTTTACTCTCTTCCAGGAACGCTGTTCCTGGCTCATTCAGGTGGCTAGCTCCTCCTCAAACTTAAGGTCTCAGTTCAAATGTCATCTCAGAAGAGTCTTTCCAACCACCCTACATATAAGGTAAGCTCCCACTAGTTACTCTCAATCGCATCACCCTTTTGGTTCATTTATAGGTTTATCATAATTTGAAATGGATTACGTACTTCATTTTATTGAGTATATTCTGTCTTCTCTCACTAGAATAAAAACTACCTGTTTGATTCTCTATAATATTTGTTGGATAAAATAAACAAACTCCCATTCATGGGTCTGATGTTTTTTAAAATAAATAAACAAGAAATATACAAGACTTATTTGTACAGGACTTATTTGAAGCAAAGTTTGAAAATCTACTGAGACACATAAAAATCTGTTAGAACACAGGACAGAAAGTACATAAAGATGTCAATTTCCCCAAACTTCACCTCCAATTTCAGTATTCCCAATCAATATTCAGTATTCAATAAAAATCTCTATGATTTCTTTTTGAATGTCACAGAATGATTCTAAAGTTCATCTAGAAGAACACATAGACCAGAATTGTCAAAGTCTGAAAAAAAAAGAGAAATGAACAGGTAATTAACCCCATCTGTATTAAAATTATAAAATGATAGTAATTTAAAGTGTATGGTAATACACAAGAGACCAAAATAACAAGACCAATCAGAAATAGTCCCAAACACATTTAGTAAATGACAAAAGCTGCAATTCTAATAGGGGGGCAAAAAACAGATTATTCACTAAATGGTGCTGACACAACTAGCTAGATGGGGTAGAATTCACACACAATTTTATCCCCCAAAATATGTCTCACTTCTTATACCAGAAATAAATTCCAGACGGATCAAAGAATTAGAAGTTTTAAAAAGAGAAGGAAAAGGAAAATAAAGAAACCATTGAAGTATTAAATACAATCTGGGGACTTCTTTGTTTTAAAAATACAAAAACACATGCAGTTAAAAAGTCTTCCTCTCACTCATTCTTCCTACTATGACAACCAATGTTTCCAAGTATCATATATCCTGTGATATACAAGCAAAAATGTATACATTGTTTTTCATCTTTAAAGCAAAGACACATAGAGGCATATAATGTTCCTCACTTTGTTTTTCTAGTTTAGTAGCTAGGTGAATATTTTACATTTTGGAGCAAGGAAAGTCTTAAGTAGAGCACAAAACACAAAAGTCACATAAATAAATTAATAACAGTCACAACTAACATTTATTATTTACTTACTTTGTGCCAGCCATTATGCCTAATGCTATTTACATTATCTCCATTGTACAAATAAGGAAATTAAGGTGTACAGAGGTTAAATAATGTGCCCAAGGTCCCACAGCAGCACAGTGCTGGGTTTGGATTTATCTGATTGCATAACATTACAAAAGAATAGCTAGGGGGATATGTGCACACGTACGAAAAAAGTGAATAAGGCCAGACGCATTGGCTCACACCTGTAATCCCAACACTTTGGGAGGCCCAGGTGGGCGGATCACCTGAAGTCAGGAGTTTCAGACCAGCCTGACCAACATGGAGAAACCCCATGTCTAGTAAAAATACAAAATTAGCCGAGCATGGTGGCGCAGGCCTGTAATCCCAGCTACTCAGGAGGCTGAGGCAGGAGAATCACTTGAACCCAGGAGGCAGAGGTTGAGGTGAGCTGAAATCACACCATTGCACTCCAGCCTGGGCAACAAGAGCAAAACTCTGTCTCAGAAAAAAAAAAAAAAAAGAAAGAAAAAAAAAAGAAAAGAAAAAGAAAGAAATAAAAAAGTGAATATGTAGAGAACTTTTAACCTGTGAAAAACCAGTAACCCCAACAGAAAATAAACAAAGAACAAAAGTAGGCAATTTATAAAAGACATATGGCCAGGCGCAGTGACGCACCCTGTAATCCCAGCACTTCGGGAGGCTGAGGTGGGTGGATCACCTGAGGTCAGGAGTACAAGACCAGCCTGACTAACATGGTGAAATCCCATCTCTACTAAATACATAAATTAGCTGGGCGTGGTGGCAGATGCCTGTAATCCCAGCTACTTGGGAGGCTGAGGCAGGAGAATTGCTTGAACATGGGAGGCGGAGGTTGCAGTGAGCCGAGATCGTGCCACTGCACTCCAGCCTGGGCAACAAAAGCAAGTCTCTGTCTAAGAAAAAAAAAAAAAGGCCAGGTGCGGTGACTCAGGTCTGTAATCCCAGCACTTTGGGAGCCCAGGCAACAAGAGCAACACTCCATCTCAAAAAAAAAAAAAAAAAAAAAAAAAAGAAAGAAATACAACTTTCTCCATATTAAAAAATGTTCAGCCTCAATAGTGATTGACAAAAGGCCATCACATTTTTTCAGTTCCTAAATTGTCAAAATATTTTAAACTGTAATATCTAGTATTAGCCAGGGTATGGGGCATATGTGAATACTATTGGTAGCTTTACAAATTGGTACAACAACCTTTTGGAAGGAAAATGTATAAATATCTATCCATATCTACATTATTCACATCTTTTGATTTCAGCAACTCCACTTCTAGGAATCTATCCTACAAAGCTGTTTGTATAAAGTACACAAAATACATATACATATGTACATGTGCATAAATAGTCATACACACACACAATTGTTTACAGCTTTCTTTTTCTGGCAACAACAAAAAAATCCAGTGACCATAAGTTGATTAAGCAAATTATGGTATTTTCTTTTTTTGTTTGTTTGAAACAGAGTCTCACTCTGTCGCCCAGGCTGGAGTCCAGTGGCATGGCTCACTGCAACCTCCACCTCCCAGTTTCAAGTGATTCTCCTGCCTCAGCCTCCCAAGTAGCTGGGATTACAGGCACATGCCACCATGCCTGGCTATTTTTTGTATTTTTAGTAGAGATGGGGTTTCACCATGTTGGCCAGGCTGGTCTTGAACTCCTGACCTCCGGTGATCCAGCCAGCTCGGCCTCCCAAAGTACTGGGACAACAGGTGTGAGTCATCGTGACTGGCAAATTATGGTATTTTCATGTACTAGAAATGGGGTATTTAAGTTGCTGTTAATGATTGATAGAGGTAACTCTGAAATAAATAGACAAACTTGCAACAGTAGTATATAAAAGAATAGTATATTATGATCCCATAATTTAGAAAATTATACAAACACAGAAAAAAAAACTGGAAGAATATGCAGCAAACTCAGTAGATTACATCCAGGAATTTCAGTATATATAAAAAATAATGTATTACTTACAATTAGTGAAAGATCAAATTTTAAAATAGCATATCCTCCTTCATGCATTAAAATGATTTTGTGTGAATATAAAGTAACTTCTTTCTCCCCCCTCAACAGAATGTATATACTCCTACATCAGGTATATTAATGTTCTGCATATTTTAGGTTATAACTCCTAGATAGCACGTTTTGATTTCATTCCAAATACCTCCAAATACATAAAAGTTATTGTAGTTAAAAATGAATTTAAAAATATTAAAAGTAATGCAAAGTTAAACATCTTTGAACAGAAACTCAAAGTCCTGATGATGACTACTTAAACATTTTCAAAATTACATTAATCTCCATGTTATTGCCAAGGGAAATGAATTGCCTAAAACAAATTACTCTGAATGTGAACAGTGTATGACAGTGATAATGGCAAGAAGAATGTCTGTCAGTTCAACCAAGTATGGGGTAAAGGGGCAATCTATAAGCATAAAGGTGACTCTCATCATAAATCTGAATCAAATTTTGCTAGAAAAATGTAACCTTTGCCAGGTGCTGTGGCTCACTCCTGTAATCCCAGCACTTTGGCAGGCCGAGGCAGGCAGATCACGAGGTCAGGAGATCGAGATCATCCTGGCTAACATGGTGAAACCCTGTCTCTACTAAAAATAGAAAAAATTAGTCGGGCATGGTGGTGGGCACCTGTAGTCCCAGCTACTCTGGAGGCTGAGGCAGGAGAATGGCGTGAACCTGGGAGGTGGAGCTTGCAGTAAGTCAAGACCATGTAACTGCACTCCAGCCTGGGTGAGAGCGAGACTCCGTCTCAGGAAAAAAAAAAAAAAAGAAAGAAAGAAAAGAAAAATGTAACCTCAATATATTTGGTTTTGATTATCAGTTTATTTATGTATAACAAATAAAAAAGACAGCCAAACAGCCCAAATTTTGTTCCTCGAGTACACTGTAATGGGGGAAAGAAATCCAAATAAGTTGGGAATCTTGACTTTTCCTTTACTCCTGACGAATCTACTTAAGAATTTAATTTTTTTAATATAAAACTAGTTGATATTATTCTTTCAAAGGGAGTCCTAAATTCTATTATAATCAACCAACTGTTCCATATTTCTTTTTTTTTTTTGAGATGGAGTCTCGCTCTGTCACCAGGCTGGAGTGCAGTGGCACAATCTCGGTTCACTGCAACCTCTGCCTCCCGGATTTAAGCGATTCTCCTGCCTCAGCCTCCTGAGTAGCTGGGACTACAGGCACGTGCCACCATGCACAGCTAGTTTTTTTTTTTTTTTTTTTTTTTTTTTGTATTTTTAGTAGAGACGGGGTTTCACCATGTTGGCCAGAATGGTCTTGATCTCTTGACCTCATGATCTGCCTGCCTGGGCCTCCCAAAGTGCTGGGATTACAGGCGTGAGCCACCATGCCGGCCAATCGTCCCATATTTCTAACTCCCAGTTTTTTCCTAGGATTGAAATTACTCCGAAATTCCCTGCATATATAAATTAAAACATTATTGCTTTCTAATATTATCTAGAACTATGAGTGCTGTCTAGGATGAACCAATCCCATATTTACTTTCTCTTCCTCCCCCAAATCCCAATAAACAGAACTTTTTTTTCTTTTTTAAAGAAATGCTTTTAACTGGGCTCAGTGGCCCACACCTATAATCCCAGCACTTCAGGAGGCCAAGGTGGGAGGATCTCTTGAGCCCAGCAATCTGAGGTCAGCCTGGGTAACATAATGAGACTCTGTTTCTACAAAATAAAAGAAATTGACCATGTGTGGTGGCACACACCTGTAGTCCCAGCTACTCAGGAGGACCGTGTGAGCCCAGGACTCGGAGGCTGCACTGAACCATGATCACACCGCCACACTCCAGCCCGGGCAACAGAGAGAGACCCTCTCTGTAAAAAAGAAAAAAAAAGAAACATTTTGATAATTTACTAATTACAGCTATGTTAGTCACTGACGTTGGTGAAATTTCTACCTGTTTTTTAATTTCCAAAAACTATTCAGCATCAAACTGCCATATGTGTATCAGACATCTTCTACAGCATCCACACTAACTCTAGCTGCTAAGCTCTTTTATGCATTCAACAAGTATCTACTACTCCTTGGCACAGGGTGTTATTCTGGGAGTGAGAAAAGAGGAAAAAAAAATTTAAAAACTCAGATACAGACATGCCTACAAAGGGCTTATGGTCTAGAGGCAAAGGATCAAGAGTTTCCAGAAAAAGAAAATATACATTTTGGAGAAGAGGGAATAGGAGAGACACTTCCTGGATGACGTAATATGTGATCAAACCCTTGAAAAATAGGATAAATTTAGATGTAGTAGAGTTTGGAAGATAAGGGAGGAAAGGAGTATTCCAGAAACAAGCATAGTAAGAAGAAAAAACAAATAAAAAATTCTTCTTAATGCAACACAAAATAGCCCAAGTAGAATAAAGAAATATGCCATGCTTCAGTATTTATGTAAAGATTATCAGCTTAATGAAAATATGCCTTTTCCTTTACAATAAATTTTACAGGCTGGGCATGGTGGCTCATGCCTGTAATCCCAGCACTTTGGGAGGTCATGGTGGGAGGATTACTTGAGCCCAGAATTCAAGACCAGGCTGGGCAAAACAATCAGACCCCATCTCTATTTTTAAAAAGTTAAAATAAAACAAAATAAATTTTATAGCATGTATACATACAGAAAATATTACAAATGAGCTTTTTGATGTAAAAAAATTCATAAAGAATACAGTTGGCCAAGTGTGATGGCTCACACCTGTAATTCCAACACTTTGGGAGACCAAGGCGGGCAGATCACTTGAGGCCAGGAGCTCGAGATCAGCCTGGACAACATGACGAAACTCCGTCTCTAAAAATACAAAAATTATCCAGGCATGGTGGCATATGCCTGTAATCCCAGCTACTTGGGAGGCTGAGCACGAGAATTGCTTGAACCTGGGAAGTGGAGGTTGCAGTGAGCTGAGATTCTGCCACTGCACTCCAGCCTGGGCAACAGAGTGAGACTCTGTCAAAAAAAAATTCATGTTTGTGCTATTTATCTAAGCATTTATATTAATATAACAATTGAAATCCTTCATACTTAAAAAAAATCCAGAAGTCTGAAAGTAGGCAAAACAAACAACAGCTAATTTATAAAATAATTTAACCTATTTGTAGGCCAGGTGCAGTGGCTCATGCTTGTAATCCCAGCACTCTGGGAGGCCAAGGCGGGAGGATCACCTGAGGACAGGAGTTCGAGATTAGCCTGACCAATACGGAGAAATGCTGTCTCTACTAAAAAATGATTTTAACACTGTCTTTATTTCCCAAAGATCACTGAAGTCATGTTAAATAAAAGGCATTAGAGATTCTATTTTTCTGACAAAATATTTAAGAGACTTCCTTTTCTTCTAAGCCAAGTAGTTAGGGCTCCTTTATATATCCATCATATACACAACACTTCTAGACAGGAAAAGATCTAGCAGTTGTTAAGTTTTTCTTTCTCATTTTATGAACCCTAACACAACTTCCACAGACTATCTATGACATGAACTTTCTGACTTTTCCTGTACTTCCCTCTTTCATAATTAGTCATTCTACTTTAGGACAAAAATTTGCCATACAAGATCCTCTCATATAACATTTCTTTCCTTCACAACTTTTCTTACCATAAATACATCTTCATATCCACAACTTTCTTTAGATCTCTCTCCCTGACTGATTTCTGATGCCCACCCAAACCTAAAAGGTCAGATAACACAAAGCAAAACAGAGGAGAGCTTTAGATTTTGAGAGAGACCCGTCTGCCTGAAGTTCTTGGGGTTCCATGAGGACAACAGAGGTTTCTCCTAAAATGGGTTTTGTAGCACCTTCTGTTTTTCTTTAAGGAGTCCCAGGCTGTCAGAAATTACCTTAGGTCTTGTCATGTGGGCACTGAGTGGCAACAAGACAGACTAGGGAACAGTCGCAACATGACAGACAACTGAGCAGAAAAAGAAAAACTTACTGCAGTCCCCACTGTAAAGATGGATAAACTGAGGCACCATGCAGTTTAAAAATTCATGTTACATAGAGTTGGGCTCCACAGCTCACTCTCTTAACCATCCTGTAATTTTGCTGAATCTATGCCCAGTCACTGAAGTACTTGTACGGTACCTCATGGCCCCCTTAGAGCTTAGAACCTGGGTTTCATTCTTGCTCTACAGCTATATAATTTAACAATTTTCCTCTGAATTTGTTGGATTCTAACCCTATATTTCTAAAATTTTATTAATATTACTGAATCTTAAAGGGAGCTGTGATGTCTTTAGTTTTTAGAAATATTAAATCTATCAACAAAGGACTATATGAAGTTAAACTGTATTCAAATTTCTACATGCTTTAAAACTTTGAGGCAACATATTAAGAAACACACCTAAGAAACTGCAACCAATCTACTCTGGACAAAAACTTAAATACTAACTCTTCAAAATAAGCTACCTAGTGGTATTTATACATATTCTTCCATATACCAACAGTATCTTACATGCTCATAGCCTTAAAAATAACTGAAGTGTCAGAATTATAGGCATTACACATTTCTGTTGGCTTGAAAAATGATAAAAAATGCATAAACTTCTAGAGTGATCAGTTTAATAAAAGAGTTCATACCAAAGGTAATAATACTAGGAATCAAAGAGGGCTAAACACTGCAGGTTCTTAAAGGTGAAAGTTAATAAAACCTTGTTTTTGGTTGTGAATGTTTGCCTTACAACATTATACACATGATTCTCCCCTCTTCTTTTTCCTCTTGCAAAGATGTGTTGATGAACCCTTTGTTCATGCAGATGATAATACTCTTGAAAATGGTGGCAGAAAAAAAATTAAGGGAATATGGTTCACTTAATCATCTCATAAATTAGAACTTATTACCCCTGTGACTCTTGCATAGCTCCAGAAAAAAGTGTGAGAGAGGTGAAATGGCTGTTTGCTACCAATATTTTATGTGATGCTTCATTTTTTGATTCCTTGAATAACACAACACATTAGTCCATTTATGCCAGAGGTTGCAATTTTTTGAATTTTTGCATAAGTGAAAAATCAGACCTTTTCGATGACATTTAACAGTAGGATATAAGTAATTTCCACATGCTTAGCATGGAACACTAGGCATAAATGGGTTAACACAATTATGAAAGCATAACTATTCAAGTAACTAATTATACAACTCATTTTTTTTCCTCATCTCTAAAACATAGTAAGGGATCAGTTATTTAAAAAACACAACAGTGACAAGTATTTTATTTTTAACTCAGTTTTGGTGGTTAAGGCCATTGCTTGGCATAAGAATACAAAAACAGGAGGAGAAACAAGAATAGAAACATGAAATAGAAGCAGTAGCAAAAGAAAATGAAGAGGAACAAGAAAATGAGAAGAAAACACAATGGAAGAAAGGAAAAAGAACAGGTGTGGGAATTAGAAGGCCTATCATATAATACTTTTTATCCCCTCCTCGATTCATAAAATTTGAGTAACTCCAAGAGTATCACAACAAAAAACAAGCAAAAGGATACACAAATAGTCACTAAATTTTGTTAAGAATGAGTTAATGCTGCCACTCATGCCTAGCTCAGACACCGGCAGGAGGAGGGCACACTCCAGAGATTGCAGGAGAAGGGGGAGGACTCCTCTTTGCCCTAGGTGTACCACCACCACTGCCACCGAGACCTTCGTTACAGCACCCACAGGTTCCTCCCCACCCCAGAACGGGATGGGCCCTGCAGTGCTCCTACTCCCCCTTCCCGGCCCCCAGACTTCCTACTGCTACCACCACTAGCACCAATGCCAATACAACCAGTCACCCTCAATGTACCAGCCCACTCTACCAGGCTCCTACCACCAAGCCCCCGTGGGTGCCCTCCTACCGCTCCATTCTAGCTATGGTCTCCATCTCCACCACCAACTGCATGAGGCAAGCTGCAGAGCCACGGCATCTGCTCAACCATACCACAGGCGACTCCTCCTTCTCCTTCTTCAGAGTGGCTTGGAGCAGCTGGGCAGGCAAAGCCAGAAAAGCCCAAAACAGGACTCAGGGATTGGAACCATTAGAGCCTCACCTCGTTAGGCTGGTGACTGGGTGTCAGGGATCAGTTTCATTGAAGGCACTCACACCCACCTTCCAAAGTCCAACCTCTCCTTCTGGCAAAAGCTGGCCAGGAACTGGGGCCTGGGGTGGGAGTGAGTGCCTTCACTGAAACAGGCCCTTGGCCAAGTACACCTGGCCAGGAATTGCTGGGCCCACCAAGGCTGTCCTCCTCCGGGAGCCTGCGTAGGAGAAACTAAGACCCAGCCAGCCCTCCCCACCAAAGGGCTGGTTCCCATTCCTGACACCTCCACCAACAGTGCCCTGTTTCCCACTTCCCCCATGGTGCCTACTACTCCCTGCCCGGTAGTCCCACGTGATCTTCGCAACACAAAGCATGAGGGCAGGCTGGGAAACCACAGTGGGTGTGGAGGCCCTACCATGCAATCCAGCTCGAGCAGAAGAAAATCGCCTTCTAGAGTCTGGAGTCTGAGAAGAAGAAAACGATACCTTACTTGGAAGCTACGAGAAGAAGGAAGCCACTGCTGTCACTGCTGCTGCCACCTCACCAGCTCGCCAATGCCACTGGCAGTGTAGCCCCCATGGCACCCCTAATCTGCCCCCTGCCACTAGCAGTGTAGCTCCTGGATAACACATCCAACACACCCTACAGTTTCAGGCAATGTAACCCCAATACCCCCTGACAAAAACACTCCCCCCACACCTCAGGGAGCATACCACCCAATAGTGCCCACAATCTGACCCAGCCACAGGCAGTTCAGCTCCTAATGGTGCACCCCTCCAGTCACAGTGTAGCACCCAACAACGCCCCTAAACCACCCCCCCGCCAGCATTGTAGCCCTGGATAACTCCACTCAACCCACTCCCTGCTGCGGGCAGTGCAGCAGAAAATAGCGCCCCTAATCCTTCCCCAGCCACCAGCAATACAAGCTATTGTACACAATCTGCCTCCCCCCACCACCCCTGCCACCACAGGCAGTATAGCCCCAGATAGCCAGGCAACCTGCCCCACCACCAGCAATGCAACCCCGGAGAGTGTCCCCAACCAGACCACTGCCACAGGCATGGTAGCCTCTAGCAGTGAACCCCAATAGGACACCCAACCCTTGACCCCAGAGGCATACAGGGCAGGCCCGGAAAAACTCACCTACACCATCACATTTCTACCACTGTGGCTGAGCTGCAGTCTCCGATGTCACCACCAACCACAGCGAGGCGAGCCATGGTGGCACAGGTTCCAGCCTCCAGCATGTGGCAGTGCCTCTTCCTTCTAGTCCTCCAGCCCAGCAGGAGAAGCTCCTGCTGCCGAATGCTCTCCTACTGCTCTATCGCCACCACCAACTGCAGCGAGGTAGTGACCCAGGTTCCAGGCTCCATCCATCCTCCACCCTCCAGCAGGCGGAAGATTGCGGCCTCTTCCAGTCCTCTAAGCTGGGCACAGAGTTGCTCCTCCACTCGACACAGAAGAGTCTGAAATGACCTGACGCCACCTCAGCATCCTTTATATATGAGGTTATGCAAATGCAGTTCCTGGACTGCATGTCTTGATTGGATGAGAAAAAAACCTCTAGGCCTACTCTGATTGGACTTTATTTTCATGCTGTGATTGGTTGTGTTAAGACTTGCTCTCATCCAATCAGAACATGATCATAAAGTCCAATCAGAGTAAGCCTGGAGGTTTTTTTCTCATCCAATCAAGACATGCAGTCCAGGAACCTCCATGGGCACTACCGCAGTACATAAATGATGCTGAAGTGCGATCACTTTTTTTCAGGTTCCTGTATCTTCATGTCGAGTTGCTCATTGCCCAACGTAGAGGACTAGGAATCAGGATTCGGTGGCTATATGCTGGAGGCTGGAGCCGCGGGAGCGCGGCTCGCCTCATTGCAGTTGTTGGCAGTGACGGAGAGATAGCATCGCGGCTGGAGAGGTAGGAGAAGGAAAACAGTTTTGGGATAGATAGAGGGGAGCAAAGAGGGTAGTTAGGGCCAAAGGGAAAAAAGGATAGCTTAGCCAGAGAAGGAATTGAAAAAAGATGGTGGTGAAAAGATGGTGGGGAAAAAGGTTTTTGCGTAGATGGAGGTGTAATAACAGGGTGGGGAGTGGGAGGGAAGGAAGGTTTTGCAGAAAGACGGTGGGTAAAAAGTTTAAGGGTACATGGAGGGGGAAAAGAGGGTGGCAAGTGGGCGGAGGAAAGAGAGGGAGGTGATGGGGGAAAACGGGTGGAGCAGTAGGGAGAGAAGGTTTTGTGAAAAGACAGTGTGGAGAAAATGCAGTGGGGGAGAAAAGTTTTTGGGTTGAGCAAAAGAGGGTAGCAAGTGGGAGAAGGAAAAAGAGGGTAGCCAGCAGGAGGAAGACAAGGTTTTGTGAAAAGACAGTGGCAGAAAAGAAAGACAGTGAAGAAAGAAAAGACGGTGGGTGAAAAGTGTTTCGATAGATGGAGGGAGGAAAGAGGGTGGCGAGAGGTAGCAGGGATGGCGGTTGGGAAAACAACAGAAAAATAGTTTGGGGTAGATGGAGGGGAAAAAAGAGGGTGGCAAGCAGGGTAGGAGAAAAAACAGCACTAGTGGTAAAGGGGGGAGACTTTGAAAAGGTGGTGGGGAAAGTTTTGGTGTGTAGATGGAGGGGGAAAGAGAGAGGTGAATAGGCGTGGGGAGAAGGCTTTGTGAAAAGACGGGGGAAATGTTTTTGGGTAGATGGAGAAGGGAAAGAGAATGGCAAGGAGGAACGGGGGGAAAGACGATGAAGAAAACAGTTTTTGGTTGGATGAAGCGGGGAAAGAGGGTAGTGAGCAGCAGGAGTGGAGAGAAGGTTTTGGGAAAAGACGGGGGAAAATGTTTTTGCTTAGATAAAGGAGCAAAAGAGATGGTTGAGAGAGCAAAAGAGATGGATGAGAGCGGGTTGGGGAAAAAGAGGCTGGCCAGGGATAAGGGGAAAAGACAGTGGGAAGAAACTGGGGAAAGGGTTTGGGTAGATGCATGGGGAAAAGGGTGTTGAGCAGGAGAGTAGAGGCAGCTTTGTGAAATGAGGGTGGGCAAAAAATGATGAAGAAGTTTGGGGGCAGATGGTGAAAGAAAAAGAGTGGTGAGAGGGAGGGGGCCAAAGGCCGCCGGGAAAAGAAGGTAGGGAAATAATGGTGGGGGACAAAGGTTTGGGGTATATTTCTTTAATAAGATCATTTGTATGTTTGCTTTTGAGTAGTTTGAGTTCTTTATATATTTTGTGTATGAACCCCTTGCCTGATGCATGGTTTGCAAATACTTGCTTCCATTATCTGGGTTGTTTCATTTTTATTAAATTTTAATTTAATTTATTTTTTTTTAGACAGAGTCTCGGTCTGTCACCCAGGTTGGTGTGCAGTGGCACGATCTCCGCTCACTGCAAGCTCTGCCTCCCGGGTTCACGCCATTTTCCTGCCTCGGCCTCCCGAGTAGCTGGGACTACAGGCGCCTGCCACCACGCCTGGACACTTTTTTTGTATTTTTAGTAGAGATGGGGTTTCACCATGTTAGCCAGGGTGGTCTTGATCTCCTGGCCTCATGATCGGCGCGCCTCAGCCTCCCAAAGTGCTGGGTGTACAGGCGTGAGCCACCGCGCCCGGCCTGTTTTTTCATTCTACTGATTGCTTCCTCTGCTTTGCAGAAGCTTTTTTTTTTTTGAGACGGAGTCTCGCTCTGTCGCCCAGGCTGGAATGCAGTGGCATGGTCTCAGCTCACTGCAAGCTCCGAATCCCGGGTTCACGCCATTCTCCTGCGTCAGCCTCCCGAGTAACTGGGACTGCAGGCACAGGCTACCAAGCCCAGGTAATTTTTTGTATTTTTAGTAGAGACGGGGTTTCACCGTGTTAGCCAGGATGGTCTCAATCTCCTGAACTCGTGATCCGCCTGCCTCGGCCTCAAAAAGTGCTGGGATTACAGGCATCAGCCACTGAGCCCGGACTGGAAACGTAACTTTATTTTTTAGTGTTGTATTTGTATATATACTTTAATAGCCCTGAGTTTTAATAAAGTTGCTTTTAAAATATGTATCTTATTTTTCAGAAATATGCCCTAAGGCATGTGATTAGTTGGGTGGCATGTTTAGTTTTTACAATTGAAGGATTGTCATTCCTTTGTACAAAAAAAAAAAAAAGTGAATTTTTGTCATATACTAGAGGAAAGAAGGCAGATACTAAATAATAAATATTGTATGCTTTCATGTAAATAAAATTTGAAATTATATAAAGACAGAATGCATTAAACCTTTCTGGGGTTGAAGTGGGGAATTC